>NC_000003.12:57888787-58191818 GCF_000001405.40 Homo sapiens | reverse complement strand
GCGCCCTACCTCTATTGCAACATCCACCACATTATATTTGTCACCAAGGTCAGTGTTGGAGGTCTTTGGGGCCCCAGTGTGACAAACACCTAGTGGGCTGGCTGGGACTCGAGGATTTTGTTATCTTTCTGCAATCAAGGAGGCTCATTGGAGTCCAACAACACAGCACCATTTAGCCTGTATCCAAGGTGCCCATTTTTGTTTGTTTTGCTTTGTTTTCCCTGATGTTTCTTTGTTCAAGTCATACACGAACATGGCTAAATGTGTGAACAGTACCGAAGAATAAGCAGGGAAAAGGAATGCCGTGCCCTGACCCCATCCCCGAGTTTCCTGTCTCAGAAACAGCCCCTCTTCCCAGCTCATGTGTTTTTCCAGAGAGTCTGCACAGAAATGAGCACTATATGTAACCTTAAAAATACAAAATATAGCACACCATATGCATGGTTCCACTCTTCGCTTTTTTCCTTTAATATATTGGGGATGATGTGACTTTTGATGTAGGAGAAAAAGACCTTAAGTCTGACACTTGAAATTATGTAACATCTGACTGGGGGAATAAAATCAAAAGGGCCCTGGTTAAGCACGGGAAGCCATCTTCCTCAAATGTCCAATTAACCTCATTGGACAAAGGTCTCACTGGAATTGGTGAGGGGTGAGTGATGGCAAGGCTGCTAACACATCTGTCACCCTTCTCCTAAGCCAGAGCTCATAGTCCCAGGAAACTTACCAGTTTCCAAGGTCCAAAATGGTCAAACAAGGTCAGGCGAGGTGGCTCATGCCTGTAATCCTAGCACTTTGGGAGGCCAGCCTGGGCAACATGGCGAAACCCTGTCTCTACTAAAAATACAAAACATTAGCCAGGCATGCTGGTACACTCCTGTAGTCCCAGCTACTGGGAGGCTGAGGCACAACAATTGCTTGAACCCGGGAGGTGGAGGTTGCAGTGAGCTGAGATCGTGCCACTGTACTCCAGCCTGGGCGACAGAGTGAGACTCTGTCAAAAAAAAAAAAAAAAGTCAAGCAAGTCATAAATGGGCTTATTCCGGAGAGAGAGGCTCATCCTTCTGTCCCAAAGTACTGCAAGCTCCGAAAGCCCACATGGCTGGGATAAGAACCCTGGCTGCTGGGGCTTGAGACTCCATGCTGGGTGGGGGAGGAATGGGAAGGAGGACCAGACACTAAATGAGTCAGTCCATGGCTCTGACTTGGTCCTGACACCCTGCAGCTTCCTCCCAACAAGACATCTCTCCACTCCTGCCCAGGAGCAGGTTACTGGAGCCACAGGCATCTGCCAGCTCTTATTCCGGCCAAATTCTGACAGGCAAGAGGGCACAGCGCAGGGCATGTCTCACTGCGCATAACCTAATGGAGCTGCAAACATCCTCCTGTCCCTTTGGGTCACCTGGCCTGGCCTGGGCAAGGAACTCTGGTGGCCTTTTGGGGAAAATGGGTGTCCCCTGGTCATAGGCACCCTTTTAGCCTTGGCTTTGTCCAAAGAGTCTAAAGCTTGGCTGGGTGCGGTGGCTGACGCCTGTAATCCCAGCATTTTGAGAGGCTGAGATGGGAGGATCACTTGAACCCAGGAGTTTGAGACCAGCCTGGGTAACATAGCAAGACCCCATCTGAACAAAAAATAAAAAAATTAGCTGTGCATGGTGGTGCATGCCTGTAGTCCCAGCTACTCAGAAGGCTGAGGCAGGAGAATCACTTGAGCCTGGAAAGTCAAGGCTGCAGTGAGCTGTGATCGTACCATGGCACTCCAGCTTGGGAAACAGAGCAAGACCTTTTCTCAAAAACAAAACAAAAAAAACAAACGAACAAAAAAGAGTCTAAACCTTGGTGTGCACTGGAATCCCAGGGAACCAGTTACCATGGTGATTCCCAGGTCCCAGTCTCCCAGAGTCTGGGCCAGGGCCCAGGAACCTGCAATTTCAACAAGTCCCCCGGTTGATTCCAAGGCACATGATCTGAGGCCCAGATTTGAAATCACTCTCCCAGTCCCCCTTGGTGAGGCGAGGTGTAGCATGGTAGCAAGGACCAGGCTCACTTTGGAGCCATAGTCTCTACCACCTACCAGCTGTGGGACCTCGAGCAGGCTACTTACCTTTAGTTTCCTTGTGTGTAAAACAGAGATAATAAGAGAATCAACCTCATAGGTAAAGTTTAAATAAGATGATGGATATAAGGCATGGAGGATGTGCCTGATGCTTAGTAAGCCCTCGATAAATTAAATTCCCTTACTTGTATATTTGTATTAACAGGGCTTGCTCTGTTAAAGGGTAGGCCGCTTTAAGTCTGGGTGTGCAGGTTGCTCGAGCTTAGTTATTCAGAATGAATTTTTGCCACACAAGGAATCATGCCAGGGTTCCATTTCTTTGTCATTCACCACGGCAAATATTTTGGCAGGTAACCCTGAGGATGGAGACGCCCCTGCTTCCAGTCCTTGTGACATCCTTTTCCTTGTCAACACCACTTTCCTGCCACAAATACAGAAACCCTCCCCCAGTGACCTTCTCCCTGACCCTGCTGGGGGTGGGGTGGGTGAAGGGAGCTTCTGCAATTCAGCAACCCTGCTCCTATCTCTCCCTTGGGCTGGAGAGGGCAAGTATAAAGAGTAGTTGCCAAACCAGGAAAGGGCGACAAACTGGGGGCCACATCCCTCGTCCCTCCCGGAAAGAGGAAAGGCACCCAGCCCAGGCAGGCGTGAGGGTGGAAAGCAGGGCAGCTGAGAGAGGCTCACATTTGCATCAGCTGCTGAGTCTCCTGATCAGGGCGGGCTTCCACCTGAATGATCCTGAAGGAGCCAGCATCCCCATGTCACTTGCCCATGGGCCATATTTCAAAGGAGGAGCGGGTCCCCACGGTCCCCAAGACCCTGGCAACAGTGGCGTCAATCTTTGGGATTCAGGGAAGCTACTAAAATTAAATCAAAATAAGGGAATTTGAGGAAACAAGAATCTATGGATGCAGGTTTGTGTGTGTGTGTACGTGCACATACACACGCACTCAGCTCTTTCCCAGGGGTCTCCCTGCCTGGCACATATTCCTCGGCCTGCTCAGCTTCTGGCTGGGTCATACCAGCCCATGTCCCTGCCTCAAATGCGTCTTCCGATGGCAGGTGGGAGGAGGTTGGTCATTTACAGAAACTCCTCCTGCTGCCCCTCTATGCTCTGGGAAACTCTACCACCAAATACCCTGGGAGTTTTATTTTTCCGAGTTATCATTACTTTGAGATTCCCGCTCCTGAGATCTTTTCACAGTTTCCTAGAGGCTAGAGCTGAAAATATCCTTAAAGGTAATAATAAGTAATGGCTGCCATTTGCTAAGGGCTGCTGTGTGCCAGGCTGTGTGCTAAGAGGCAGTGGCGTGGGCCATCTCACTGAATTCCAACCGCAGCAGCGAGGTGGAGTCTGATGTCATCTCCATTTTATAGGCGAGGCGAGTGAGGCCCAGAGAAGTTAAACAACTTGCCCGAGGGCACACAGCTGGGGAGTATTGAACCCAGGTGACTCACCCATTAGGCACAGCACTGTGCCTAGGGCCCATGGAAATGTGTTAATTTCTTTCAGAATCAGAAAGAAAAACATGAACTTTGGGGATGAAGAAAAAATTAACATAATAATAATAACATGTTTGTCTTTATACCAATATAGTTGTAAAATACAATTTTAATATTTTTTATGGGGGAAAGGATCTATAAAGGCAAAGGTGCCTAATGCCCGTGAAAGCCACAATGGGGCCCTGGGGGAGGCAGAATTAAAATCCCGGTCTGCCTGCCTTCAAAGTTCGTGCTCTCTTCAGTCTAGTCTAATCCTGTTTACAGGTGAGGAAACTGAGGTCCAAGGCCACACAGCGAATGGCAGAGCCAGGTGGAGAGCTCAGGTTTCCAGTGAGCCAACCACCATGGCTTGTGGTCCGACATCACCACCCGGTGGCCTTTTGGGGAACTTACCTTTAGTCCAGAGGTGAACCTAGAAAGAGAAAGGGCTCAGACAGTTCCAGATACCCGCAGGAAACCTCCACAAGCCAGTCTGCACTTGGGCTCCACACTCAGCAGTGGTGAAGCCAGGCCAGGGAGCCAACTCCACACTCACTTGAGGCTGTCGTTGGAATTCACACATCTCAGCCTACACACACACACACACACACACACACACACACACACACACACACCCCTCTGCCAGGGTAAAAGCATCATCCCCCAGAGTTAATATTTGTAAAGTTCTTAGACCAGTCTGGTCCAATAGGAATATAATATAAGCCAAAATGTAATTTGAAATTTTCTGGTAGCCATATTTTAAGAAGTAAAGGAAATAAGTGAAATTAATATATTTAATATTTTATTTAACACAGAAATCAGCAAACTATACAGCCTGTGGGGGAAATCTGGCCCACCATCTGTTTTTTTTAAATAAAGTTTTATTGGAACAAGCCATGCCCATTTGTTTTTATATTGTCTATGGCTGATTTTGCACTGCAATGGCAGAGTTGAGTAGTTGCATAGTTGAGACCAGGTGATCCACAAAGCTGAAAATTCTTACTATCCAGTCTTTCAGAGGGAAAGTTTGTCAACCTCTGATTTAGCCCAATCTATCCAAGTATGGTCATTTCAACATAAAATTCAATATAAAAATTATTAATGAGAAATTTTACATTTCATTATACTAAATCTTTGAAATTCAGTGTGTGTTTTATACTTAGAGTACATCACAATTTGGATAAGACTCATTGCAAATGCTCAATGGACATGTGGTTGGATCATGACTACCGAACTGGACAGTGTAGGGCTTAGAACAATGCCCGCAGATATCAAACAGGTATTCATTAAATACCTAAATAAACTCCCCACCAGCCTTTCTTAACTGACTTCCAGAAAGAATTAAGCCCTAACATTCGGGGACAGCCCCTGTTTGTAATGAATCAACTTCTTTCCCATGCCTGTAGAATGGTGTCATTCCTGGGAGGACTGAGAAAAGTCACTGGTGTCATTTTCTGTAGGGTTTCATTTATTCACAGAATCCCAGTTGAGAAATGCTGCAGCCATTCCTTTTCTAAGGAGCTTGAAGACTTGCTGCTGATGGAGATAATTATTATTAATATAAATCACATGTATAGAGCCAGGCACTGTGCTAAGGTCTTTCTGAGCATTGTTTCAATGACAGAAATGACAATGGCCTCCCTCAGGAAGGCTCCTCTGTGCACCAAAGGTGTCCACTGTCCCCCATACAGCCCTTTTCACTATGTCCTGTGAGCTCCAAGATCTGACCCCTCATTCCCCGGGAGCTCAGCCTAGGCCCGGCCCACAGGAGCTGCTGGATCAATATTTGTTGCATTCAATCAAGTAACTCTAGAGAACCCGGGGGTCATTTGGTGTTTGATTCAACCTGGCAGGTGTTTTTCCAGCAGCTCTGTTGTGCAAGGCTGCTGTGTGCATCTCAAGGGAATCCATTCCCACATTGATGCTCACTCACATTCCCAAGACTGCCCAGGGAAAACCAGACAAGATAGTTGCATTCGCAGTTTTAAGTGGTCTAGCTCCTCTCTGACAGTTCAGGCTAAGAGACAGACCACCAGAGACCAGGGAATAGTGATTCGTTTGCCCAGTGCTTTCTCTGTCCAGCATGAGGAACTGCCCTTTTGTCCAAGTAAGGAGGGAAGTGTACCACAATATCCTGGTTGAACAAGACCTGCCCATGAGCATTTTAGTTTTGAAAGAGCTGTATGCAGGGATGTTTATTTGAATTCCCCACCTGCCCGAGGCCTTCTAAGCAATCAGATTCTGTGAGCACCAACATCAGATGGGTCCACGGACAATCATTCGACATGTCTGGGATTCTGCAAGAGAACTGTTTCCGAGAGAAGGAGGGAGGCCCATCAAGATAATATGAGTAACCAAGGTTTAGCTGTCAGAAGGGAGGTGGTATGGAATGAATTGTTCCTCCCAAAAGACTATTTATTTATTTATTTTTGAGACAGAGTCTTGCTCTGTCACCCAGGCTGAAGTGCAGCGGTGCGATCTCGGCTCACCATAACCTCTGCCTCCCAGGTTCAAGCGATTCTCCTGCCTCAGCCTCCCAGGTTCAAGCGATTCGCCTGCCTCAGCTTCCCAGGTTCAAGCGATTCTCCTGCCTCAGCCTCCCAGGTTCAAGCGATTCTCCTGCCTCAGCCTCCCAGGTTCAAGCGATTCTCCTGCCTCAGCCTCCCAGGTTCAAGCGATTCTCCTGCCTCAGCCTCCCAGGTTCAAGCGATTCTCCTGCCTCAGCCTCCCGAGTAGCTGGGATTACAGGCACCCGCCATCACGCCCGGCTAATTTTTGTATTTTTAGTAGAGACAGGGTTTCACCATGTTGGCCAGGATGGTCTCCAACTCCTGACTTCAGGTGATCTGCCCACGTCGGCCTCCCAAAGTGCTGGGATTACAGGCGTGAGCCACTGCGCCTGGCCCAAAAATATTTAAGTTTTTTTTTTTCCAAGTTCTAACTGCCAGTGCCACCTCATTTGGCAATAGGACCACTGCAAATGTAATTCGTTAAGATGAGGACATACTGGAGGCGTGGGCCCCTAATCCAATACGATTGATGCCCTTCTAAGGAGACAGTCATGGGAAGCCAGAGTGACACACAGGTAGACAGCCACGTGACGAGGAACGCAGAGCCTGGAGTGCTGCAGCTGGAAGCTGAGGAAGGCCAAGGATGCTGGTGGCCACCAGAAGCCAGGAAGGGCAAGAAAGTGTTTGTCCCTATAGGTTTCAGAGAAAGCTTGACCCTGCCCACAGCTTGATCTGACTTCCAGCCTCCAAAAATGTGAGATCGCCAATTTCTGTTGTGTTAAGCCACTGAGTTTGGGGTACTTTATTATGGCAACCCTAAGAAACTGATACCGGAAGGAGCTTCGAATTTAGCATGGTGGCTGCACAAGACATGTAGGCCACTGTGGTACCCTTCCTCCTCTTCCTGCTGAGCGCATGGCTCCATGAATCAACCCAGCCCTCTCACATCTAGGAGTCATGTGACTTGTTCTCACCAGTGGAATGGGAGAGGAAGTGACACCGCTTAGCTCCAGGCCAAGGCGGTTCAGAGCAGGTGTATTCTCTCCATGCTCAGTCTCTCTCCCCTTTCCCTGGCTGGATGTAGAGGACTCAGAGGAGGGCTGTGAGGCCCTAGGGGATGGCAGAGCTACCAGGTGGGAGAAGCCTGGGTCCCCGGATCAGCAGGTGGAAGGTCACCTGCCCAACATCAGATTGGACGGCCATGTAGGAAAGACGTCTTTATTGGTTTAAGCAACTGGGACTTAGGGGCTGTTTGTTTTAGCAGTGAGGCAACCCTGACTAACACAGGTTCTGAGGGATGAGAGAAGCGGTAAGCAAAAACGTAAACTACTTCTTCCCTAAACTATGGGGTAAATTGGCACTAAGCAACCCAGCTATGGATCCCTTCAACAGAATGTAGAGAAATAAAAAGCAGGGAGATATTCTCTCCCTTTAGCACCTTAAGGATTTAGCGAGCCCTCTCCTGCGCCGGGTCTGCTGAGGGAGCACTTGGAAACCCCACTGTTTCCCCCCAGGAAAGCAGCCCCCATGTCCACGCCTTGCCAATGACGGCAGGGGCGGAGGCAGCCCTACAAGGAGCTGAGGTCCTTGGAGGCAGACAGCCGGGAGGGAGGGCCACCGATTGGTCCAGACCCCGCCTTAGTCACTCTCATGCCTACCCATGCACAGCAAGGCGGCGGGGGCTCGACAGCTGCAGAGCAAGGGTGAGTCTGGCCGGAGGGTCCAGATGGGCCATAGGCATAGGATAGGAGCAGCTCTGGGGACCTTTCCCCATGTGGACTCACGTGAGCTGGTCTGTTTGCCGTGGGAAATGGCAGATGCCACTTTGGGTGTAAAACACCTTTGTGATGGACTGGACCTTGGCATAAGTTGGAACCTTGATGTGCTTCATAGCGTCCCCTGCAACACAGCAGAGGCTGGGGAGAGTGAGGGTCACCTTCCTCCTGCCACATTTCCCCAACCCACAGGGCCGAGGGCCAGCAGGGACACACTACTATAGCTGCTTCAGTTGTTAAAAAAGTGCAACATTTCTGTACCACCTAGGACCAGCCATGCCTTCCTACCTTAGGACCCTCAGACCCTCCTATGACCTCATAACCAAAGGGTAATGCCTGACATCGCACGGAGACCTTGACACCCCACCTTGGCAGCACCACCAGGATCTGTCCTGATAGGGGGGCAATTCCAATTAACTATTCTGACTCTACCCCACCCCAAGCTCACTTACCCCACATCCCATTTCTCCTGTTGTCCCTGGATACCCCACCCATACCAGTGCTCCACAGGAGGCACGTGGGGGCTACTCAAGGCTGAACTAGCTCCCCACATGCCCATAGGCTGCAAATCCTGCCTGTTGAGTCACCACCACCACCAACTACAGTGCTAATAATACCAGCTACCATTTGTTTGAACACTTACTTCATGCCAGGCCCTAGACTGTGCTTTACATGTGTAAAAGGGCATTTTTGGCTGACCTAGCTGGGGTCCAGATTATGCCTTTAACCCCTCTTCCCTGTGTCTTTTTGCAGCCACTGGAATGTCACTGCCCCTGTTTGTAACTGTGGTGGGGAAAGGGAAGTGGTCAATAGTAAGTCTCTCATCAGGCGCAGTGGCTCACACCTGTAATCCCAACACTTTGGGAGGCCAAGGATCTCCTGAGGTCAGGAGTTCGAGACCAGCCTGGCCGATGTGGCAAAACCCTGTCTCTACTAAAAATACAAAAATTAGCTGGGTGTGGTGGCAGGTGCCTGTAATCCCAGCTACTTGGGAGGCTGAGGCAGGAGAATCGCTTGGACCCAGGAGGCAGAGGTTGCGGGGATCCGAGATTGCACCCCTGCACTCCAGCCTGGGTGACAGAGTGAGACTCTGTCTCAAAAAAAAAAAAATAAAAAAAGTCTGTCATCTAGGCCAGGCACATTGGCTCATACCTGTAATCCCAGCATTTTGGGAGGCTGAGTTGGGCGGATCTCTTGGCCAGGAGCTTGAGACCAGCCTGGGCAACATGGGCGAAACCCCATCACTACAAAAAATACAAAAATTAGCTGGGCATGGTGGTGTGCACCTGCAGTCCCAGCCCCCCTGGCATGGGAACCGGCACCTCAATGATTGGGTTGCCAGGATGGAATTCAGGATGCCCAGTTACCTTTGAATTTCAGATAAACAACAAATTGTTGTTTAGGTATCTGGGAAATATGTACACTAAAAAATTATTTGTTATCTGAAATTCAAAGGTAACTGGGCATCCTGCATTTTTATTTGCTAGATCTGGCAACCCTATAACTGGCACTGGCTTCAAAGGCAGTGGACACAGACGCATGTGCCAGAGCAGGAGGGGACTGGGAGGTTGCTGTGTGGCGCCTCAGCTGAGACCTGCTCTGTGGATGAGTCCTGTGGAGTAGATACTGTAATACCTAGGACTCTGCTCAAATGCTCCCTCCCAGCAGGCCTTTCCTGACCACCAGGTTTACCAGAGCAGCCTCTTCTCCTCCTCCTCCTTCTTCCTCTTCTTCTCCTCCTTCTGTCCTCCTTCTCCTTCTTCTCTTCTTTCTCCTTCCCCTCCTCCTTCCACCCTCCTCCCTCCTCCCCTCCCCTCCCCCTCCCCTTCCTCCTCCTCCCCTTCTTTTTCTTCCTCTTCTTCTTTTTCTTATTCCTCTTCCTCTTCCTCTTCTTCTTCTTCCTCTCTTTCTCCTTCTCCTTCTTTTCTTCTTCCTTTTTTGATACAAGGTCTTGCTCTGTTGCCCAAGGTGGAGTGCAGTGGCACAATCTTTGCTCACTGCAGCCTCAAACTCTTGGGCTGAAGCAATTCTCCCACCTCAGCCTCCGAAGTAGCTGGAACTACAGTTGCACACGACCATGCCTGGTTAATTTTTAAATTTTTTTGTAGAGATGGGGTCTCACTATGTTTCTCAGGCTGGTCTCAAACTCCTGGACTCAAGTGATTATTTTGCCTTGGCCTCCCAAAGCACTGGGATTACAGGCATGAGCCATCATACCTGGCCATCTCCTTCTTCTAACTTATCTTCTCCTTTAGCCTTGACCTCGAGGTATGGTCCATGGACCAGCAGCATCGGCACCATCTGGGAACTTGTTAGAAATGCAGAAGTTCCCCCATCACCGCCCACTCCCTGCCCCAGTCAGAACCTGCATTTTACCAAGACCCCAGCTGATTCCTGTGCATAGGAAAGATGGAAAAGGGCTGCTCTGTAGTAGTGTGGACCACTGCCTGACACCGCATCATTATCTGTTTGTTGTCTACCTTTGGTGAGGGCAGGGATCATGTCTGTCTTGTTCTCTGTTGTATGCCCAGGGACAAAAAGTGTAAGTGTCTGACACATACCAGGAGCTCAATAAACACTTGTTAAATGATTGACAGACTGAATGAATGAATGAGCCAGAAATCAAACCCAAGCCTCCTAATTAAACTGATTCACAATTCTGTGCTTGTTTGTTCAGTGACTCATTTCCAGGTAGAGCTGGGATTCAGTAACTCCAGATCTCCTCTCCATTCTGAATGATGGAATCACACTTGGTTCCTACCTCACAGGGGGTTTGTGAGGACAGTTCCTATTCCAAGTGCTTTCCCACTTGATTTCCCCAAAACTCCATGACACAGGAAGGCACATACTAGGTTATTCCCATTTTTCAGATGTGAAAATTGAGGCCCAGAGAAGTTGAGGCTCTTGCCTGAGATCATACAACTCAGAAGTGGTAGAACCAGGATTTGAACTCATACCTCCTGATTGCAAATCAAGTTCTCATCCCTAGTCCATGTTCATTCATTTGTTCATTCATTCCACAGTCAAGTACCAGCCCCAGGCTGGGAGCTGGGAGGGCATGAATAAAGTTAACTAAGAAGTCTTGGAACCCAAAGGGCTCCCCAGGCCAGATGGATATATAAGGAATGGTGATTCCGTGTGCCCAGTGCTTCTGTGGACTCAAAAACCTGCAGAAGCATGAAGGTGGGCTCAACTAATCTGCTTGGAGGCATCTCAGAAGACTTCCCAGAGGAGGTGATGTGTGAAATTTCATCAGGGTGGGGCAGCAGGAGGAGCATCCCAAGTGGAGAGACCAGAGCATGAAAAGGCCTGGAAGTGTGAAGGTGCCTAAGCACATCCCCAAGGTCTATGTGCTCAGAGGAAGGTGATCCAGGTCCATGAGCCGGGGTGAGGGGTGGTGAAGGATGAGGCTGGGGAGGGAGGCCAGGCCTGCCTGCCAGAGGCCTGGAATGGCAAGATGGTGGTGGCCCTTACCCACGTGCCAGCTGTACTCCTAGGATGACATGACTGGGTACTGGAACTTCTCCTCGGGCTTCAGCCGATGCCGTGCCTGGAGGTCCAGGGCGTGGCCTTGGCCATCGTGGGAGATGCCTGGGAAGAGCAGCTGCAGGATTCTTGGGGAGACCTGCCTCATTTCTAAACTCTCCGGCCTGGTCTGACCTGCTGGCCCCTGAGTTGCTTTTCTGGCCTTCCAGACTCTGTCTCCCTTGGGTGGGGAGTCCTGGACACCCACTCCCTTGGACAGCTGGTTCTGGGCCCCCTTGGTCTCTGGCCATCCAACCTGTACCTCCTTGCTATCACGGGAGCTGGTGGCAGGCACTGGGCCCGCTACCAAGGCTGACCTGGATGGGGCCTGCTGGAGCTGCTTCCTGGGCACGGTCCCCTCCCTTAGGTACTTGTGGCCATCGTTGATCTTCCAGGCAACTTGGGTGGTGGCCTCCTTTTGGATGCATTCCTTCCAGCAGGCCTGGTTCTGGGAGGTCCACAGCTCCCCAGGGGCAGGGAGAGGTGGAGGAGGGAAGAATGGCTCTTCCCACAGCTCTGCGGCCTGTGTTTGGGCTCCCAGAGCCTCATCTCCAAGGATACATGCAGCCGATGAGGGCTGGGTTGCCAAGGCCCTGAAAGAGAGGAGAGGCTGGGCTGCCCTGGGGGACTTGGGGGGTCCCACAGGCAGAAGAACAGACCAGGCTGGAAAAGGGTGCAGAGCCTGGCCACAACCCACCCAAGGTGCCTGTCCTTCCCCCGAGGGACGGGCCCAGGCCTTTACCTTCACACCCACAGGGCTCTGGGGTGGCGCACGGGGTGCTGCAGCCTCTATTCCATTCAGCAAACTCTGATGCACACCTACTATGTGCCAGGCACCCAATGGGGGTCCAAAAAGAGGCCCAGTCTTCCCCGGCCTCAGGGAGCGCTGGACACGCAGCTGAGGAGGTTTCCAGGGCAACTCTAGGGTCCAGCTCCTCAGATACGCAGCTCTGTCCCTTGCTAGCGGAGTGGCCTCATCTGTACAGGAGGGTGAGAGTGGGAACTACCCTTAGTATTGGGAGAATGACACTAGACCAGCATATAAAACACTTGGACAGTGTCTGGCTGGGAGGAAGTGCTCCCTCAACATCAGCTGCAGTTTCACAAGCACCCGTGAGGTGCCAGGTGCTAAGCTGTGCTCTGTGTGCCTTAAACCATCCTCCCCATTAGTAGGCTTTCATGTCCTCCTTTCCAAGTGGGGCAATGGAGGCTTGGAAACCATGTGACTGCCCCAGGGCACTGAGGCTGGTGTGCCCGCTGGTGTGTACCTACTCCATGCCAGGCCCCGGGCTGGGGACTTTACTGTTACATCACTTAATCCTCACAGTGATTTGCAAACAGGCCGTCTTGCGTCACTCTCGCAAATGAGTAAACTGAGGAATCTCTGGGTTTAACCCCAAAACCCACGTCCTTGTGTTACAGACACAAAATTCTCCCAGGAAGTGGGATGGGCACTTGAGAGAGGCGCAGGCAGGGCGGGGCAGGGGAGGACCCACCTGACGCCTCGGCGGTACCACAAAGTCAGCCACCTGGATCCTCACACCTTCTGCCTCCCTGACCAGGGAGAAGGAGGCTGCCCACAGGGCCCTGGGGCCGCTTGCCTTCCACTTTTCATTCAACAAACGTCATTAGCTTCTGACCCTGTGCCAGGCACCAAGCCAGGCTCAAAATGTAGATGAGGAAAGACAGAGCCCAGGTACTTCCTGCTCTCAGGGTTTCACCCTCTAGAAGGGGAGGCAGACGCTTAGCCAGGTTGCAGTGAGTGGGTCAGGGAAGGCTTCCTGGAAGAGGTGCCGTTTGACTGAGACCTGAACTGTGAACATGAGTTAGCCAGGGGCAAAGCACAGGGGAAGAGTGTTGCAGCCTGGGACCCCCCAGTTAGAAAGGCAAGAAAGGCCACGGATGTATAGACTGCCCTCTGGGCCTCAGTCTTTCCACGTGTGAAATGGACTGTGAGGGGTTTGGGAAATTTGGGGAAGAAACTCAGGTTAAGTGGAATAGCTGGGTCTGAGATGCCTCCCCGGGGCACGCACAGTAGTGACTGATGAACCTTTCGCCTGCAGGCTGCCTGAGCAGGAGCTAAGCACCAGTTAGTCATTCTCTCCTGGCGGAGGGCCTACTGTGTGTCCCGGGCTGCAAGTGAACAACAGGACAAAACGCCCTGGCCTCGCGGAGCTGATCCTGCCCTGCCCTGTAACTCGGGTGTCTCCGCGGGCCGAGCCTGGCACACAGTAGGTGCCCGGGAAATGTGCTCAAGTAAATTATGCCTAGGCGCACTTCACATTGGCTCTGTTACTGGGGACAGTGGGGGTGAGGGGTGAAGGGAGGAAGTCAGGAGTTTCGGGGCTTGGGGGCGGCAGGACCCTGGAGTCAATCGGTTGCGGGGCGGAGTCTGCTGCTAGAACTCCAGACAGCCTCTCTGCCCCACCCCCGAAGCTTCTGCGCTGGAGCCCCCGGACTTACCAGCGCAGAAGAAGAGAGGTGGGTGGGTCCCCCTCCTCCTGGTCTGGGAGAGCCCGCGCCTTCCCCACCGCAGGGACTCCGCTCGCGGACGTATTTCGCGTGTCCAAGGCGACCCCTAGCGGTCACTGCGGCCACGACAACCCAGGCAGTCGTCCTCTCACCCCCGAGGCCCACAACTTCCCCGAGAGGGGAGCGGAGCTGGGACGGTGCAGAGAGGCGCTCCCAAAGGGCCGCCTTCCGCGGGCCCAAGGAGGCCAACGGCCCGCTAGGAGAGCCTCCTCTGGCTTCTGTTTTCTGTGTCTGGAGCCGTGCACAACTTCACGGCCCCGTTCCTAGACAGGTTTACCGAGTTTTAACACAGCCTTGACCATTAATGACTACCTGTGTGACCTTGGGGAAGTCACCAAACCTTTTTTTTTTTTTTTTTCTTTTTAGTCTTGCTCTGTCGCCCAGGCTGGAGTGCAATGGCGCGATCTCGGCTCACTGCAACTTCTGCCTGCCGGGTTCAAGCGATTCTCCTGTCTCAGCCTACCAAGTAGCTGGGACTACAGGCGCCCATCATCACGCCCGGCTAATTTTTGTACTTTTAGTAGAGGTGGTGTTTCACCATGTTGGGCAGGCTGGTCTTGAACTCCTGACCTCAAGTGATCCACCTGCCTCTGCCTCCCAAAATGCTGAGATTACAGGCGTGAGACACCGCGCCCGGCCAGTCACTAAACCTTTCTGAGCCTTGACAAACTCTCCTTTAAAAAATGTGATAGTAAGTCTCAGTGCATAGCGTTAGTGTTACTTACGATGATAATTTTCTTACTCTTAGTTTATTAACTTATTTAAGCTCCATCCATCTAACAATCCCTGGGATGGCGCAGTGTGGGAGCAGCCCTCAGGTCTGTCACTGGCCTAGGCCTATGCAAAGGGAAAATGGTGAAGCTCTGAAACCAGGGGACAAGAACAGGCTGGCATGTGGGCTGGAGCCCTCCTAGGTGCATGTGACTCACCCCTTTCTCCTCCCACCTTTCTGGCCACTCCCTGAGGCCACCAACATCCCACCTCAGACAGAGTTCTGTGGTTGGCCCACCCCACCCCACCCACTCCTACTGATACTGCCTAACCCTAATGCCCAGACCAAGACTCTGTCTGCCACACCACACTGCTTTCCTAGGACTCAGAACTTAATGTCTTAGTTCCTTTACACCAATAATAGTAATTTCACGAACACTTATCATGTACTGGACTCTGTGAAATGCCTTTTTTTTTTTTTTTTTTTGAGACAGTCTCGCTCTGTCACCCAGGCTGGAGTACAGTGGCGTGATCTTGGCTCACCACAACCTCCACCTCCTGGGTTCAAGCAACCCTTCTGCCTCAGCCTCCCCACTGGGATTACAGGCACATGCCATCACATCTGGCTAATTTTTGTATTTTTAGTAGAAACGGGGTTTTACCATGTTGGCCAGGCTGGTCTTGAACTCCTGACCTCAAGTGATCCACCCATCTTGGCCTCCCAAAGTGCTGGGATTGCAGGAGTGAGCCACCATGCCTGGCCTGAAATGCTCTTTACGTATATTTTGTCAGTGAGTTCTCAGAACACTCTATGGGGTGGGTCCTGTTACCCCATTTCATTGGAAAGAAAACTGAGGCACAGTTTTCTGTGAAGGATCAGTGACCTGCCTGCCAGAGGTCATGGCAGGGCCAGGATTTGAATCCCCAGCCCAACCTTAGAGCCACCACGCTTAATGGCTTCTCCATAAGCCTCCCTTTCCCTAGCTGGGGTGCCCCTTCCAGTCTGCCTTGGGGAGCCGAATCTCTGCAACACTCAGGCAGTCCCTCTCTCAACAGCTTTGGGTTGAGGAAAGTTTGCCCAGGCCAGTTGCGGGGTGGATGTGCTGAGCGGGAGGGAGGCAGGGGGAGATGCCTTTCTGGAGTTCATCTGATTTTAGAATGGAAGTTTCCCATTATTTCCGTATTTTACAGATGAGAGCAGTGAGGCACAGAGAAGGTGACCGCCTGAGGTATCTCGGTTGGTAAGCAGCAGCGCTGGGCTTGGAATCCGGTTTGAACCTGCAGCATGTGACCCGCTGTTCTCTGAATGCTGCTGCTACACGAGGTTATTCTGCTGCTATGGAGCAGGCTGCTTGTAGCTGGGCCTGAAGCTGGCATTTCCAGGACTTGGTGCTTCTGCTGAGGTTTTCTCCTCCTCTGAATACACCCTGCCGGGGTTCAGCACCAGCTTTGCCCTAAGCACGTCCACTTCCTAGAAAGGGAGGGCAGCCCCCGACAGGGAGAGGTGTTTTGGTATCTTGGCAAGGCAGTCAGGGCAGAGGGAGAAACATGGGCAACAAAAGGCTTGCAGATTCTTTCATCTTTGTACTTTGTCCCGGGGAGATAAGCGAGTCCAAAATACAAAACACCCTTGGATATGTGGATCCGTGCCACAAGTCAGGCTCGTAGATTCTCCATTTCCTGCCTGCTCTTGAGAGCTCTTGAGGAAGAGAGAAAAAGGGTGTGAGGGCTGTGGAGTAGGTCTCCCTAAATTCCATGCCCATGAGCCGGTCCCCGTGGGCCTGGGGGCTCAGACAAAAGCCTTATCACGAAGCAGAGAAGGATCTCTTTGTTTAGAAAGATTCCTCCCACCATGCGTTAGGCAGCATCCTTAGGACAAAGCCAGAAAAATAAACTGAATCCAGGCTTGCCTGAGCCCTTACTGCCCCCAATGTGACATTTTTACTTCCTCAAATTATGATTTACTACTGTGAAAGGGAAAAAATACCTGCATAAGATACTAATTTCTGGGAGTTTTCATTCGTGAAATATACAGATTATACAGCCTCTTCCCCCTCCAAGTTAATGGAGATTTGGAAAGACTCCATCTCTTTCCTTGACTCTACTTCCATAGGGCTGAGAACTGAGGCTAATGCGCACTTCAGTTAACAGCAACACTCCCCATTTTTAATATAAACTTGGCGGGTTGACAAGGATCAAGCACTCATTTTGCCTTTAACCTTTATTCTACTATTTGTTTTATTTTTTTTTAGATGGAATCTCACTCTGTTGCCTAGGCCAGATGGAGTGCAGTAGCACGATCTCAGCTCACTGCAGCTTCTGCCTCCCGGGTTCAAGCAACTCTCCTGCTTCAGCCTCCTGAGTAGTGAGATTACAGGCTGCACCACAACGCCCAGCTAATTTTTCTATCTTTAGTAGAGAGGGGGTTTCACCATGTTGGCCAGGCTGGTCTGGAACTGTTGACCTTAGGTGATCCGCCTGCCTCGGCCTCCCAAAGTGCTGGGATTACAGATATGAGCCACCGCATCCGGCCTATTCTGCTAGCCTATTCTGCTAATTTTTAAGTCTGTGCAACTTTCAAGGGAAATTAAATCCCGATATGCCCTACTCATTTTACACCAAAGTCATCAAAATGTGGCTTTCAACGCCCCTTTGAAGTCCTAAAACTAGACTTGGTCAAGAGGCCCAAGTGTTTTAAGTGCATCGGAAACAAAGAAACATGTTAATAAAATGTTTCCTTCTTGGCAGCATCCTGGTGAGTGCCTCCCTGGGTTGCAAAGGGAAATGTGATGAGGAAGAGGTGGGCTTGTGTGCTTTGAAGTGGGCAGGGCCTGGGAATCTCTACAGGGCAGTGCAGCTGCTGTCCGCTTCACCTCCATCGGCCCTGTCCATTCCTGGTAGGAAAGAGGCAAAGTCAGTAGTGAAAGGTGGAAAGAAAACACAAAAGTCGGAAAGGACCTGGCACCAGGCCTGTCCGGGGTCAAGTTTCAAAGTTTTCAAGGTATTTGCACAAACAGCTGGTTTCCATAGCAGCCAAGCCCAGGTGCAGGTAAGGGTTGCCCTGTGGTCCTAGCCATTGACTGATAAAGAGGTGCATCCCACCCTGGGATGTCTTTGATGTAACAGGAGGCAGTGGCTTCTAGTGGGGAAATTTACCCCAGGGTAACATCACCATCGCTCCCATGCAGGGGACAACCAAGTGTAGCCCCAGATGCCAACAAGCAGCCAGGGGGCGGCCTTCTGCCAGGAACATCACTTCCAGCAGGTGTTGGTCACAGACAGCAGTGGCTGAGACTCTGGCAGGGAATTGTTCCTTACAGCTCCCTGTGGGCTCTTATTTGATCCTCACGACCACCCAGAGAGGTGAGGCAAGGCGACTTCCCCAGGGCCACACAGCTAATGAACGGCAGAGCCAGCGTTGAAGCTCTGGGGTGCCTGACACCAAAGCCCATGCTGTTAATTTACAAATGCTGCCTCCCCCAACAGAAAGCCGCCAGGCTTCACAGTGGAGAGACCAATGGCTGCGCCCTGTGCTCCTCTGTGGGCAAACTAGCATGATACTGTGGCCCGGCCAGACCCCACCGGGCAGAGCCTGAATGGACTCTTTGGCAAGTGGGGGAACTGCCCGCCACTGCAGAATCCCGAAGCCCACGGACCTTCTCAGATAGGAGTCCAGGAAGCAGTGCTTCCTGGTGCAGGCCACAGATAAGGCTGCTCCCTCCGGGAGGAGAGGACCTTTCCTCCACTCTCTTCCTCCCTCCTCTCAGAGGCAAACAATTGATCCCAATTGACAGCCAGGTGTCAGAAGAATCCAGTCTCCCTTCCCTGCTTTTCTCTCCACCCCCAACCCCCATCTGGAGGGCTGGGGGCCCAGCCGTGATTTCCCATCACCGTGGCACCTGCCGGGGCCTATCTGGGGACTCCTGTTTCCACAGCGGTATCACCAGGGGGTAGAGCTAGCACCCTGGGGTCAAGAAGGCAGGGGCCTAGGGTCTTCCCCCAAGTGAGCTTTGCATCTGCAAACATGTCATTGCAGCACCTGAGGTGGTAGTGCCATCTGTAAAGCGGTATCACTGCTGTGGGGTGGGGAGGAGGCGGAGACAGAGGAGGAGGAGGTGGGGGCGGAGGAGGGGTGCTAGGTACCTCGTAAGCATTCAGCAATCAAAAGCTCTTCTAGAAAAAGGAGAAACAGGCCAGTCGCAGTGGTTGACGCCTGTAATACAGCACTTTGGAAGACCAAGGCAGGGCGGATCACTTGAGGTCAGGAGTTCAAGACCAGCCTGGCCAACACGGCGAAACCACATCTCTACTAAAAAGACAAAAATTAGCCAGGCATGGTGGTGCACGCCTGTAGTCCCAGCTACTTGGGAAGCTGAGGCAGAAGAATCACTTGAACCTGGGAGGCGGAGGCTGCAGTGAGCAGAGATCCTGCCACTGCACTCCAGCCTGGGCAACAGAGTGAGACTCTGTCTCAAAAAAGGAAAATTAAAAAAAAAAAAAAAAGAGAAACAGAGGCAGCAGCAACAATAAGCACAGCAGGGTGACAGGTGACAGCTTGTTTACCAGCCCCACCCCACCCCCACAAAAGGAGCCCAGGTTCATTGTCAAAACAAGTTGCTAGTTTTGTGTCCCTTAAGGGGTTGGGAGAGCTGATCTGGGGCTCCAACGATGTGCCTGTGTGTGTGTGTGTGTGTGTGTGTGTGTGTGTGTGTGTGTTACACTGTCTTGCTCTGTTGCCCAGGCTAGAGTGCAGGGTTGCAAACACAGCTCACTGCAACCTTGGCCTCTCAGGCTCAAGCAATCCTCCTGCCTCCGCCTCCTGAGTAGCTGGGACTGCAGGCATGCATCACCATGCTGGCTAATTTTTTAATTTTTTGTAGAGGCTGGGTCTTGCTGTTACCCAGGCTGAGGGTGTTGAACTCCTAGGATTAAACAATTTATTCAGAAGCGACATCATCCAAGAACACCAAGGCAACTTTACGGAGCAAATGTTTTATTTAATAAGTTATAAGATACAATTTACAGTCGGCGTTTGATTCCAGTTTGGCTTCCGTGTCCCAGCTTACAACACCCGTGGTCCTTTCACATCAGGCTCCGGGCTGTTCCACTTTCTGTAGGGTGGGCTTTTACCCCCAACACTCGCCCCAGATACTACACCTGCCACAAGAGTGGCCACTTCCTCAGGACTAAGCAGCAAAACCTAAAGGTCTGCCTGCCCAGACCACACTACACATTTGGGCTCAGGCAACGTCCCTGACACTTTAACCTCATTCCAAAGCCAGCTCAGGTCTGCAGGAAGGCAGGCAAAATTCCCTACACCTCATTTCTGGATTTCTGCACCACACAGCTCTCACTGTTTCTGCCAATGGTGAAAAGACCACCAATAAGCTGCTGCCCTTCTCTCCCCCAACCATTCCCAACTTTCAGGCCAAAGACCCGCAGGAGTTTCATTCTGTCCTGTCTGTACAGATCATTATTTTCCAGAAAAAGTGACCCATGAAGTTGGCTGGGGCGGGTGTGGAGTGTTATGTCATGGGACGGACCTTGGGATGAGGGCGTTAATCCATGGGCCCCTCTGAGATCACTTTAAACATTTTGGTAAGACTGCCCAGGCTGATGAAGGGCTGGAGCGTGTGTTAAAAACAAGGGCTAGTGTTGGTTAAAAGGGATCTTTGGCAAGTGGGAAACTGCTCGCCACTGCAGAATTTCTTCAGACCAAGGAAGGGACTGAAACGGACTTGGAAAACTAAAGCAAAACCATGACTGCCGGGATGGTCTCGTGTGGTGATTCTGCAAGAAATAATCACCAGAGCGAGGGGACAGGTACTTGAGAGACATGTGGGCCTGGCTGCCACTCTGCCCTCTGAGTTTCTGTAGGGTGCCCGGCTGCCACTCTGCCCTCTGAGAAGTGTAAGAAGGCCACAGAGCATGGGGGTGTTGGCGATGAGGAGCGGTAAAGCAGTGCTAGTGATCTAATAGCCAAATACATTAACACGGACACTGGAAGAGATTAAGCGGATTTTAAGTCATCTCCTTTGCCAAATGACAACCAAACTAGGTGTCCCCTTTTTCTCTGCCCATCTTCCCCTAGCCTTGTTTCATAAATGCTGAAGAGTGAACCAGCAGCTCAGGCTAGCCAGTTTTGTTTTTTTGAAATGTCAGTCTCATTGTGTTCCTGGTCTGTCTGCTGCAGTGGCTGGTCTGTTCCACCAAGAGTTCTGGTTTGCACCTAGTGTACTCAGGATCTTCTCAGCCCCCTGAACAAGCTTGCATTTCTTAAGATTCTCCAATATGTCCCTCAAGAGTCCAGTCTAGGACTTATTTCTGAAGGCATTTTACAACAGCAATATTTTAGGGATGGGGTTTCAGCCCCACAAACAGGCTGGAGGGCTTTGTATAAAATGAATTACAAACAAGCAACAAAAGCAACCACAAGAACTCTCTCCAGGATTTGAGAAAACTGTTTTAAGGCACTGTGACATGAAAAGGGCTGCCAGGGATGTGTTCCTCCCCCCACTTCACAGCCAGCACATAATCGCCCCTCTCCTTGACGACGTATGTGACGTTGTATTGCTGGTTGCCTACATGCTTCATGGAGACCTCCTCGCAGGGGGTGGTGGGCCCATGGACCCCGATCAGCAGCATGTTGGAGCCTAGGAGGCAAAAGGTGGTTACTCCACCCGGATGCATCAGGACAGGCACAGGAAGAAGAGGAAATATGAGAGCCAAAGGTAAGGTGCTTCCACGATAATGCTGGGGCCCCTAAGAGGTGGGAGAGCGTGGCAATTACAAGCAGAGGCTCATAGAGCCTGACGGTGTGGGTTCGAATCCCTGCCCTGCCACTTGCTACCTGGGTGACCTTGGACTGGAATCTCACCTCTCCCTAGCTCAGCTTCCCCATCTGTAAACAGGGAATGAGAACAGCACATACCTCACGAACTAGTTGTGAGGTTTAAGAGTTATGGGTGTCAAAACCTAGCACACAGTAAGGGCTATTCTAAGTGTTGGCTATGAGAATCTTCTTGTTTACTCTCACAAGCACCTTAAGGAAGGTACTTCCGAGAAGAGGAAACTGACTTTTGGAAAGAGATTTAATAACTTTCCAAGGTCACATGGCTAAATAAGTTTTAGAACAAACGAATGAATGAATGAAGTGGCGGTACTAGGTTTCCAGCCCAGGTGTACTGGATGCCAGAACCCAGGCAACCGACCCTTGAAACCCAAATAAATACCCAAGTTCAAAAGGCAAAAGAGAAGGAAATCATTTAAAAATATTAAGTGCAGGAGAACAGGGTCATGACGATGGTTACTTGCAAACGGCTGGCCTACATGGGGGTGGGCACTGCAGGAGACCTCAGCAGGGAAGGCCAGTGTACCCAGGGTGCCCAGCCTGCCCCTGCCCCACCCCACCCTTGAAAAGGCCCAGACACCTACCAGCTTTGCTGCAGTCCACCAGGAAGGAACTCTTCTGGCCCACAAAGGCCTTTGAGAGCCCTGCCCCCTTAGAGGTCACCTTGCTGGCGTCCGAGGATGCCTTGGGAATGGCGCTATAGCAGGTCTCTGTAGACGACCTGGTCACTGACTCCACCAGGATGGATGAGGTCTCGTTGGCTGAGCCAGGGCTAACTAGACGCTGGCCTAAGATACAGGAGGGAGGGGGACAGGCATGAATGGCCAGATCAAGAGGGGTCTCTCAGCCAGAGGACAGGCGAGTACCCTACACAGTAACCCCAGGAGAGCCCGCGCACCCCAACACAAAAGCCACCACACCTGTATCTCACACCCATAATGTCTTCTAAACCCCTAGGATCCCACCCCCATACAACTAGGATCTGGCTTTCTGGGCAAATGGATGAGTCTGGCCTTGGCTGACAAGGCCAAGGACCCTCCCAATCCCCCCACCCCCTACCCACCAAAGATGTGCCTGTGGAATTCACATCTTTCTATTGACATAAAATAGTCTATGTATAAGCAGTGTAAAAGTTTGGGATGACATATAATGAAATATCAAAAAATGATTCTGTGGATGAGAAAGGATGATTTTTCTATCTGAATTTTCTAATTTTCCTGCGATGAACCTACATTCTTTATGTAACAGTGAATCATGACGTGTGGAAGGGATTTACTACAGTGTTTATGGTGGTTACCTTGGGTGGTGGCTGTGAAGTGGTTTTCATAGTTTGGTATTTTTTCCAGTGTTTTGGAGGAGACACATTTTTATAAGTATAGGAAAACTTTTTGATTATTTTTCAAGTGAAAATTAGAAATCAGGGGATTTTTCAGACCCTGATCTAAACAAATACGTAAGATTTCAATATGTATTCTTTCCTGTTAGAGATAGAAAACCACCTAACATCCTAACATGCTTTCTCAACTTCTGCACGGCTCCACTCTGTGGACTTTTGTAAGTTTCAAACACTGCCCTCTGACATCTCATACTATTTACTGACATTCAAAGTTCAAAGTAGCTTTAACACATCTAAAACCATCCATAGTTTCCACTATGATTGATCTGACACAACCAGCTCCCCAGGAAGGGAGAGTAACTCCGAAGGTGGTTGTTCGTTACCTGTCACCTTGGCCTTGAAGGGACTGCCCACGATGTGGTTGGGCCCACCGTATTTGACGCTGATCAGGTAGTTACCAGGAGCCATGGGGGTGTACATGACTTTGTACCCTTCAGGTGTTTCCTGGCAATCCATTTTAACCTTGGATGGGCCTTCGATGGTGACGGATAATGTCCCTGGACCTGCTCGGGTGGTGTTAATAAAGAATTCCGACTGGATACCTGGGAGAAAGGAATAGAAAATGCTGTGTTGATGACTTGGAGGGCTTTCCTGGGAGCACTGAGGCCGTGGTGAGGGACACACATAGATCCCCTTACAGAGGGCTCACCCTGGTGGCATGGGAACCCACTGGCACTAGCTCTGAACTTCTGGCAGAGAGAACCTCAGGCCCTGCGGGGTGGGGGCTCCCTTTTCTAGGCCAAGGCAGGAGGAGCATGGCTGACATTTCGCCCACAAGCACCAACAGCCTGGACACCCTGTTCTCTCCTCTGGGCATGAGCCATTGTGGCTGAGGGCAAGAAGCCTGAGTCACACTGTGAGCCTGAAGTGCTGCTTCAGCCACCAGAGTCCAGCTCTCCCTCCAGGGGTGTGGGGGAGGCGTGGGCCCCTCTGACTGTCCTTTCTTCTCCGGGTAGACTTGGAGAAGCCAGGGAGGCCAAGCATCTCCTCCCTTCCTCCTCAGCCCTCACCCCAGGCACTGTGCTGCAGACCGGGTGCAGCCACTGTGACCTGCCAGCCCACCCACTTTGCCGTGAATTCCAGCAACAAGCACAGGAACAGAACAGCAGCTCCCGCTGACGGGGCATGCGTACCCCACTCCGGCTCCAGGTCCTGTGCACAGCACCATTTACGCATGTGGTATGGAATCCTTTCCGTGATTCCTGCTTCACAAATGACTCTGCGGCTCAGGGAGGGGGCCAGTCACGCTACACAACCAGAAAGTGGTAGAGCCGGGTTTGAACCATGTCTGCATGGCTCTGGTGCCAGGCTCATCTCTTGACCCCTGGATGGGCAGTGGAGCTGCCTCAGATCCCCTAACTGCAGCCCTGAGACAACTTAGCTGGCCCAGGGAGAGCCTCCTTCAGTCATCAGGTCTGGCGCATGCCTGCTACAGTGCCCTCTATGGGGCATGCCTGGCATAGCATCCCCATGCAGGGCTATGCTTCTGCCAGAGCCCTAGACACTGCCCCAGCTGGGAAATATTTTGGTTTAATTATAGCTCCTAGTCCAGAGAAAGAATTATTGTTCTGGATATCAATAAAAACAAAAGAGCTGCTATCGTGCAACTCTCAAACACAACCCAGCTGTTCCTGGAAGCTCTTGAGGCTCCTGCCCCAAGGTCCACCCCCAACACTATCTCAACCTCATCATGGTATCTAATCTGTGCAGCCAAGAAGCCCCTCAAGCAGCAGCTCTGAGGCCTGGGGCTACGTAGGGAAGAAGCGGGAGGTGAGCAACAAGGAGACAGTGTGTCCATCCAGGAAGCAGCTGTAAGGTGATGATAAGGAAAGATATTTTATTGATTGATTGATTGAGATAGAGTCTCGCTCTGTTGCCCAGGCTGGAGTGCAGTACCATGATCTTGGCTTATTGCAACCTCCGCCTCCCAGGTTCAAGCGATTCTCCTGCTTCAGCTTCCTGATTAGCTGGGATTACAGGCACTCGCCACCATGCCCAGCTAATTTTTGTATTTCTTTAGTAGAGATGGGGTCTCACCATGTTGGCCAGGCTGGTCTTGAGCTCCTGACCTCAAGTGATCTGCCCACCTTGGTCTCCCAAAGTGCTAGGATTACAGGCATGAGCCAACGCACCCGGCCTTATTACTAATATTTTTTTTTTTAGATAAAGTCTTCCTCTGTTGCCCAGGCTGGAGTACGGTGGCATGATCACAGCTCACCACAGCGTCAATCTTCCAGGCTCAAGCCATCCTCCTGCCTCAGCCTCCAAAGTAGCTGGGACTTCAGGCATGCACCACCACGCCTGGCTAATTTTTAAATTTTTTTGTAGAGATGGGGTTTTGCTGTGTTGCCTGGGCTGGTCTCAAACTCCTAGGCTCAAGTGATCCTCCCACCTCCACCTCCCAAAGTGCTGGGATTACAGGTGTGAGCCACTGTGCCAGGCCAAAAAGATATTTTTAAAGTGAAGTTGAAATGATGTGGCTGCAGGGGAAAGTTCCACCATTTTTTAACAAGCTGTTTCATTCCTAAGTTCGTCTTTAAAAATTTTTTTTTTTGGTAGAGATGGAGTTTTACTATGTCACCCAGGCTGGTCTCAAACTCTTGGCCTCAAACAATCTTTCTGCCTTGGCCTTCCAAAGTGCTTTGATTACAGGCATGAGCCACCGCACCCATTTGGCCCTAATGCAATATTTTGACCAACCAAAAATCAGTTCATCTTGACTGTGAGGGCCCAAAAGGGCAGGGAAGACGAGGTGGGAAAAGAGAAAGCAGGGGTTATGGGACAAGAGCTACTACTTGGCTGTTACCTCCTCTACAGCTCCAAACAAGCCTATTAGGTGGGTCCTGTTATTAATCCTGTTTTACAGGAAAGGAAGCAGAGGCACAGTGAAGTCAGATAATTCATCTGGAGTCACACAGCTGGGGACCAGCAGAACTGGGATTTAAACATAAAGTCTGTCCAACTTGGAGCTAAAGCACTTACCTGAGAGAAGATGGAAGGAAAAAAATCCACAAGCAGAAGTCTCTCACCACTGCCTCTAGCTATAACCTGTATCTGACACCACAAAACATCTCTGGGCGTGGCGGTCTTCCCCCACCCCCTCAAATATGTCCAGCTCAGTTCCTGTGAGTTTAATGCATGTTAAACGCAGCACTGCTTGTTCTTCAAGGCAGTTAAGGAAGGAGGCCCTTCTGGTATACCCCGAGCACACTGGGGTTCCTGGACCATTTCATTAGGAAAATTGCTCAGCGGCTCCAAAGAATCTGGAGCTCCCTGGTCTATCTCCCAGCCTCTCAAGCCGCCTCCAGCAGGGTCCCGCCCCAAATTCTCCACATTCCCCTACTCCAAAATCTACAGAATGGACCATTTAAAGCTTGAGCCAAGAGATACAGCAAACTCACCCATTAAAAACAGAGGGAGGTTTGCTTTGTTCAGAAGGTCAGGATACTGGGCGCTCTGGCGGCCAAGCACAGATACCTTTTCATTCCATGCACACTGCAGCTGTGTAATCTCAGAATGGATATTTAGGGAAAGGCTTGGGAGCAGGAGGGCTGGAAAAACAAGGCGCCTTCCCTGTGACAAGAGCAATATTTACACAGGGTTTGAAGCAGGCGGTTCTGTACCTCTCCCCTCCTGGCTAGGAGCTTCCCTGCAAGAGCAACTCCTTCTCTCAGCAGCGTCCAGCACTTGCAGAGCACAGCCTGAAACCCAAGCTCCCAAAAAGGTGTGCGAACAGCCAAAAGGAAATGGGAGAGGGCCCAGGCACAGCGGCATGAGCCAGCAGGAGGGTGAGATGCTTCCTGGCCAGTGTGGGAGACCCCAGCAGCTGCTGTGAGGCCTGGCCTGAAGCCTGCCACGCGCTCCAAGTGCCGAGAGGACCCCACCTGGGCCCTCAAAGGTGAGTACCTTGTCAGGGCCCAAGTGCCAGCACTGCTGCCTGGAAAGTACTCCTGAGTGGCTGGGAGGACAGGGGTCCTGGTTTAGGACATCCCCAAAGTGGGCTGGGGATGCAGTCACTGCCTCTGGGTGAGCCAGCCACTTAGAGAGGGGGCCAAGCTCGGGGGTTCAGCGCATAGGCTCTGAGGTCACGGATGTAGACTGATTCCTGGTTCTGCCTCCTCCCAGCTGACTGCTTTTTGGGGGAGTGTTGTTTGGGGAGTGACTCAACCTCTGCATCTCACTTTCCACATCTGTAAAATGGACATCACTTACGGTAAAATGATACCATGCCTTTCACAAAAGGCAAGCCGCAGGCCCAGAGTTCAGCGTGGAGCCGGGCTGGATTTGCCTGGGGAGTCTGGCAGCACTCACACCACCCCTGTGGGTGGCTTTGCTGAGGCCACTGCTTTGGCCAGAGTCCCGGGCAGCCTGCCAGCCCACCAGTCACTCCTGCACCCGGAGAGGGCCCCTTGGCCACACAGGTCACTTGCTCCTAGGGCTGGATGCCAGGCAACCATGCAGCCACTCACCCCTCACCCCTGGGAGGCAAGTCTGCTCCATCCCACTCTCCTTATGCGGGGTGGGGGTACACACACAAGAGACTCAAGAAACCAGGACATACTGCTTTCCCAAGAGGGTCCAAAGTAACACCAAATGCAAACATGCCCCAGTGAGTCCACACTGCGCACTTCCCCTGCAAAGACTAAGGACTGACTCTCCACCCTGGCAGCCTCCATAACAGTGACGCACTCACTGCGCACCACCCGATGCCACCTGTTCAAATAACTGCGATTCACAGCAGGAATTCTCACTACAGCCAGGAAAAGGAGGGGAAGATCTGTTCTGACATGGAAAGATCTTTAAGATGTCAAAGCAAAAACACAAGCTATACCACACAGTGGATACAGTAAGATTCTTTCTGTAAGACAAAAGCAAAACTCTGTGTCTGCTTGTCTAATGAACCAATTAGCTAACCAACCCAGCAACCAAGAATGAAGACAGACAATGAGATGACAGACAGGGTGAAGGTCCTCCCTTCCCAGAGCCGTTTGCTTCCAGACCCAGGTGGGGGAGGAGGAGAGAAGATGGAGTGAGTCTCACTTTATTTACTTCTTCACTGCCTGTATCTTTCATAATCAAACATGTCCCATCTGTGGCAAAGAATAAAAGTAAATTGTAACGGGTCTAAAAAGCTTCAGAATTCTTTGAACATTTCAGTCTTTTCTCCTCCTCCATTAAGATCTGAGAGTAAAAAGAGGAGGAGATAGGCTGGGACAGGTCTTATTGCTGCTTCAGTGCATTTCTGGGAGCCTGGTACCATGAAAGAACAGACGGGTAGGAGCCCACTTGGACGCATCATGAATTCTGTGCAGGCAAAGAAACCCTCAAAATTAATGACACTGTGCTGTGTTCCCTGACTATCAGCATCCTGTTCTGAAAGTCAAGAAACTTGGCAGAGGAAGGAATCTGAATCACAACTAACAGTAATGAGGTGTGATAACACGGCCATCGAGCTCTCACTCTGGATTTATCGTGGGTCAAACCGCAACTCCCAAAACAGCTTTGGACAGCAAGCGCCTCCGAAGTGTGCATGACCCCAGTTTCCACGGGGAGTACGTGTAAAAAGCTTTCATGGGGCTTGAGGATTTCCATCTGGCTTGGTCCCTGGAGCTGGTTCAGTTAAGGCTTCAAGAAGCAGAAGAGTGGGTTACCTGTGGTGCCCCCTTCGAGTCCCGTGCCATAGGCGGACACCAGGGCAGGGTTCCCCGCTTGTCCAGGCTCCCCAACGCGCACTTTGAAGGGGCTTCCAACCACGTGGCTCCCATTGAACTTGACATCGATGGTGTGGACACCATTCTCATGAGGGATGAAGCGAACAGCATACTTATCTAGGAGAATGAGCAAAGGCACAGGGTGAAATCAAGCAAATGGACACCCCTGAGTTCAGTGAGGATAAAGGATGGAGGCCAAGCTGAGATGGCCCATTTAAAATCAACAGTTCTACAGGGAGCCTGGCACTCAGCATCCTGGATTTCAGAACCAGACAGACCCCCTGGGTATCCCTCATCAGCCCCAAGGGAAACGCATCCACATTGCAAATCCTATAAACACAGGACAAGACTCTGACCCCTGCCTCAGAAGAACACTTCCTTTCTTTAGAAAACCTCACTTCTTCAGTGTGAAATTCTGTGAATGCTGTTACTAATCCTGTCACGAGATGAATCTCATTTCACCAAAATTAAATTATGTTTTTCCACTAAAATGATGATACAAGTTGAAGACACAGCACTCTGAAATTGGAAGACCTCACCACTTAAGGCTCCGCAGCGGCTTACTCAGCTGAACTCCAGGTTACTACTCTTTACTTTGTTCACCCATTGGGGAGTTCAGTTTGTTTTTAAACATTGGGAGATGGCCATTCTAACTACTGTTCAATGTCTCTGTTTTGGGAAGGCATAACAAGAAATAAAAAGGAATATATATGAAGGGAAAAAAGAAAACCTCACTTCTTCTATGTTTCTCTATTTGGCCACTTGAAGGGGAAAAAAAACGGTTCCAACTGGCATTAATGCTCCTTAATTAAGCTCAAAGCTAGGAACTGCCCCCACAGGGCAGGTTTGTGGCTGTGCGTTTGGGTCACAGCATGTAGCAAGGTAATCTGTTAACTGAAGTGGGCACCTAGAACATCTACCCATTGTGCACCACCTGACTGCCGCTTCCTCCTTGAAGCCCTCCTGCCCAGGGTGCAGAGCCTGTTCTCCTCCTACCTCTCCAGGTAGTCTCTCGGTCTCTCCCTGGTGCCTAGTACTCTTCATCCCTCTCAGAATTTGTGTTCCCCAAAGCTCTTCTCCCTGCCTCTGGACGTCTCCACAGAGGTGCACCTCCATGAAGCTGTGCACCCTACGTCCTTTGGCACTGAACATCCTCCAACAGTCCCCATCCGCCTCCCTTAAAGCCAATGTGTTGTAGGGGAAGCTGGCTCCACCGCCATGTCCAGGTGTGGTCCCTGAGTGGATCAGGGAAAAATCCTTCTTCACTAAGCCTTAGTCAATGAGCACATGGCATTTCTTTAGCCACAGGAAATGACTCAGCAGTGGGCATGTGTCCAGGTCAGTGAGAGGGGAAGGCAGACGTGCTGGAGACTTCTGGGAAAGGAGGCTCTCGACTTCTAAGAATCCTGAGAGGGTGTCTCTCTTAATTGATGTGGCGTGAAGGTGGGACATCTGGTGCTGCTGCAGCCATCCTGCCACCAAGAGGAAGGCCATCCTGCCACCAAGAGGAAGGCCAGAACCAGGCCCACAAAGCAGAACAGCAGAAATATTTGACGCCTTGCAGGGCGCAGCTCAATGACCAAATCAAATTGCTGAAACCTGTCTTGGATGTCTTGAACTTTCTAGTTATGCAACTTACTGGGCCCCTTTATTGTGTGAGTTGGCTTGAGCTGGGTATTCTGTAATTTGCAATCAATAGTAACTGTGTCATGCTAATGATCTCATACATCTGTAGGGGTTCAAATCCTGTCTGGGGTGGAGTTAGCTTCCCCTGAAGCACATTGGCTTTAAGAGAAGAGGGAGGGTACCCAGTGAGGGACTGTTGGGGCTGAGGCCACCAAACCTCACAGTGATCTAGTAAACATCTCCATTTGGGTATTGGGGATCCTTCAAAACCCCTCAAAGTAAAATATTAAACCCTTTAAGGCCCTGACCAATCCTCACCCACCCTCTGCCTGGCTGGCCCTAGTTCTGATAACTGCACTGTCATCTTCCGACCCAATCACTAAGCTACGTGGAACATTTTGGAATGGATTCTCTCTCTCACTCTCTATAGCCACCATAGATCTCTGGCCTCAAGTCCCTCCTCTCCATTTCCAGTGCCACTGCTTCCTCAAATGGACCACTCTGGGAGCACCAGCTTGCCACTTGGCCTTTCAGACTAAAACCAGGATCTGACCCCATCCTTTACACTTGTTCCTCCTGAGGCTCCCCACTGCCTTTCTGCCTACTAGGAAACATAGATCTAAATGTTCACACAGAGCCTACATTCCTTTTTCTTTCTTTTTGAGACAGGGTCTTGCTGTGTTACCCAGGCTGGAGTGCAATGGCATGATCACAGCTCACAGCAGTCTCGACCTCCTGGACATAAGCAATCCTCCCACCTCATCCCCCACAAGTAGACTACAGGTGTGTGCCACCATGCCTGGCTAATTTTTTTTTTACTTTTTTTTGTAGAGAAGGGGTCTCACTATGTTACCCAGGTTGGTCCCAAACTCCTGGGCTCAACTGATCCTCCCAAAGTGCTGAGATTACAGGTGTGAGCCACCATGCCTGGTCAGAGCCTAGATTTCCAACTACACTATACAAATACAGCCAGGCACACAACAAATGCCCTATAAGGCAGTAATCATAGGTCTCCTCCTCATACATCAAGGCCCACATCAAATGTCACCTCCTCTGAGAAGCCCTCCTGAACTCACCGAGGCAGAAACTATTTCTCTCTCCTGCTCTGACCATCTTTACCATTTGCTTCACAGTTCTCCTGTGGTACTAGTGATCATTTGGGGTCATCATCTGCTTTTTGGCCAGGCCTTCACTAAACTTTGAGCAACTCTTTGAGCCTTATACCTTCCTTCAAGTTTCTGACACTTAATAAATTTATTATGTTCACCGGTAACACTGTCTCTTTAAAGTTGATTAAATCAGAGAATTCCATATACCAAGGCACCAAGCAAGAAAAATCTTAGGACATTAGGGCCTAGAGACCCAGATTTTCTTTTTTAAATTTACAGAACATTAACCTACTTTTCCTTTAGAGTAAAGTGAGATCAAAATATGCTTACTCGTGCCATAAGGTCAATGAATAAAAATCTGTAAGATGTTGTTACAATATGAAAGAAAAATTATGATGAATGTCATGCAAAAGGAATCTGAAAAACTAACAGAAAACAAAGAAGCATTTGTTTTTGTGTTGTGTGTATGTGTTTTTTTGTTTTTTTGTTTTTTTTCTGGAGACAGGGTCTCACTCTGTCACCCAGGCTGGAGTTCAGTGGCACAATCATAGCTCACTGCATCATAGCTCACTGCAGCCTTGACCTCTCAGGTTAAGGCACTGTACCCAGCCCAGCATTTGTTTAAAAAAGAAAGAAAGAATGAGCATTCTCTCCTAGCATAAAGGGTCTCCCTATCCCTGGCACATGTTTAAACCCTAATTTATAAACAATATCTGGCAACAGCAAAGGGAATTCAGAGGCTCACTGGCAGTAATGAAACTGATCAGCCCTCCCTTGGGACACACATTTACAGGAACATTCTGCTGGAAAGTGCTGGTGCTGGGACCCCCCAGCAGGCCTCCTGCTCACCTGGCTCCAGCTCAGACACGTGGCACTCCTCCACGGCTCCAGAGGGGCTGTGCACCTTTGCATCAATCTTGCCTTTTGCGCCATTCAACCTTATAGCAAAGGATGCTGGCTGGTTAACTTTTAATCCCGATTCCTGAGAATTTAATACATCAGACAGGTTATGGCCCTCGGCGTTCCTGCTCAGTGGCACACACTGACCCTACCCAAAACTGTGGGTGACAGTTCTCATGCAAATAGGTTTTTCTATATAACATATGACAACAAAGGGCAGGTGAGCCATTCTGCATTTTTAATGTAAGATAGCAGAGACGTGCATCTGCATGGTCTCTTATGCAAACCATCTTGATTCAGCCTAGAAGAGATGATTTCTGGGCTTGGATACTTGAGACATCCTGGTCAAAAGGACTATCATCTCAGCATCCAAAATAATGCCCATGCAGGCCAGAAAACCCAGTATGTTCCAGGTCAAAAAAGTGTCCTCTTTTAAGAGGATACTGCAGCTAACAAAGTCATGCACTCACGAACACGAACACAGTTTTATGTTATGCTGTTTGTTATCTCAAGGGCAGACCTGGAGGAACATATTATAAAGGGCTACGTGTGCAAAGAAGGCAGTACTCCATAGCAGTTAAGAATCAGCTGGATCTGGATTTCCTACCATTTCCTAGCTATATATCTAGGGTGCCAAACCTCTTCGAGTCTCAGTTTCCTCATCTGTAAAATGGGCATAATAACGATCTATCTCGAGGGCTACTATAAAGATCAAATGAAGCTGTGCATGCAAAACATTTATCACAGGGCCTAGCCCATACACAGAGAGGCTCGAAAACGTCAGCTTATTATTAAATATTAATATGCATTTAGAGGTTGTATCCCCACAAGAAGCCATAGAAAGACATAGCTTTTGCTCTTCCCTGGATCAGTTTCACTCCCCATACTTTGTCTTGGAAACTATCTCCTCTTCTGGGAGGAGGGGATTAGAAGTTCAGATGGTTAAGAACAAAGCTGAGCAACAACATTTGAGATATTTTAAGACTAGCCAATCCTGAACAGCAGCATTTTACAAGTCAGTAATTTTGATTTAGACTTGGTCGGACAGCCACTCCTCAGGCAATAACTCTGAAGCAGCATGGCTCACACTTAATGTGTAAGCAAACCATCTGGGGATCTTATTAAAATACAGATTCTTTTCCAGTGGGTCTGGGACTGAAGTTCTCAGGTGATGCTGAGGTCCAAGAACTGGCCCAAGAACCACATCTTCATGGCAAGGTCCTAAAGCTGCACTGGCTAATTTGGTAGTCACCAGCCACGAGGCCATATATACATATATTTCAACTTAATGCACTTAAATAAAACTAAACATCCAGCTCCTTGGTTCCTCTGGCCACATTTCAGATGTTCAATAGTCACATATGGTTAGTGGCTATCATGCTGCATAGCATAGACTTGAAGCATTTTGATCACTGCAGAACCTACTATTGGACTGTGCTGCCCTAGGGGATATAGACTGAGGAGGGAGGACAGAACACAGAATTAGAGGGTCTTTGATCACCAGATCACTCCCATCCCACCCCCACCCCAAGTGCCAGCCTACTCCAATTTCCTAAAAAGTCTCAAAAGCAAGACAAAACGATACATGCCTCTCTTTGCTAACCAGCACCAGATGTTGCTTGCGTGGGCCTCCGCAAAATCTCTGATCAATAATTTACATATCACTCGGCATCAAATGACCCGGGAAGAACAGGGGGCGATGCTGATGAACACACTTCTCCTGCGGCAGCAGCTGGTTACAAAAGCTTAAGAAACAGCCTGCTGTGCACTTACTGAAACATTTATGACCCAGCTATGACGAGAGCACTCTACAGAAGTTTCCTGGAGGGGATTTTTCCAAACCAGCTCCTTTTAGACAGAATCATTTACATTACCTGAATCCGCTTGCCGCTAAATCCTCAAGAGGGAGATAAATGCCTCGGCAGATTTGAAAGAAATCTTCGAGATGCATGAGGGCAGCTCCTGCCCTCAATAAGTGCTGGGTTTATCTCCCTCCGTAGGTTTTAGTTAAGTTGGCCACAAAAGACACTTCTGTTAAGAAGCCTTTAAATGAAACACAAGAAAAACATCTACACCACAGTAACCAGTTAGTACCCTTGGTATTCTCCGGATGAGGCCGCTTCAATGTGTGGACTGAGTCTGGTTTGGGTTCTGTTTACGTCTCTAAATGAAAGACTAATGTTTGGAACAACTGGAGGTATCCCAGTTCCCCTCAGAGTAAGATTAGAATCTCAAATGTAAACCAAGTGTATGGAACTAAAGCCAATGATATCACCAATCTTAGACATCAGATTGGATTTTAATGAATCCAATATTTTCAAGAACTGGGGGCAGCTCAAGGCTATTTAGAAACTCTTACCCAGAAATCATACTTTGGGATTTCGATGTTATTTCACAACTTAATTGCTACTCCCAGTTCAGACACCTAATTATTTTTCAGTGTCCTGGGCAAAAACCCAGAGGCATCCCCGATGGTTCTTAGTTTGGCTGAAGGTGCTAGTACAACCTTGAATTAAGTGACCTGTTTAGGACGAGGAAAAATGTTGCATCTCCTGGTATCCTAATGGGATGGACTATGCAACCGTGTGCCACAACATCAGGTGGGGGTTAGAGAGGTTGCCGTTAAGGGCACAGGTTCTGGCCAGGCACAGTGGCTCACGTCTGTAATCCCAGCACTTTGGGAGGTTGAGTGGGGTGGATCACCTCAGGTCAGGAGTTTGAGACCAGCCTGGCCAACATGGTGCAACCCCATCTCTACGAAAAATCCAAAAATTAGCCGGGTGTGATGGCGCGTGCCTGGAGTCTCAGCTACTCAGGAGGCTGAGGCAGAAGAATCACTTGAACCTGGGAGGCAGAGGTTTCAGTGAGCCGAGATCATGCCACTGCACTCCAGCCTGGGTGACAGAGCGAGACTCTGCCTCAACAACAACAACAAACAAACAAAAATACAGGTTCTGGAGCCACACTGTGCCTGTTCTGCCTCATACTAGCTGGTTCCCAGTGGACAAAACCTCCTTGTATCTCTGTTTTTCCATCATTAAAATGGGGTCAAGAGAACCTACTTGTCAGGCTATTGCAAGGATTTACTGAGGTAACACTGATAAAGCTCTTAATATAGTTCCCTGCACACTTATTAATGAATCACAGTAAGTTGCAACTGACTTTCTTGAAGAAAGGCAGCCAACAACAGCAGGCTAAAACATCACTGCACTGTTATTTTTGTGTTGGTTTTGTTTTGAAAGCCCTTGTTATCCCTTAACCAGTTATGAACAGGCTTCCTTTGTTTCTCTTAAATAAACCTTTAAAAACAAACGTGTCCCCAAACATTAAGGTGTGTTGTTGACTGTGGCTCTGTTTTTGCTCGCCCCAAGTGTCATCCGCCCTAAGTGTATGGGGAGTTGACTCTGCCACAGGAAAGCTCCCCAGTGACTGGGTGACATCTGTGGTCAAAATGTGAAAAGGGGCCTCAGCACCTAAGGGGACATTGAAGCAGCCTCAGGAGTCCAGGGGTCTCACTGGTGGCCTGCGGCCAAGGAGATGGATGCTTCCTTGCATCTCACCTGAAGGCTCATAACAGTGAGGCGGCGGGCGTCGTCGGAGGGTGCGATGACCGGCACCAGGTAGGGGCTTTCCGGGATGTGCTCATCATTGAACTTGATGGACACCTCGTAGTTACCTATGAGGACAGGAAAGTCCCATCATTTCAGAGACTCTGGACCCAGAGTGGACTCTTGCTTCTCACCAAGGGCTAAAATGCCTTCAGAGAGACCCAGCCCTCCTCAATGGCCACAGCTGATTGGTTGAGTGGGAGTCGCCTGGCTGAGGCTGGGCCGATATGATTTCCTTAGTGGGGTAAGGCCAGGGACTCTTAACCGGGGCTCACAGGGTCCCCAAATGGCCTGTATTGAATTCAGCAGATCCATGGACTTCAATGGGGAAAAAATTACGTTTTAATTTTCACCATTCTCTAACTGAAATTTACCATTTCCTTTCTTCAGAAATGTTGACAAGAAATCACAGCACATTATAAGTACATATGACTTACATCACCATTAAAAATCATATATTTTTATGTCATTTTACAGTTATTTTGACGTATCATTTTCACTTATTACTTTGTCACTTTGATGACAGTTAATATACTGTCACCAAATCTTATGATTTAATGTATTAACGAAGATATGCATGTTTCTATGTTGCATATTTGTTCTTGTAAGATTTTGGTAACTGTACTATAATATCAATGATTTCTTTTATAATGTGACATATTTCATTTTATGTGCTTTAAAACATTATCCCAAGAACAGTCCCCATAGGCTTCGCCAGATGGCAAGAGTCAATGGCACACAAAAGGTTAAGAGCTCCTGCTAGAGGGAGCTCAGATGCCAAGGCCACTCTTCTGGGGCAGCCAGCCAGGGTAGCCATGGGTGGGCAGACAGAGGCTGGTTGGTGGAAAGAATGGAGCAATTGAATGAAAGCAAGAAGCAGAGAGGCTAATGGAGAAAGGCAAAAGGCAACCAGAACAAGCGTTCCCACCCTTAAGAGGTCTGGCCATGTATCTTGCAACTGGATTTCTAGGAGGCTGTCCCATGTGCCCATACACATAGATTCCTCATTGACTTCAGCAAACTTGATGGATTTCTGTTCCTTGCAACCTAATCATGTTCAAACAAGGAAAATGTCCTCTTGTGAACCCTGAATACATACCAGGCTCTTGGGCAATATAAGATACACCGCACGACCCATTTTTATGGTCATCGAATGTAATCTCGGCCTTACTGGGGCCCTCAACAGCGATGGAGAGGCCTCCAGCGCCTGCTTCCCGGGTCCAAATGCTGAACTCAGCTGAGAGCAAAGAGAAACCTGGTTAGTGACTGAGCCCCACAGAGCCCCTGTCCCTCTTCCATCCTTGTTCAAACCTGCAGTGCTAGGTTTCGTCTGTTGCTAGCCCTTTCCTCTTTCTCCAACCCCAAGCAGAACCCAAGCAAGGTCCAAGGTCCATTGCTGAAGTTTCCTAAGCATCACTAGTGATAACTAAATTCACAGGACATCTGGAGTCCTCTGAAGACATGTCTTTTTTTTTTTTTTTTTGAGACGGAGTCTTGCTCTGCTGCCCAGGCTGGAGTGCAGTGGTGCAATCTCAGCTCACTGCAAGCTCCATCTCCTGTGTTCAAGCAATTCTCCTGTCTCAGCCTCCCGAGTAGCTGAGACTACAGGCTCATGCCGCCATGCCCAGCTAATTTCTTTTATATTTTAGTAAAGATGGGGTTTCACCGTGTTGCCCAGGCTGGTCTTGAACTCCTGAGCTCAGGCAGTCTGCCTGCCTCGGCCTTGCAAAGTGCTAGAGTTACAGGTGTGAGCCACCACGCCCAGCCCTGAATACATCTTAACCGGCCAGGCACAGTGGCTCATGCCTATAATCCCAGCACTTTAGGAGGCCAAGGCAGGAGGATCACTTGAGCCCAGGAGTTCAAGACCAGTCTGAGCAAGATAGTGGGACCCCATCTCTAACAAACAAGAGAGAAAAAGATATTAAATAAAAAATTTAAAAAATGAATACACCTTAACCAAGCCAGAGAAAGATGAGAATGTTCCATTTTTTCCCTACAGATCTTCCCACCAGCGGCAACCACAGGAAAGGATGCTTACAGTCAGTTTTGTAGCTTTCTAGTATGTTCCACAGAACATCAGCCCTGAAAGATGCTCTGGAAACCGTATTACTCTGCTCCCCAATTAGAGACTCAGGTGCACACTAATAAGATACGGGCTCCAAGGAGGCTCCCAGTAAGAAACCTGTTTGGCTTTACGTAAGTGAGCAAAGCTTAGTTACAAACTGTGCCAGACTTAGTCATGATGCCTTGTTTTAAATAATGCCCTTAATGCCACCTATCAGAAGTCTTCTCTTTCAAATGGGGCAAAAAAGTATGTGGGTGCCCACACTGCCTGGGCTCAACTCTATTCTTCCCAAGTGAAAATCCTGCCCGCAATGCTCACCTGGGACTCCCGCTTCTCCTCTCTCCAGGCCAGGGCCTCCTGCCCGCACCTTGTGGGCGCCTCCTTCACCAAGTGGCCCCACGGTGAACTGGAAGGGGCTGCCGGTGACGTGCTGCCCACGGTACTTGACGCTGACCGTGTGCACGCCCATCTCCTGGGGCACAAACCGGACGCAGTGTGAGTTCTTCCCCATGGGCACAATCTCTGCCTCAGTCACACGGCCAGAGGGGCTGGTGACGTGGGCCGACATATCACTGCTGTTGATTTCTGAAAGAGGGAGGGAGGTTGGGGGAGAGAAGAGGGTTAGGGCAAGGGCCTGAGACAGGGCAGGACATGCAGGGCAAGCAGCCGAGAGCAAGGTGTGTGCAGCCCGGTGGACGTGAGGTGCCCAGGCTTCCTTCCCTTCAGGCTGGGTGCCTGCCCTTCTGTGGCCAGCATGGAGTGGGCAGGGCCCTTCAGGCCACCCATGCTGGGGGCACTGAGACTTTTTGCCAAAGGTGACGTGGTCATCCATCATGCACAGACGGGCTCCTTTCCACAGATAGGTAAGGGTAGAAAACAAGAGCCATCATCCTTTACCGTCAAGAAGCTTTGGCATTTCTTTTAGGCAACAAGACAAAGTTAGAGAAAAAGGTGAACATATGTAAGTCCCAATGGCAGAGGGGAAACCATGCGTGAGCAAAGCTTTGAGCAAACCAAAGACCAGGGGCCACACTTTCAGAAAAGCAATGTCTCGGGTCACCAGTGCTAGGACGCAAGACCACATCACTCTCCGTGAGCTGCTCACGTCATGCCAACGACTGTGCCTGCACTGCCGTGGTGAGGCCAGGCGGCCGCATGCGGGGCACGGAGCACTGCCATCACCTAGAGCCAGTATGAAACTGCACCCTCCAGCCCCACAGGATCTGGGCAGAGCAGTTCATGACTCTGACCCCTGAGGACAGAAAAGGGAAGGGAGGTTGAAAAGAGGGTCACCCATGTAATGAACTGAATGTTTGTGTCCCTCCAAAATTCAAATATTGAAACCCTACCCCCAACAATGTGATGGGATTATCATGGGCCTTGAGGAGGCAATTAGGATTAGATAAGGTCATGAAAGTGGAGCGACCCTGTGATGGGGTCAGTGGCCTTGTAAGAGTCCCAGACAGCTGGCTCCCTCCGTTCTCCAGCATGTGAGGATACAAGGGGACGCTGTCGGTTTGCAGCCTGGAAGGAGGCCCTCACCACAATCTGGCCATGCTGGCACCTGATCTTGGACTTCCAGCCTCCACAACTGTGAGGCATACATTTCTGTTGGTTGCCACCTAGTTCATGTGATTTTGCTACAGCAGCCCAAACTGACAAAGATGCCCCGCAAAACCTGGGTCCGGAGGACATCTGAAGTTAGTGAGCTGTCCTCCATTAAGGAGGAGGGGATCTCCGAGAGGATCATTTGGGTAATGAGTGGAAAATCGAGCCTCACCCAGAGTCATCTGGTACTAAGTAACTAAAAGAATAACAAAATGGCCAAGAGCTGGAAGAGACTTAAGAGAAAGGGTAAACGTCCACACTGCAGATACTTGCTAGTTCCTCAAGAAATAAGCAGAGCACAGAAATTTTGCCAAATGAGAAATGTAAAGCAAATGAAAAGAAAACACAGTACACATATCACTAGTAATCGAAGATATGAAACTGAACACTGAATGCCATGTTTTTCCATCAGGTTGGCCAAAGTGAGAAGGAGAGACAGCCCCAGTGCTGGTGGGGGAGTATGGAGAAATGTGGAGGGCGGTCTGCCAAGGCATGGCAGCATCTGAAATGCACCAGCCCAGCCCACTCCTGGGCATCCAGCCCACAGCCTGAGCACAGGGTGGCAAATGTCACAGCAGCCCTGATGATGGGAGCTGAGGCACAGAGATGAGTAACGAAGGTTGATGCATCTAGACATGAAATGGAATCTCTCTTTTTCTATCACCAATAGTTCCATTGAATGAAATGGCATTTTATCAGGGTCATGAAAGAGATGATGTGGATGTCTATTTTTTGAGGTGGGAAGATGCCCACAAAAACAGTGGATGAGTACACCAATGTGACTGGAAAGTGAGCAGACGTGGCTATGAGGATGGGGCAGCCAGGGTCCAACTCTGTACCTAAAATGTGAACCAAGCTCTCTCTGGGAGGTGACACTTCCTCCCCCCACCTTGAGGCACACGAACTGTTTATGACTACAAACGATCAGTACAGCTCTTTTTTTTTTTTTTTTTTTTTTTTGAGAAGGAGTCTCACTTTGTTGCCCAGGCTGGAGTGCAGCGGTGCAATTTCAGCTCACTGCAACCTCCACCTCCCAGGTTTACGCAATTCTTGTGCCTCAGCCTCCTGAGTAGGTGGGATTACAGGTGCCCGCCACCACGCCCTGCTTATTTTTGTATTTTTAGAAGAGATAGGGTTTTGCCATGTTAGCCAGGCTGGTCTCGAACTCCTGACCTCAGGTGATCTGCCTGCCTCGGCCCCCCAAAGTGCTGGGATTATAGGAGTAAGCCACCGCGCCCGGCCCAATAAAGCTCTTTTTAAGTGATCATGTCTGAACTCTACAGTAATGAGGCTTTACCACATTCCCATGTGACCCGACGTTGATGTGACTACACAAGAAGAACCTGTTAACTAAAGCCAAGAAGGCGGAGTCGACAGCTCCGTGACTCGTTAGGAAGGATGGGAGATGCAGTGTAGAAAGACAACCCCCTCTCCAGAGCTCGCAACACAAGCTCCATCTGAAGACGATTTAGATTTCCCTTCTCTGTAGAATTTGTGCAATTCCACAGGACATGCCAACTTCTGGGCAGAGGAGCCTCAAAATTTTCACTCACAGTGGCTTCCCTCTGGAAGGATTCTTTATAGAAAGAACTTGGAACACATTTCAGACAGACTGTGTGACCTGTTGACTGGCTAATCGGGGCCCAAGAAGAACAATTCACCACCAAAGGGCTAGATGTGGCCCAGCGAGTTCTGCAGCACAGCCCTCGTTCTAATTTCAGGAATGAAAGAGAAATACTAGAAGGATGCCGCTGGGCTGCCACCTCTTAAATACTTCCAGACCCTGGCATCGGCAGGGCCAGTTCTTTCACTGACATGATTCTATTTGACAGATAGTTAATCTAAAAATCTAAAAGCATATCTACGTTTCCCCCATGTGACACAATAAAGCTATTTTTATTTGGAAGAGGAAAAAGGTAGCAAGGTAAACATTTGTTTTTCTTGGATGAGACTCTGTGAAAATAAACATAGAAGAACATAATGAAATGAAGTGAAATGAAAAGGTCAGCACAGCCGACTTGGATACTGTGTTCTGGGCCATGCCTAAACTTGGTTCCCAAAGGCACCCACTGCCCTGAAGGCTGGAGCCAAGGCTTCCCCACCCTACTAGTCCCCGACGCCCACCTGGGATTTTCAGGTTCAGGTCACAAATGCTCCCGACAGTGGCCACGGACGGGGCCCGACTGGTGCGGGTGATGCTCTCTTTGACTCTTCCCTCCCCACTGATCTTCACGGTAAATGGGCTCCCTGCAAGACCCAAGAAGGCTCCTGTGAGCAGGCCAGAGGCCAAGGCACAGCATTTACAGAAAACCCAAGCATCCCACCTGGAGGGGAATGGAATGCACATACCAGGCACGTGCTCGTCAGCGAATTTGGTGGAGACGATATAAACCCCAGGCACGGTAGGGAAGTAGGAGACTTTGCAGGTGCCATCTTCCAGGTCCTCCGTCTGGATGTCCACTTTGCTGGGGCCTTCCACCGCCAAGGATATGCCACCATAACCTGCAACACAGCAGCCCCAGGCTGTTCTGACAGCAGCTCCTCAGGAAGAGGGAGCCTGATGAATGGAGAAAGGACATCCGACCCTTACGCCTCAATCTATTTCTACATAGCAGAAAGAAAGCAATGGCGGCCTCGTTTGCAAAGCCCAGAGGGGGATGAGTAGGTTAAGCGTCCTGAGAAGCCCCATAGTGAAATAACCTGCTGAACCTGGTTTTGACCACAGAAGCCTTTCCTTAAGGATATTTACTAATATCCCATAGATGATGTGTCCCGTACAAACTGCTGGGGAGGACCTTCTGCCCTCACGCCTCCAAGTACTGCACGTACCACCTTGGGGGTTTATCCACAGCCAGATCTGAGATTTTGAATTTTTAAATAGCCCCTGGCTACCTCAGCTAGGTCAGCATATCCGAAGGTTTAACAGGGAGTATCTCCCAACCAGGACCAGAAATTCTCCAGCCCTCTCCCCGGGTTAGAATTTGTCTAGAATTCACCAGCGTGGCCATCCTTCAAGAAAGCAGATGACTGGAGGCACTGGGGTGTGGCAAGCTTGGAAGAGACACAATCTAACTCAAACCATCTCAAAGAGAAAACAGAAAGAGATGCTTCATTTCCACAAAAGCTCTGCTCAGATGACCATGGTCTTGGCCAATCAACCCAACATTCTTTGCTTGGAGAGACGCTGGGAAGCTGAGAACAAGGGTGGGAGAGCAGATAAGAAAACAGGGGTTTGCGAGGTGTTGTGGCTCTGGGTTCAGATCCTAGTGCAGAGGGGGCTCTAAACCTTGCAAGCCTCAGTTTCATCATCTAAAAAACAAAGACAATCCCATTTTTGCCAATGGTCATGAGGCATAAAAGACAATGCAGGCAGAAGGACCTATAGCTTGAAGGATGCTCAGAAAGGAAAAGGAGTTGGTAGGATGAAAAGATGACGCTGCCTCAGCAAAATAAGTCGGTTCCCACAAGCTCTGGGCCTCTCCCCTGGGACCACACAGACCTGCATCCCTTGTGTCCACGATGAAGTCAGACATCTCGAAAGTCCGGCCTTCTGACAGGCCGCGGCCATAGACTTTGGCTCGGCGGGCGTCACCAATCTCCGACTGGACCACCATGATAGACACGGGGCTGTTGGCCACATGGTTGCCATTTTTCTTGATGCTGACCAGATGTTCGCCCACTTCCCGGGGGATGAAGGAGATGCCTGGACCAGAACACAGATTGGGGCTTGTAAGGGGATGGCGGAGAGGAAGCAGGAGAGAGACACACTCTCAGAAATAGAAATATGTCCTCTTTCCTGACACCCAACAATCCAGAGTGTCGATATCACAATGCACAAATACGCTTGGGCATTTATCGTGCGTGTGACCCAGCAGGTTTATCACATCACACTCCATTGTGCTACCCATTCCCAAGAAAGGACTGCAAGAGTCCCCATCTCCCACCCAAGATGTCCTGGCTCCAGCCAGGAAGGGTAGCCTAGCTCACCAATGTGGTTGTTGGGCAGCCTCTTCAGGAGACAGGGCTCGTCTCGGCCAGATGGGGCCTTAATGCTGGCCGTCAGGCTGCTGAGGTCAGTCTCACTGATGTCGAGCAGGAAGTCAGCGGCTGAGCCCAACTTCACCTGGGAGCACCGCCTGCTGTCATCTGGGAAACATCCCCCAAAAAGGACTCCCGTTACATGTGGTTACCCTGGCTTCACAGAGCTGCCATGCCATATGCTGTTCACGGATGAACACGCAAGAACTAATTACACAAAGTTAAGTGAAAAAAAAATGAGCCTTGAACACTGAGTAGACCCAACCAATGAAGAATGATGGGATTCATGCCTGCTTGCAGCAAAGACAAGAAGCTGGCAGGACCTAGAGACTTGAGTCCTCATGGACCACATTTTAAAGGAATCTTTGGGCCAGGTGCCTAATCCCAACACTTTGAGAGGCTGAGGCAGACGAATCACTTGAGGTCAGGAGTTCAAGACCAGCCTGTCCAACATGGTGAAACTTCATCTCTATTAAAAATACAAAAATAAGCTGGGTGTGGTGGTGGGTGCTGTAATCCCAGCTATTCAGGAGGCTGAGGCAGGAGAATCGCTTGAACCCAGGAGGTAGAGGTCACAGTGAGCCGAGATCATGCCACTAAAACTCCAGCCTGGGTGATAGAGTGAGACTCTGTCTCAAAAATAAAATAAAATATAGGAATTTTTGTTAGTTGAAGGCACCTCATACCTGCCTGGCATGGCTGTGGGCATTTCTAGGTAAACAATGACCACATTCCACACAGTACTACTGGCTGCTTCACAGACAGGTCTAAATACGGTGGGGAAACAGGATCTGCCTTGTGCATCTTCCTTATAACCCACTGAAAGCATAACCTGAACACAGCAAGGTGAGGAGCATGGGCTTTGGAATTTGATAACCTGGATCTGTTTACCTATATGTGAACTTGGCTACACCACTACCTTGCCAAGCCTCAGTTTTCCCATCTGTAAAAGGGATAGCAGAAAATTTACCTAGTAGTGACGCTGAAGGGCATGTCTAAGCTCATGCACTTCATGCACTATTGCAGTAAGTATGATTCGAACACTCCATCTGAGAGCTTTCTCTTTGCACCCTAGAGTCACACTGGCACAATAAAAGTGTGCTCCAAATACTAGCTCTCGCATTTTCCTGGATTATCAGCAAGAGAAGGATTTAGCTAATCCAAAATTGCATTCCATCCCCTGCTCCTCCTCAACAAGTCTCTGTGAAACCTAAACTCAAAGAGACGTCTAGCCTGCTGCCAGGGGTCTGATAAGGAGGGTGGCAGTCAGAGGCAGCCATACTTCCCACGAGGAAGACCCCAGAAGCCAGACAACCCTACCTGTGATCTTGGCTGTGAAGGGGCTGCCAGGGATGTGCTTGTCATTGTACTTGACCAGAATGCTGTAGTCGCCTGGCAGAGTCGGCAGGTAGGTCACTGTGCATGTCCCATCTTTATTGTCAATGCAGCTGATTTCTGCTTTTGAGGGGCCCTCAATAGCCAAGTCCAGACCACCTACAAGTGGGAACAGGGATGCAGGGGTGTTAGGGAGAGAGTTGCCTTGTTTTAAGAGTTTCCTTTTAACAACTCATCCAGGGCAGCCCTGATGCTGGGGACAATGGATTGACGCACTCCACGTGAGCTGTGGGCAAAGGGACATCTGTCAGAATGAAGCAGTCCACGCAGTAAAAACACCCACTGAGAAGAAACCCCAAACATCTGAGTTCTTCACTGCAAGTAACCCTGGAGCTCTCTCTACTCTCAGGATGCATGGGATGAGAAAAGGAAGGAGCCGTGTACATCAATTACACATAGGAGACGGTGGGTGGTGGAGGGCAGAGGTGGATTGTCCCTGCCCATCAGGCACTGGCTGCCATCACGGAAATCCCATTAGAACCACAGATTTGGGATTATCCATGAATACCACGGGAATGGGCACACAGCTTTATCAAAAAGAGCCACTCAGTAAGTCATGTGGTCTTGTGGATACATGTGCAACAAGAACAAAAACATCACCAACCAAAACACACTTAAATTCCAGACAAGTCACATAAAGTATTTCATAGCATGAATCTGATTTCAGTTAGAACACAAAGGACTTCAAAAATGTCTGTCTGGGTAGAAGACGAAGCGGCTCTAAAGAAGAAACAGATTTACACGAGAGAAAAGACAAGACAAATACTACCATTCGATTGTCTCACTTTTAAAAGCCACCCTGGAACCGTGTCCACTTCACCCTCCAAATGGACAGCTGGAGGCGTATAAACACGTAAACCACACAGTACCTTCTCCTGCATCCTCTGTGACGATGGTGAAGGTGGCAGTTTTGTTGGCCACTCCATACACGAGGCCTGGACCGTATGCAGAAACACTTCCACTGTTGGGGTAGTTCACGTAGAACTGGAGTGGGCTCTCTGGGTTTACGAAGGACACAAACAAAATTGGTGCTCATTAAGGGGTGAACGAAGACCCTGGACAACTGGCATCTTGACGTCCACCTCTCTACAGGTCTGGCGCCTCCTAAGCAGAGGCATGAAGAGACAGAAGGAGATGCACATGCACCTCCCATCCCCCGCCATCCTAGGACATCAGAGAGGGTCTACGCAGTATTATTCCTTCAATCACAACATAAGAAAAACAATCCTGGAAGCTGCTCCAGATGAGGAAGGGGGCTAAGGTAAGGTACCAGCCCAACCTGACAAATAAGGAAGAAACTTTTGCACTGGGTGGTGAAAGGACCCATGGCCAGAGGGAAGGTAAGTGGAAAGGGCTTTTGGAAGGCCATTTGCCCATGCCATTCAACCTGTAAGGAATCAACCCCACAGTGGTCTTCTCTGCCCACCCCGACTCCTAGCCCTATGTAAGCACTTTCATTTCTGCAGTGTTCGGGTGCACATCAGGAAAAGACCTAAGTGTTCACAACAGGGGACCGGTTAAATAAATGCTGATCTACTCATGGGCCATTAAAAAGAGTGAGGAAGACCCATGTTTACTGACTTGAGAAATTATCCATAATATGATGCATTAAAAAGAAAAAAAGCAAGTTGCTATAAACTATGAATACCATTATGCTATTCCTTTAAAAACAAAATAGAATAAAATTATATGTATGTTTGTAGATACAGAGAGAAACATCTGAAAAGATACACAACTCACACCAGCAGTGGAAGTGGATGGCAGATGTGAGAAAGACATTTTTTCCTCTCTCTCCATCTGCCGCTTTAGAATATTTAAATAGAAGCAGATAATACATTTTTGCTTTAAACCAATATTACATACAGACAACTAAAGTAAATGCCAATCTCAGAGAAACATTTGCAACTCCTACCACAAAGGGCTAATCTCTCCAATGTTTACATTGCTCTTAGAAACTATATGACAAAGGCCAATAACCAAATAGAAAAACAGGCCGTGGATCCAAATGTTCAGTTCACAGAAAAAGAAATACAAATAGACATAGGGAAAGTTGTGTGGTCTCATTCACAAGAGAAATACAAATAAAGCAACGCTGAGATTCTGTTTCTTTCCAACCATCAGACTGGCAAAGCTCCAAAAATTTGATACCATATTCTACTGGCAAATTTTGTGGAAAAGAAGGTGCTCTTCTCCATGGCCAGAGGGCGTGTGAACTGCAACAGCCCCTCTGAAGGGCAATTTGGCAAGATCTGTCAAAATCATAGATGCCTGCACTGGGGCCCTAGCATTGCCTCCTCTGGTAACTAAATCTCACAGATACATCTTTGTGAGTGTGAGGTGACTAGGGGAAAAGTCGATTTGCGCAGCAACACTGGGGACAGCGAGGGCAGGAAGAACCAAAATGCCCTCCAATAGGGAAATGGTCAAATATGTAATGGTTCGTCCACATGAGGGAAGGCTGGGAAGACACTCTCTTATATATCTGTATTTCCGTTTGCATGGAGAGTCTTAAAAATACTCTGAAATTGGCCAGGCGTGGCGGCTCATGCCTGTTATCCCAACACTTTAGGAGACAAAGGCGGGAGGTCTGCTTGAGGACAGGAGTTTGAGACCAATCTGTGCAACACAGTGAGACCCTATCTCCACAAAAAAATAAAAAATAAAACCCTGAAACTCTGAAATCGAACATAAAAAAATTTATGATAGTCTAGTTCAAGGAGAGGGGTAGGAAGGAAAACTTTCTTCGTATCATTTTTATTTTTGAACCATGAGAATGTGTTACCTATTCAAAATACTAAATTAAAAAACAAATACAACTACAAAAAGAAAGAATGAACTGGTGACACTGTGCTGGTTGGTGACCCATGAAACCTGGGCTGGCTTCCCTTGTAGAGGGCTGCTGGTCCTCTTCTTCCAGGGCTGCTGGTCCTCTTCTTCCACCTCTGACCTGGCCCCAAGCCTCCAGCCCACACAGGGCTCTGCAGGCCAGGCTGGAAAGTCCCTCACCATGCCTCCCATTTTTCTCCCAGCTTGACCTCTGGCCACACTCAGCGTAGTGACAAAGATAAACAACCACAGACCCAAAGGCCTGCACTGTGACCCAAGACACTGAGCTACATCATCCCTTCCAGAAATCAGCTGGACCTGCTAGGGTCCCAGACTGTTTGGTTTCACAGGGGTACCAACGCTGCATTCTCCAGCCTGCTGCCGAGAGCTGCTCCCTGCAAAGCGGCTGAGGAGTGTCTGCAGGCTGCCCGGATGCCCCTGAATGGTGGAGCCCTGCTGGGCCTGCTGACTCAGCTTACCAGGGATGTGGCTGCCCATGTATTTGATGTGCATCTCATGGAGCCCGACCTCAGTGGGGGCATATCTAACAGTGACCGTGCCGTCCTTGTTGTCCACAATCTCAGGTGTGGCTGTCTTCCCAGAAGGCATGTGGACCTCTCCTATGGAGCACAGAGAGACGGGGCAATGAAGCCCACCAGCAACCTTCCCCAGAGAAGCAGAGCCCAAGGCACAGATGTATTCAAAATAAAGGTTTCCAGACCCAAGAACATTCGTTGCTGCCTAAAACATTCAAGTCCCACAATGGGAGAGACCATTTGCTCTTTTCTTTTTTTTTTTTCCAGTTCCATTTGGCTTCCACAAAATATAGCAGACAACTCTTAAAGAGTTTTCTACAACTGGCAAAATCAAGCTCAGAAAGGACTTGAGAACACCATGAAACCAGCTGGATACATAGAGCATCAAACCAAAGAGAAGTGGGCCATTGAAAAGAGGCTGAGGGGAGAAAGGAACTCCTGTATGACAGACTCAGTGTCAAAGTCACATCTGGAAAAGTCAAATAAGAGAAGGCAGGAAAAAGGGGCAAACAAGAACCCGACAGTCATGAGGTATCTAAACACAGCAGTTTTTAACCTAGAGAGAATCATGGGACTGCTCAAGAAAGTAATGCAAGTTGTCAGTGAGCCACTTCTTCAGAGAAACACACACGTGGCATATTCTGTAGTTTCAGGAGCCCACGGCCCAACACCGGAGACCAAGAACTCGTGACCCTGGGTTAAGGAGCCTGGGTCTGGGGGACAGTGGACACACCTCCCCAGCACCATTCTGGGAAGCTCGTGAGAGCAAGTGAGAATGAGACGGCCTTTATGGCAAGTGCTTACCAGTGATTTCTCCTTTCCTGACAGCAAACGGAATGACCAGGTCAAAAGGCTTAAATCCCAGGCCGTTCATGTCACTCACTGGGACATAGGCCTCTTCGGTCACCTAAAAACAGAAGGCAGTGGTCACTGGGTAAAGCAGACAACAGCGGGAGCTGGTGAAGCTACAGGGGTTAGAGCTGCTGGGAATTCTACAAGCCAGTGAGGCCGGGATTTGGGAATGCGGCTGCCCATTGTGGTATGGGCTTTGTCTAAGTGGCTCCAGACCCAGGGTAGAACCTGAGGGACTGGAGAGGTCATGCTGACCAACTGTTAGCAATCACTCGGGAGTCTGTTTGTAAAATTCCCAGCAGCACCCACGGGAAAGTGGAAAAGTGAGAGACAGCAATGTCTATGAGTCCCAAGAGGCTCCATCTGGAAAGGTTTAGTTGCTTGTGGCCTGGAAAAGAAGGTGCATTTTAAGTGGCAGAGAGTAGCAGTGGGTGGCTTTCCCCCTGAACAGAAACTGAATGTGCAAGTGGCGGCTTTGAGAGGCAGCAGGAGGGCTGCAGACAGCTGTCTGTCTTTCTCTTTAAACACAGAGACAAACTGCACCGAGCGTGATCACAGACACGACGGCTGGCGATTCGTGGAGCACGGATGGTGACGCAAAGGTGATCTTATTACAGAAAAAGCAGGGATCATCGTGATGGGCTGATCAGTGAGGGGCACACCAATGACCAGGACACCCACAGGGCTTAAGCAATCCCAGAAGCAGATGGCAGATTTTCTGAAATGAAGGCTGAGTAAACACAGAAACACAAAAAGGAAAAAACCAAAATTGTACCCAGGGCCTGAATCCAGGGGGACATGCATTTACCGGTGCCTCCTCCACGGCTGTGACTTCCCCATCTGTGGCCTGGTCAGTGGCAAATGGAGATTAGTTGGGAACCATACTGGAAGGATACACTCAGTAGACTACCACCACAGAGCTGCTTCCCCCACTGCTCCATCTTGAACTGCAGTGAGCCACTCACTCTAGCGAAGGACACTTTCTTACTGCCCTTTTGGAAGGCAGTTGGTGTCCTCTCTTCAACTGTCAGATGCGCATGCCCTGTGAGCCCACAACCCCACTTGTAGCACGCAGACCTAAGCTGGCGGGAGACTCCATAGTTAATTGATGTGTGTAAGGACCTTGACTGGTGCTGTCTGTGGTCGTGCAAAACTAAAGCAACCCAATGTCCATCTGGAAGGGATTTGGTCAAATAAATTCTGGTGAGTCTGTCCAGTGGAACATGGCAGTCAGGTCCAATGAATCAATATGTAAGGGTACCTATGACACATTGAGGGAAGGAAGCAAGGTGCGAAAGCAGTATGTACGGTGTGACCCCAGGCATGAAAGTGAGGTGTGTGAAGTGTAAGTAGGTAAAAACTAACACAAGGCATCTCTGCAGCACAGAATCAGGAAAAAGTTCTTTTTTTACTTGATAAATGTCTACTGTGGTTAATTATTTAATTTTTTTTGAGGCAGAGTTTTGCTCTGTCATCCAGGCTGGAGTGCAGTGGCGCAATCTCAGCTTACTACAGCCTCAACCTTCTGGGCCCAGGTGATCCTCCCACCTCAGCCTCCTGAGCAGTTGGGACTAGAGGCGTGCACCACCACACCAGGCTAATTATTATTTTTTTTTTTTGGTAGAGATGGGGTCTCACTGTATTGCCCAGGCTGGTCTTAAACTCCTGGGATCCAGCAACCCTCTCACCTTGGCCTCCCAAACTGCTGAGATTTCAGGCATGAGCCACCATGCTCAGCAGTTAATGTTTCTAAAGTTTTTTATAAATTCATTTTCAACAAATCTTAGCTTTAATGCTCATGGCTGGGCGCAGTGGCTCATGCCGGTAATCCCAGCACTTTGGGAGGCCAAGGCAGGTGGATCACTGGAGGTCAGGAGTTACCAGCCTGGCCAACATGGTGAAACCCCATCTCTACTAAATATACAAAAAATAGCCAGGCGTGGTGGCAGGTGCCTATAATCCCAGCTACTCGGGAGGCTGAGGCAGGAGAATCGCTTAAACCCAGGAGGTGGAGGTTGCAGAGAGCTGAGATTGCACCACTGTACTCCAGCCTGGGTGACAGAGTGAGATTCTGTCTCAAAAAAAAACAAAAAAGATTTAATGCTCCTGATTCAACAGAACCAACAGCAAGGGAACCCCTCTCAACACCCTCTTCCGCCATAAGAAAGAATAAGAATCAGAAGCCCTCTCCTACAGAGGAAGGCCTATTTACCCATGTTAACTGCTTTGTGTGTATCTTGGGATCTGCAGAAAGGCAAAGGCAGCTCTGTGAGCGACATTTGGAACAGCCCTATCCTCTGCCTGCACAGGTTGGAGCTATGCAGGGACATATCAGTCAGAAGGAAGATCTTTCAATGGCTGAGCTATGGCCTTTGGTCCAGGACTTCTCAAAGGCAATGGGCAGTTAAGCTGTTTGTCCATGACTCCATGTGCTGTGTGTGAGTAGTGTATTTGAAGAAACCACCCTGTGGGTCTCCTTGAGACATTTGCTATGACTGCAGTGCTGGTCGGTGTCCTTTTTTGGCGTCAAACTTATAGAGGGAAGCAGGGAATCTACCCAACCAAAGCCAATGAACAGTCAGTCAGTCCATCTAGTTAAGGTTCTCTCCCTGGAATGAGAGAATAAAGACCCAAACCAGGTACTGTAGGTGATCGTCCCTTTCTGCCTTCAGCAGTGGTCAGGGGGCAGTGGGTAAACACAAAGTATTCTTGCTTTGTGTGTATTCAGGGGCTAGAAGACACTTATTACTGAGTTTGGAAGCCTCCACTTCTGCAAAAAGGGTCCTCAATTTTTTTACTCTGACTTTCTCACGTAGACCTTCCCAATATGGTCTTCTCTTACCCCCAAATCATTGCACCAGCAGGCCCATGACCACTGCTCAGTGCTTGGCTGCTCTTCCCTCCTTCCACCTAATTCTAACCAACCAGATAAAACCCACTATGGGCTAAAAACAGATTCTGAAAACTACAACTGGTACCCTTCTCTGTGAATAAGGACATCAACTTCCCAGCTGTATTTCTTTCTTCCTACAGGAGAAAAACACTCTTAAATGAACAATGTCAAAAGTTGACAAGTGTTTACATTTACATACTTGAGACATAAAAGAGCCTCCAGATCTCTGGCATGCTGTTTACAGATAAACAGACGTCGATGGAAGGGAATAATACTACAACAGAGTATAGACTGTTCGGAAGAAAGTCCCTGAGCTTTGGAGTTTGGAATGGAGTCTTCATGCACCTCTCCATTGCTGCACAAAATGAAATAATTAGAAGGTGCTTTGTCGGCTGTGCACAAGGCCAGGTCATTAAGGGCCTATAAACCTTGTGGTCAAGTGCGGCTGCTGACCACAGTATCAAAGGACACCAGTGAGGATGACAGCATGGTATTTGGTGTCTGTCTAGACCAAGCATGCTTCATTTGTAAAAAAGCCAACGATGCTTGGTTTTGAGGGTTCAATGAGGTAATGTCCCCAAGGTTTCTAACCCTTTTCCTGGTTGAAGAATATTCAGAAGAAGATCTATTATGTAATAATAAAAATAAATAAACAGAGGAAGATCTATAAGTAACTCACAACTGAAAATGAAAGACCTTGGTCATTCACTAACCCAGGTGTTTGCATAATGGTTTCCTCCTTTTATTCCAGATGTTCCTAGCTGCAAAAGACGAGGTATTTCCCCCTCATACATAAAGTGTGAATCTTTCCAAAACACAAGTGGAGGTACTTTGAGTCCTGGGATTTCAGAGTCAAGTCTCCAAACAAAACAGCATCAGGAAGCTCTCTCCTCCAGCCATGGAGAATGGCCATGAAGATGGAAGAAGGAAGAGCTGGCCGGTTAAAAACCTGTCATGTTTTATGTAGAAACATTTTCATAAAGGTGTGTTTTTCTGAGGAGTTATCTTTCAAAATGCCTGGGCTTAGGCCAGGATATTGCCCAAGTCCCTTATTATGATAGACACCTTGGTGGCCAGTAAGATTCCCTAAAAACCCTTACAGCCAAAGGGTCTCTGAGTTTCTAGAGATTACTCTGGGACTCTACAAGGTCATGACTGCTTAACAAATTTTTTTCCAAAGGAAAAAAAAGGTGAAGAGGATATCCTAGTCAGGGTTCAACAAACGGCAGCTGTTACAGTTTCCACCAATAACAGCATGCTCGGGAGAAGGAATTTTCCTTACCATGACAGTGAAGGGGCTGTTAGGAATATCAACACCACCGAAGCGCACATAGATCACATATGTGCCCGGCTTGGCAGCTGTGTAGAAGATGTCATAGGTTCCATCTTCATTCTCAATGACATCGGCCTCGGCCTCAGTGCCATCTGGGGTCAGAACCGTGCAGGTCACTTTACCCTTCCCGGCAGTCTTGGCATCAACCACAAAGCCTACTTCTTCGCCAGTTTTCACAGTGGAGGCGATTCCAGGACCTGGAGAAGAGTTCAGGGGAAGAGAATGGAAGTATGGACACACATCCTGGAGGCCCAAGAACAAATCATACCCATCCATGTTGTCTGTGCCTGTAAATGTTAGGCCTCCAACTGCTGCCATTCAGAGGGATATCCCAAAGATCCCCTGATCAGGTGTTGCTCAAAGGGTTACGTCATCAATTACTTACTAAATAAGGAGCATCTGTAAGCTCTGAGTGTTGACTAAAGGTTAGCCTGGGTTTGCCAGCATTTAAAGGTATGGCAATGAAGGTTGACTTTCAATAGCAAACATATTGGGCATTTTCTTAAGTGCCAGGTACACATAAAGGTGGGCAAGACACAGTCCCTGCTCTCAAGATGTTAACAGGGCCAGGCACCAAGAACGACATTTCCAACTGCAGTGGAAATGCTGAAGAGGAACTAAGTTACAGAAAAAATAACAAACTGTTCCTCAGAGAAGTGTCTGGCAGCATATCTAGGCAAAGGTTCTAAGAATTTATATCCCAGGGTTGCCGCACTGACAAAGGGCTTCCTAAAGAAAGGAAACATGGCTGAACCCTGAAGGATGGGTGCTGTTAGCTAAGGGAGACTTGCAACCTCTCCCCAGTGACCAGTCTCTCTCTTGATTTCTGGCGCCCCTTTACACAGGATCCACATATCAGGAAATGCAGAAAAGCATGAACTAAAAGCACATTGGTAGATATGAGCCAAGTGCGTAGGAGTAATAGGGAGGGTGGCAAGAACAGTTTGTTCAGGGAGGAGTGGAAGAGAAGACTGGAGTCAATCTGTGGAAGACCCTGAATGACAGACCCAGAGGTGTGGCCAAAAGGCAAGTATTCAGCTCAGGCTTCTGCCCAAGCTGGGGGAGGAAATAGGGCCTGCAAGGCAAGGGGGAAGTCCCCATCCAACGTTAACATGCCATCAATTAGTAAAGATGATCTGGTTGTCGCTGGCAGCTGCATAGACCTAGGAGGTGGTGGATTGGCCTGCATTCCAAAATTTTTCCATTTTTTGCCATGGGTGAGCCAAAAAGGGCCACGCTGAGCAATTCACAACCTTGCCGTGAAAGCCCAGATTTTCTCCATTCAAAAAAAGATGGGCTAAGAGAGAAACAGAACACATCAAGGGTGGTCCTGTGTTTAGTCTTCTTATTTAAAAAGAAGTAAATCTGTCTCATTTTAGAGATGGGGATTCGTGTTTTAAAATCTGCTTGAGCAGCAGCACTGAGCTGCCCAAGGGCTGTTCTTAAAAACTGAAAGGCCGGCCAGGCGTGGTGCTCACACCTGTAATCCCAGCACTTTGGGAGGCTGAGGAGGGCAGATCACTTGAGGCCAGGAGTTCGAGACCAGCCTGGCCAATTATGGTGAAACCCTGAATCCACTAAAAATACAAAACTTAGCCGGGCATGGTCGTGGGCACCTGTGGTCCCAGCTACTCAGGAGGCTGAGGCTGCAGTGAGCTGAGATTGCGTCACTGCACTCCAGCCTGGGCAACAGAGCAAGACTCCATCTCAAAAAAAAAAAAAAAAAAAAAAAGAATGGCCTGTGACAGTCAATAGTTGTGTCTTAGAAACTGAAGGAAAAAGGAGGGGAAAAAAAAAGAAAGAAACCAAAGAAACTGTGATGCTCAAATATTCATGGAGAATTCCTGAGAGGTTTACATATGCATGATGAAAAAAACCTAGATCCTTAAATGTGTTTCTCTAATGCTGACCTGAAATGCTCTTGAATGAATCCTGAGTAACTATCTACTCATAAAAGGCAGAAATGTGCTGCTTTTCATGGGAGCCGCCATCAGAGTTGGGTTCTCAACATTTCAAAAGCATATAATAATAGTTATCATGTACCTAGCACTGTGCTAAGCATTTTTCATGCCTGACCTCATCTAATCTTTGCAGTAACCCTGTAAAACAGTCTCTGTTCCTTAGAAGAGCTTCTTGGATCTAAATGTTCTCCAAATAAAAACAAAGAGCTTCAATCTATGTCAAACTGAAGTTCAGTGAGGTTGAGCAACGTGCCCAGATCATGTAGCTTGTAAGTCACAGAGAAGGGCTACGGCCCGGCTTTCTGATTGCAAAGCCTGTGCCCCTGACCTTGAGATGCCCTGTACTCACCCGTGGCCAGGCACTTGCTGGCATCACCCGTCTGTGTGGCTCGGATGCGATAAGGAGAAAGTGGGATGTCGTCACCCCCGTAGGTGACTCCAATCATATAGCGCCCAGTCTTGTCGGGGATGTAGGTGACAGCATACGTGCCATCTTTATTGTCATGGACAATGGCTCTTTTGGGTTTTCCTTCTTGGTCCTGTGGATCATAGAGAAATGCTATTTAGGATGTTGTCAAGATGTAGAAAACATTCATGGAAAACCCTGACATATTTTCCAATTAGTGCCTCTAGTGGAAACAGACAGAATTGATGGCTTAATACAATCTAGTTTTGTTTTGTTTTTTGGTAGGGAGAGTAGAGGGTCACAGATCCCTTTAACACCATGACAGACATGGCCAATTTTTAGTAATTTTGTTGTCAGGTGAACCAAGAGTGTTTTAGCTCGAAATCCTCTGAAATGTAGGGAGGGGAGGAGGCAGAGGCTTCTGCTCACACACCACCACATCCAGTCTCCCTTTTCTCTTTATTAACAGGACCATAACTCTTAGCTAGGTGCACCGCTCCCAGAAGATGGGAATCCACTTCCTAGCATCCTTGCCACTAGGTAATGTGAATTGTGACCAACCCCCAACAAATCAGAAGGGAATGGAAGTCTATGATGGACTTTTGGCAGGGCTGCTTAAGAGAGCCCACTGAGCTGGGAGGACCCCTTTTTCCCTTCTTTCTTCCTCCTTCTGGCCTGCCATGTGGATGTGATGGCCAGAGCACTGGCAGCCTTATGGTCCAGGAGGAGACCTTAAGGACAGAAGCCACATGCTAGGTAGAGGAGCAGAGAGATGGAGCTGACTTCCTTGGTGAGCTGCAGGGCACCCAGGTGGCTTAGCCTGGGGTTCCTTAACAAGAGAGAATAATCTCATTTATTTCAGCCACTCTTATTTTAAGGTTTACTGTGATATGCAGCATAACTTAGTCTTAAATGAACCAAAGAGTAATTTAAAACATTTAAAAATAAAAACATAGGGGACGGGCACAGTGTCTCATGTCTGCAATCCCAGCACTTTGGGAGGTTGAGGCAGGCAGACTGCTTGAACCCAAGAGAGTTCAAGACCAGATTGGGCAACATGGTGAAACCCCATCTTTAAAAAAAATAAAAATAAAAACATAGGAATAGATGTAGTAAAAAAACATGAAAATTCACCAAAAAGTGGTTCTTGGAGCTACACCCTCAAATCTCTCAGGTGAGCTGCTTCTGCTTCTGCACATTTACTGACTCTTTGGTGGGAAAATCTAACAAACAACTTGCATTGAGTCAGAAATCGGTTATTGAAACCCTTGTTCTTAAATCTGGCCCAGAAATTAAGTCTTAGGATTAAGGTTTGGCTCAGAAAATAACTCCAAGTTACCGTTATTTGAACAGCAAGCAGGCCTTCCCCGGCATCTCGGGCATCAATTGCAAAGTCCACAGGTAGACTGGCAGGCACACCATAGGAACTAAGGCCGGGGCCACTGGCAGTCACTTTGCTGGCATCATATGTGGGAAGGACCTTGACCTTGAAGGGACTTGATAGACACACACACACACACCCTAGTCAATAAAGATACATGTCAACCCAGCTGCATCTGACTTTTCTTACACATAAGAGTGGGATGGAAAAGGGGATTTCTACAGCAGATAAGACAGTGAGTTAGTCAAGGTGCCTAAGTCTAGCAGAAATTTACAACTATGAGGTAGTAACCATCATATGACAGACTGGTTTTGTCCTGAGTGTGTTCCAAGGCAGCGGTCCCCAACCTTTTTGGCACTAGGGACTGGTTTCGTAGAAGACCAGGGGGCCTGGTGGGGGAATGCTTTCAGGATAAAACTGTTCCACCTCAGATCATCAGGCACTAGTTAGATTCTCACAAGGAGTGTGCAATCTAGATCCTTCTCATGTGCAGTTCACAATAGGGTTCGCACTCCTATGAGAATCTAATGCAGCTGCTGATCTGACAGGAGGCAGGGCTCAGGCAGTAATGATGGCTCACCCACCACCGTGCGGCCCAATTCCTAACATGCCGTGCACCCACACCAGTCCACGCTCCAAGGGTTGGGGACCTCTGTTCCAAGGGATACAAGTAGTTTGGGGAGGAAGAGTTCACAAATTAGTTTGGGAAACACAGGGTTAAACACATTTACCCCACTTTTGTTATGCTAAGATCATGGTCACCAAATGGAAAGAGAATACTGGAACTTCAGTTTTAATATTTATATCTCATCTTATTCTATATTCTGTATCTATAATTATTCTATAGTATGCTTCATATGGTACATGGTATATTAGTAAAGCAATATACAAATGTAATTTATAAATTACATATTTCTACATAGAGCTAATATGCTTATCTCTATATAAAATATGTGTTAGGGGATATGGGTGAAAGTTTTTCATCTTAAGGGGCATGATTTTTTAAAAAAAGAAAAGAAAACCCTTAGAGATTGTTCCAAGAGGTGAAGAGCTTATGTAACATTTTTTTTTGTATTAATATCAACAAGGAACAAGGTTTCTATGTAAAACCTTTTGGAAATGCTTTTATCAAGCAAACCCTGAAGTAAAGACCTTTGTCCTGTCCCAATCAGAAAACTACTTGCAGGTTCACCAAAACACCAAAAGGAAGCCTCTAATAAACTAATAAATTATTTATTTCATCAATGATTGTCTACTACTATTGCTTTTTTTTTTTTTTTTTTTTTTTTTTTTCCAGAGATGTCAGGGGAGGGTCTATGTTGCCCAGGCTGGCCTCAAACTCTTGGGCTCAAGTGATCCTCTCATCTCAGTCTCCCAAGTAGCTGGGATTACAGGCGAATCCCACCACACGTGGTTAGGATTTCCAACTTCTTAATTTCAGCTCACCTTTAAACTAAAGATGTCTGAAAGGAACTGGGGGAGTGAGAGAGCGGGAGCCACAAATATCAAGGCTAGTGTGTGGTGACAAGTTGCAGGTTCTATGTAATACTTGCTGCCTCTATGAATGGGTAGACGGACTGATGGAGGAATGGATGGGTGGATGGATGGAATGATGAAAGAATGGATGGATGGATGGACTGATGGAGGAATGGATGGGTGGATGGATGGACTGATGGAGGAATGGATGAGTGGATGGATGGAATGATGGAGGAACGGATGGGTGGATGGACTGATGGAGGAATGGATGGGTGGACAGATAGACTGATGGAGGAATGGATGGGCAGATGGATGGAGCTTACCTGCGAGGAATCTCTTCATCAGCATATTTAACTGAGACCATGTAAGGTCCCTCCTGAGATGGGGTGTAGGTTACTGTGTGTGTGCCATCTCCATTGTCCACCACGTTCACTGGCTCCACCAAGCCTGAGGACAGAGATGAGAGGTTTAAGGAGCTGCCTGGCCTCACCTTTACTCCACCCTTGGCTGAGTCTGAAATAGGACCACATCCATCCCCAAGAGCTATTGGTTTCCACTGATGAGTAACAAAAAGGCCAGCAACCATAATCACAGGCCTGAAAAAAATCACAGGATCCCCAATTCATGGTTGCAGAAATGACCCCGAGAGACACCTTTAGCTTTTTGTTGGCTAAAATACACTCAGTCTGCCCTAGAGTATAATTAAGGAGACTGCCTGTGCTTGCTGCTGGAGGGTGTATGTGGATGATGTGTGTTGAAGACACAATATAACCTTTCAAGCTGGTTAGGCACGCTTAGGATGTGGCAATTTTACTCTACAGCTGAGACACTGCCAAAGAGTCCAGAATTGTGAAGAGCAAAAATTAACCAATGGGCTGGCTAGTCAAGACTTGTGGCCACCTTTGAGCAAAGAACACTGTGGTACCAGCATGCTGGGGCATAGGTGCAGGGCAGGTGAGGGTGCCAATCTCATGGGGCAAGGGGACCCTCAAGGTGAAGCCTGTGGAGATGTTAGAGATTATGCTAAAACATAATCAAGGCACGCGTTGGGTTGCAGAGTCCAGATCCCAGCTTCCAACGTGACAGTCAAGGATGGGTCAACTCCAGGGTAGGTTAATCAAAGGATGGCATGCTCATTAAGCAAAGCAGATGAGGCAGGTGTAAGCAATTTTAGAAGTGAGGCCAGCAAGAAGCATTTGGGTTACATAATTCAGCAGCCATGGGAAAATGCAAACCTGTCTTATTAAAGTCACCCTTCGGGTCACCTTTAAAGAACTCTGAAAGGGCTTTCAAGGGGCTGCGCCATGACTGGGAATCCGTGTCGTCAGCTAAAATCAAAAGGCTGTTACTTGAGAGTCCTTCATAATAGAGGCAGATATCCAAGTAAAGCTTCTCTTTCTTCTTTTTCTCCCTCTCTCATTCACACATACACAGGGACACATACATGCACACAAACACATGCAGGTCCTGAAGCTCAGTAACTTCACAGAATCTGATCCCAGACCCATGACCTAATTTCCCCCAAACCATTTCTGCCCTGAGCTTCAAAAGATAAAACCTCCTGCTGAACCCCATGAAGGAGAAGGTTCCTCTTCAAAGAGGGAAAACCCCATTTGCCACTTCTGTGAATCCAAGAACATATCATTGGCGAGGAAAATCCAGATTACGTAAGAAATTAGGCACACTGTCCTCTATGTGGGAGAAAGGCACATTTTAAGTGCTGGAGGAGGAAACATGGTCACTTATCAAAAAAGGCAAGTTCCAATGCACTTCAGGGCTTTGTCCCTATATGGCCCGCTAGCCTTACCAAACCCAAGTTCCAAGCTGCCAACAAGGCAGGCCAAATTGCCAACAAAGCCCATTCCCCAAGACACACTCTCTCTCTGGGGAACTAAGACAATGACAAAGCCACGTATCACGTGCATCATGTGCCTGGCATTCCCAGAGGTTCTGGTATGTACCACATGGACACCAAGATATCTCAATGAGTTATCACCTCCAAACCCCACCATCTGCCACATCCAGAGCAACCCACCCCCTCACAAATGCTGAAACACATAATGAAACAGTCGCCACCATATTACATATGACAGCCCAAATACTGCTGCTTCCTCTAAGAAATTGATAGCCATATTATTAAATGGGGGGACAGATCACTGGAGAAATAACAAGCCTGCTTACTTGTAAGCAGGAATTTCTACTGTTTAACTAGAAATGAAACAATAATTTTTTTTAATTTAATTTTAAGCTCATGAGCAAACTCAAAAGCAAAGCATCTGCTCTGGGTTACAGCTGCCCCTGCCTGGGGCAGATGAATGTCTGCAGGAAGGCAGGGTGCACACTTACCTCGTGGGCCCAGAACCCTCACTTCCAGCGGAGCCAGGCCAGCCTTGCTGCTGTCCACCGTGAAGGACTGCAGGACACGGGCTCGGACGCCTGAGCCCAGCCCGGGGCCGGCAATCTTGACCTTGCTGGGGTCCACAACATCCTTCACAGGAACCCTGAAGGGGCTGCCTGGAAGAGAGGTTGTGGGATTCTGAGCACAAGCTGGGAATTGGAGACCACCTTGTGCACACCCAGAATAGCACTGCTGCTCCCCCGGGACCTCGGCCATGCAGGCCTCGGTCAGCTCCCCCTGCCTCACTGTGTGCACTGCTCATGTGCCTACTCATTGTTGTCAACCATTCTCACAGAACACCTACTACGTGCAGATGTTGTGCCACGTGCTGGATCCTGAGCGGTTAACACCCCCCAGGAACCCACAACTGCAGGAGAAGGATGAGGCAAGCAAGTCACTCTAACATCCTACATAACATATTTGGGGTGTGGAAGGTGGAGCACTCAGGAGGCAATTAACCTGGTCTGCGGGAGACCAGAGAAAGCTTTCCAGTAACATCTCAGTTGCGGCACAAGAGGGAGCAGACAGAGAGGTGCTTCAAGTAGAGAGGCCTCAGCACATGCAGGAGCCTAGAGGCGAGGGAGGAGACAGGCTGCTGGAGCAACTGAAGGAGGAAGCCAAGTGGTGGAACAACAGAACGGAGAGAGATGGGCAGGCCCTGCAGCCCACATCCAGCCCTGTCCCCCACACATGGCTCCTGTGTGTCCCCCAGACTCCTCTCCCTCCAATGCAGCTGGCACCTTCTGACCACACTCAGCCTTCTCGGTCACTCGGCCACCTGGTGAAGCCTTGCCGTCTTCCTGAGTGTAAGCTGAGCTCCTGCTACATGGCTGACCCCCCGGGGGACCCTGAGGGCCTCTGACTCCTTGAGGGTGTCAGTTTTAAAGATGAAGCACAGAGGAGTCGAGGAGAGGAGATAGTGATTTGCTAGAGAAGTGCTAAACAGAGAAACAAGGGCTAGGCCAAGGACACTCATGGACTCCACTGTGGAGGGGGACCTCCCCATCCAGCGAACGGCAGCATGCCTCAGGCTACCACGCCCATCACCAAGGGGCTACGTGCACCTCTGCCTCGCATGGGAGTCCTGGTGCTCCCCATGGTATCTGGCAAAGTTAATGACTGCCGTGAAAGCTGAGGGATCTCTGCTTTGCATCCCAGAGAATTTATACTTTGTAGAATTAGAGATGGTAGACAGCCAAGACACACAAAGAATTGAGTCCCTGGCTTTCTAACAACAGCTGGGTTTCAACGGCATCCAGGTCTTTAGCTACGTGAAATAAATGGCTGGCCCTGGCAAACAAGCACAGGCCTCCACACTGGGGTGAGAGGAACAAAAGGGGGCTTTACTTTAGAGAGTGACAGTTGAGGATTTCAATGTCAACAGCTGATGGCAAGGGACTACCTCTGAGGCCAATCTTTAAGTCAGAGCCTCCACTAGAAGTTGTCTGAGCTCAGCATGAGAGTAGCCAAAAACCAACAAACCCGGGTAAGATAAACTGTCCAAGATGGCAGACCCCAAGCATTATCCGCCACTCCCCTGTTCCATGCCCAGACACATGTCACCATTCCCTCATGCCAGATCTTCTTCCTCATGCACTCTGAACCCCAGTCAATCCAGTGGTCTAGGGAGCCGCCACCAACCAACCACAGCTGGCCTACCACAGGAAATCAACATGCCATTACGGGTAAGACAGGACACGTTGTTAAAAATAACTCCACTCCGGGTTTTTAACCAGGCCAGGAAAAACTAGGCTAATATTTAAGCACCCAGAATTACCATGAAAGCAAATTAGAAGGTGGCAGGTAGCCGACTGTTTCCCGGCAGTACCCCCATAGGTTGCCTTAGCTAAGAAGCCTGATGCTTAGAAAACCAACCAACACTTCACTAAATATCTCTGCCTGGGAAAGTTCTGGGGTTCTGGAAAAGCCGGCATTTGGCTCTCTGGGAGGCAACAGAGAGCCTGAAACATAAAAAGGCACCATCCACACCTGATGGGAAAACCACAAATGAGTGTCTTTCTGTTGTTATGCTCAAAGACGACCATTTGCTTTAAGCTCACAGGTCGGCCACAGGGGACAAACTCTGACCCCTTTCTGTAAGGGGGATTCGGAAGCTGGTGGCACTCACCAGCCTTTCCCCATAGTCAAAAAGTTTCATTGCCACAGGAGATGTTCATCTCCACTGTTGCCTGCCAGGTCGGAGCCACATCACCCCTCCTGGGAGCAGCCTTCTACCCGTTTCCTGTGCCCAACTCTCTCCTAACGCAAGTGTTACAAAACTCCAAAACAAGCCCGTAGCTCTGAATTCTGTCACCGAGCCCCATTCTCATTCTTCATAGCAGTCATCACAAGTTTTAGTTGTAAAAGCCCTAGACAGTAAGCTCCCTGAGGGCAGGAACTTTGTCTTGCCCACAGCTGAAGTCCCCTAGACTAGTGATTATAGGAATTTTTTAAATCTATATTGAATGAGCCGCAAGCACAAGTTTGAGGAGAAACATGTTGTTTTAAATGACTTGAGGCTTAAATGAGTATCTGAGTAGAATCAGTCTGAGTTGAATGTCAATACTTTCTGATCAGTGTGAGAGAGAGTGAGTGTGAGTGTGTGTGCACATTTCCATGTGGTAAGGGGGAAGCAGGAATGGAATCAGGAAAGCGTGTGGTCAGTGGACACTCCAGCTGCCTGAGAGTTAACCCAGAACCCAGCAGTGGGCCCCTCAACCTGCCCTTCCCCTCTCAGCGTGACCCAGAGAAAGAAGAACAAGACCCCGCTGAGGCTCTTTCTGCTCCTGGGGTCCTGGGGTGGGGCTTTGCCCTCTTCACACCACACCTAAGACAAGGCATAAGTGGCCCAGAACAGCCCCAGCCCTCGGTCTTCTGTCCACACCACACACTTGCCTGCCCTTTTAGAAATGGGGGCGGGGGAGGTGGTCTCAGAATTCACCACTATAGAATTCATCCATGTAACCACAAACGACTTGTACCCCAAAGCTATTGAAATAAATAAATAAAATGTGTGGGGGTGACAATCATTTGAGTAGATAACTAGAACCTATGGAGAGTCCTCCCCCCAAAACAAATGGAGGAGGGTCTTTCACTACTTAAGTCATATATTTATTTATTGTTTGAATCTTTACAGCAGTGGTTCAGGCTGAAGTGATTTTGTCCCTTAAGACATCTGGCAAGATATGGAGACATTTTTGGTTGCCACAAATAAGAATGGGGAAGGAGAAGTCTGCTATGGGCATCTAGCAGGTACAGGGCAGGGATGCTGACAAAAGTCTACAATGAACAGGACAGCCCCACACCACAAAGAATCATCTAGCCCAAAGTGTCATAGTGCCGGAGTTGAGAAACCGTGTTTCACAGTGATTACACATGACATCACTAAATACAAAAGAAAGAATTTGAATCTGCATATCTTGATCAGCTACTAGTATTGTCAGTGAAAAAAAAGAAACCAAGACACATGAATAAGGAGCCAAGCACAAAATAAGGTAGAAATTTTCTTTCTTTTTCTTTTTTTTTTTTTTTGAGACAGGGTCTTCCTCTGTCACCCAAGCTGGAGCGCAGTGGCGCAATCTCAGCTCACTCAACCTCCCAGGCTCCCATCTCAGACATCGTCCCATCACAGCCCCCACCCCACATAGCTAGGATTACAGGCACGCACCATCACACTCAGCTAAGTTTTGTATTTCTTGTAAAGATGGGGATTCCCCATGTTGCCTGGGCTGGTCTCAAACTCCTGACCTGAAGCAATCTGCATGCCTTGGCCTCCCAAAGTTTGGGGATTACAGGTGTGAGCCACTGTGATTTTCAACTTTGTAAAGAACCAGCTTTCCCCTGAATCAAGAACTAGGTCCTCCAACACACGCACAACTGTTTCCAGTCAAAATTCTAAGCCGATGCTTTTTGCCATGTTACCGGTTCTACTGGGAGTTGAGATAATCTTGGAGATGTAGCCCTAAGAAAAACTCTCCTTTTGCAGCTATTACAAATATCAGATTGTTTTCCCCACTCAGAGAGATAACCAAAATCAAACCCATTTTCCTGCAAAATCAATTATTCTCTGGGGTCCTCTCTGAGGAATAGCTCACCGGGGATGTGGGCTCCTCCATATGTGATATTAACATCGTAATCCCCCGGTGCGAAAGGAATGTACTCAGCACTGCAGCTGCCATCCTTGTTGTCTCTGCAATTTATCTTCGACTCTGATGGTCCCTCAACAGTTATGCCAAGCCCACCAATTCCTGCGCCTCTGGAAAGAGTGGAAAAGAAAGTGAAATGTGCACCATTTATTTATGCTGGTCTGCTTATTGCCAAAATTCATGCAAATTCCCTTTATAAACTATTCCACGTAGCCACCCCAACTCAATTACTACACCTCTCACATAGGGAATTTCACATTAGTATAATGTAAGTAAAGACACTCTGACCCCTCATTTTCAATGCTTATGCTTCATTTATTTTTCTTTTTCCTGAGACAGAGTCTCACTCCATTGCCCAGGCTGGAGTGCAGTGGCGCGGTCTCGGCTCACTGCAACCTATGTCTCTTGGGTTCAAGCAATTCACATGCCTCAGCCTCCCAAGTAGTAGCTGGGATTACAGGCGTGTACTACCAAGCCCAGCTAATTTTTATATTTCTTGTAGGGATGGGGTTTTGCCATGTTGGCCAGGCTGGTCTCAAACTCCTGGCCTCAAGCAATTGTCCCGTCTCGGCCACCTGAAGTGCTGAGATTACAGGTGTGAGCCGCCACACCCAGCCTATTTTTCTTATCTAATTGCACTGGCTAGGACTGCAAGTACAACGCAGGCATATGCCTTGCAACCAACTTTAATAAAAATACTTACAAGGTTGGCTACAAATTTTTACATTATCAAGTTATAGAGCTTGATTGACTCCTGGTTTGCTAAATAGTTTCATGACCATTATCAAGTGCTTTGGTATGTTTTTTAGGTATGCTTGGTCTTTCTATGTAACATAAGTCTCTACAGAAGGAAATACATGTTATAAAAATAAAAATTCATCTTATCAAAAGTTAGGAAACCATGACACATAGGTAGAATCTAGCCACAAAAGTGAGACTCAAGACACCAAATGTAGGGCCTTGCCTACCTGGTAACCACGGTGAAGACATTGGGCTTGTTGGTAAAGGCCTCTTTCAATCCAGGTCCTTGGGCTTGCACCCTAGATGGCTGGCAGCCTTCAGTGACAGCCACCTTGAAGGGACTGTTTGGGATAGGCACGTCATCATATGTCACCTCCACTACATGGAGACCTGCTCAAAACAACAAACAGAAACGCATATTTGCATACAAATCCCCTATTTGTGAAAAATGATTCTCTACTTCAGAGTTTCATCTAGCATCGAAGTCTGCATGCTATACTATGTTATTTGGAAAAGGGGGTTAAAAACACAGTAATGTGGCTGGGGGCAGTGGCTTACACCTATAATCCCAGCACTTTGGGAGGCCGAGGTGGGTAGATCACTTGAGTCCAGGAGTTCAAGACCAGCCTGGGCAACATGGCGAGACCCCATCTCTACAAAAAATACAAAAATTAGCTGAGTGTGGTGGTGCACACCTGCAGTTCCAGCTACTCAGGGGGCTGAGGCAGGAGGATCATTTGAGCCCAGGAGGTTGAGCCTGCAGTGAGCCGTGATCACACCACTGCACTCCAGCCTGGGCAACAGAGTGACATCCTGTTTCAAAACAAAACAAAACAATCCCACAGTAATGTAGGTATGATCTGACTTTTAAATAATACAAACCGTCTATCTGCAGTCACATAAGCCACTCCACCCCAACCAAGCAAATATTCAAGTCAGTCATCCTAAACAGACTACTCTCATTCGGGAAAACACCATCCAGCCATTAACCAAAAGAAAAAGCGAAACCCGTGAAACAGAAGAAACAGGCATCCACAAGAAGACTGAAAATATCTATATCAGAATATCGCAGGCTTCCGATCTCCAGGTAGTGGAGATATACATGGCACTTTTTTTTCTTTATGGTTTTCTATTTATTGAAATTTTTTATAATTCCTAATACTCAAGAAGAAAGAAATTCATACGCAAAGAAAAATGGCACAAATGAGCAACATCATGACATTACCCCATAACTTGCTGAGGTGAGACTGAGGCTAAACCCAGCCCACCTATTACACAAGGCCAGCAAGCCAGGCACTGAGTGGGCAGGTGACTGCAGCGGACGCTGACTTCCACTCTGTCACTCTGCACGTGGCCCTGCTGAGACAGGCCTAGCACATGGGGCAGGCATCAGTACCAGCCACCAGGAGGCAATGACCAAGGGCAGCTCTGAACGAGGGTCCAGTCCGAGGACAGGGCGGCTCACCTTTCTCAAAGGGTGTGTATTCCACCTGGTAGGTCCCATCCGCATTGTCTGTGACAAAGCACTCGGTGGAGGCCCCTGAGGGGTTGGCAATGTGGGCCTTGATGTGGTCACCCCCAACCTGGGTCAGCGGCCGAGAGTCAACTGTAAAGTCGGTGGTAGCTTCCCGGAACACATCTGCAGAGCAAGCACATAGCTAACACTGCCACCAGTACCCCAGACCCAAAAGCAAACCCCAGAACCAAGGTTCTTGGCACTTCAGGACACATGAAGTCCAATTTCAGTAACTGGAAAACTGGTTTTTCTAACTCTCAAATCAAGAATATTAACCCCCTCCATCCCAAAGAAGGCCTTTCTAGAGTAGCCACGGCTAAGTGACAACACGACTGCTCACACCGGGCTCGAGGACAGGTTAAAGGTTGAAGACTAACCTGCTGTGTGGCATGCAGGTGTTAGACAACACTACATTTTAAACTTTTTTCCAATTAAATGCCAACATGTTGTATGTTGAGTTTCCAGAGAAAAATCAAGATTTCTGCCTTTGCCAAAAAACTAGAGATTCTGCTGACAATGCTAGGTCCTGTTCCCCATGGAGAAACAGAAAACAGGGGTTGAGTAGCACGGTCCCCAGAAATGCAATGTGCTTAACCTTCACCAGGGCCCCCCAACTACTCCCCGAGGCAGAGGGAACAGGTGAGCACCGCCTTATATGTCACCTGGCTCCTGCAGGTGGCTGAGTTTGCAGCTCCAAGTTTCAGGTAGCCCTTAAGTCCCAGCTTGTCTTTTTTTTTTTTTTTTTTTTTTTAAATGAAACCCACCTTTCCCTTCTATTCCTGGTCCAAAGACTTTGATCCTGCTGGTGTCCACGGCGGGCTCCACCTTGACCCGGGCGGGGAAGTGTGGCACGAGTTCGCCACCATACTTCATGGTCAACGTGTACATGCCGGCCGTCAGGGGCACGTAGGTCACCGCGTAGGTGCCATCTTTGTTGTTCTGAATACTGACTTCGGCTTTTGTTCCCGAGTCCGAGACAGCTTCCAGGCCCAGGGCCCCCGGTCCCGCTTCCGAGCAGTCGACGCTAAGGAGGCCAGCTTCACCCACCTTCCCGTGCTCGAGACCTGGCCCCGATGCCACGACTTTAGAGGGGTCAAAGGGCATTTCAATGTCAGCTTTGAAGGGAGACCCAGGTATGTGGACTTCTTCAAAGAGGATGTTGACGAAGTACTCCCCGGGTTTTGTGGGAAGGTAAGAGACGGAGCAGGTCCCATCACCATTGTCGGAGCACTCGATTTTGGCCTCGCACGGACCTTCCACCGTTAAGCCCAGACCTCCAGTACCAGCTCCTTTGGTATCGATGGTGAACTCGGCAGGCTTGCCCACGAGACCACCTTCGAGGCCGGGACCGTGGGCCTTCACCTATTTGAGCAAAGAATAAAGTCAAACTGCACTGGGATCGCTGCTCAGCCAGCACTGCTTTCAACACCCATGCATATAATCAGCATGGAAGTGCATCTGAGCCAGGCAGCCCTTCTCTTGGGGCTTTATGTGTCACACGTGCACACGAGTTAAAGCTACAACAGTCAATGCAGCAAATGCCTCAGAACTCAATCACCAGCGAAAACCCACAGGAGAGAGGTGTGACCCCCATGGAGCAGCCCCTCCAAGACTCTCCTCTCTCCTACCCAACCTGACCCTTCTAAATCACAGGCCTGGACTTGGAAACCTAATGTCCATTCCAACAAAGATACACGAGATCCCAGGTTGAGGGCTCATGGAAGGGCTCTTGTGGAGCTAGCTGTGGCTTGGGCTGTTGCAATTTGCTCAACAAATTCTGCATAATAATAAAACTAAACTGTTTCTAAAAAAGAGTGAGGAAGGAGGCTTTCACCTCTAATTCAACAAATAAGACACCTTCATAGGATTCACACCATTGAGACCACTGGAAATCTTCCAAAACCCCTTGAGTCAGGGTTACTATGAAGAAATGACGATGAACTTTTTTTTTTTTTTTTGGAGGGGACGGAATCTCACTCTGTTGCCCAGGCTGGAGTGCAGTGGCACAATCTCAGCTCACTGCAACCTCTGCCTCCCAGGTTCAAGCGATTATCCCACCTCAGCCTCCCGAGTAGCTGGGATTACAGGCATGCGTCACCACACCCAGCTAATCTTTGTATTTTTAGTAGAGATGGGGTTTCACCATGTTGGCCAGGTTGGTCTCAAACTCCTGACCTCAAGTTATCCATCCACCTTGGCCTCCCAAAGTGCAGTGATTACAGGCGTGAGCCGCTGCGCCCAGCCAAGAATAATGTTTTTTTTTGTGGTTTTTTTTTTTTTTTTTTTGAGACGGAGTCTTGCTCTGTCGCCCAGGCTGGAGTGCAGTGGTGTGATCTCAGCTCACTGCAAGCTCCGCCTCCCAGGTTCACACCATTCTCCTGCCTCAGCCTCCCGAGTAGCTGGGACTACAGGTGCCCGCCACCATGCCCAGCTAATTTTTTGTATTTTTAGTGGAGACGGGGTTTCACCGTGGTAGCCAGGATGGTCTTGATCTCCTGACCTCATGATCCGCCCGCCTCGGCCTCCCAAAGTGCTGGGATTACAGGCATGAGCCACCGCGCCTGGCCAGAATAATGTATTTTTATATTACATGATTCTAGCTTCTGGAGGGTGAGCTCCGTCTGTGAGCTGGGTGCTGGGCAGAGGCCTCCACGTTTGCTAACTCACCTACCCCTTACAGGCTGGCTTTGTAGTGAGGACTGTGATTATGCTAACAAGCGAAGAAAGAAGACTCTGGGACAGGGAGCCCCTCACCAAAGTCTTGTAGTCAGAGAGCAAGAGGAGGAGCAGGGTTGTGACCCACCTACCCAGGGGACCTTTCACAGTGAATTGTGCTAACTTTCATCACAAAACGATTTTCAGAAGGTCTTTGCCAGGAAGAACCAGAGAAGGACTATGGTGTCATGTTTGACAGCAATGAGACAAGTTCTGGGACAAAAGCAAAGGCTGACCTTGCTGGGATCTGGTGGCAGCGAGGCCTCCACTGTGTAGGGGCTCCCGGGCACAGGGTGTCCATCGTAGGTCACGTCTACAGCATACAGCCCCTCCTCCCGAGGGATGAACTTGGCCGTGCTGTTCTCCCGGCCTGTCACAGGTGTCACTAGGCATGGCACGACCTTCCGAGAGGGGCTGAGGATTGTCACGTCCAGCTTCCCCTGGCCTCCTGCCCCCCTGGTATCAACGGTGAACTCCTGATCCTTCCCAACTTCCACCCCTGGAAAAGAAACACAAGCTGAGGTGAAGAGCTGACCCTTTTCAGCAGCAGGAACAATCCAGAGCACAGAAGCAATGGTTCTTTGGACACGGGGACTTATCTCAGCCTCCACTGTAAGCAACAGCTGCTGCAGAGGACAAGCAGCAAAGCTGAGTAAGTATCATCAGCATCTCAGCCTCAGTAACAACAAGTGTCGGCACAATAATCAATTAGTGATGACAGCAATAACGGCTATCATTTACTGAATGCATTTTATATGCCAAGCACAAATAGGTTATTGTCTTAATTTTCACCACAATCCTATGGGGTATTTATTATTAACCAATGGCTTTCACAGATGGGGAAACTGATGCTCAGAGAGGTTAAGTAACTTGTCCAGGGTGACATATGCAGCAGCCTGCCAAGCTGGGACTCAAAGTGAAATTTACCTGACCCCACAATCTTTGCTGACCAGAAAGTTGTAATCTGACACTGTCGTCTCTTATTTACTTACTTTTGGTGTTAACTTGATATCCAAACACCCTCATAAGTCAATGTTTTATTTACTAATTCTTGGCAGCCAACTCCATCTTATAGGCACCCCTCCCCCTCAAGAAAGCAGAAGTCACAGAGCTGCCAAATGCGAGCCGATTGAAGCAAGTGCTGAGAACTGACTGTACCGTGATGGTTTCCAAAAGGTCTCTGCAAAGCAGGGCTGCAGGAAGCCCAAGTGTTAGATTAGACAAGAACAGGGAAAGGACTTTACCCAAAACAAAAGCACTGGGAACACAGGGCCCCTGCCACAACCCAGAGAACCTTGACTCTGAAGGAACATAGGGCCTGGCAAGATGGACACTGCCGAACCACAGGCAAGGAGGTCCCGGATCGCTACTTCCCACCGGAAAAGAGGCTTTCCTAATTGGCACCCTGCTTTTCCTGTTCTGGAGTCAAAGCTCTCAGTGTCTTGGGGAAAGGAGTGACAAGGGGACACATGACAGGGTTGGGCAGTGGACGTTTACACACTCAGAGCTGGCTGCTCCAGCCACAAAAGCCAACAGTGAGCTCTCACTTTGGATCTCTGCAACTGGGAGCTGGCCTTGCTTGCAACTTGTGCACTTGGGTCACGAGTGAAGGAAGATGCTCACTAATGGCACTGCTAGTGGTACTCTGGAGAAACCCTCACAGGTGAATACAGGAGGCCCCGTCCTGGGGGTATGCACTCAGCCCTGCCTCAGTAAGCCTGAAACCAGGTGAATGTGAGCCCTGAGGTACATCCAGTCTGGAGCCACTCAGCAGTAAACACAGACGGAAAAGATGTAGGAGTGAATGATTCCCGAGATGCACTGTTGGAAGGCAGGCCGAAGAAGTAGGTTTATACAGCAGGGCAACTTTAATGCAAAATAAATACAGCCAAATGTGTTCCACAGGCACATCTATATGTATAGATGCAGAGAGAAGATCTGGAAGAACAGAAACTGAATTGAAAACTTTGGTTAACCCTAGGGAGAAGGAGAGGTGAGGGTTAAAGTGGAATTATCCCTTAACTGTAATGTTTTTTAGATGAAAAATGGATATATTTTTACTTGTATAAAAAAATCATTTTATGAGCATGTGTTGCACATCTGAAGCTGAGTGATAAGTACATCAGTGTTCATGTTATACTATTCTCTTTCCTTTTCTGTTTGAAATTTTCCCTACTAAAAAATAATCAGAAAATTGAAAATAAGCGAAATGAGCTTATACTAGTAAAATCCCTAACAAGCTAAAGGAACATTGGGATGGGGCAGAGGTGTGGTGGTAGTGACTTCTGAGTGCCAGGGATTTGGCATTTATGCTTGACTCGCAACCTTAGTGCGGATTCAGTTGCCAAGGATAGCTGGCACAGTTAGAAACTCATCAGAAAGCAACATAGCCCAAATTCTCTTTTTAATGAAAACTTCCTACTGCAATGCCAGGGGGCTGACTACGTGCCAGCCTCTGAACCATTAGCTCATATAATTTTCAAAATATTCCCATGGGTGTTCTCAACCTCTCCCCGCCGACCACCCCCCACTGTACAAATGAGAAAGCTGAGTCTCGGTGTGGCTAAGGGGCAGACACAGTCACAGTTACTTCACACCACGGCCTTAATTCGAACCAAAGTCTGTGCAACTGCAAAGTCTCTTAACATAGAATTTGCTTCTCTGCAAATTTCACCTTTTGAAGAAAATCTAACCAGCAGCCACGTTGGGGGGTCATCAACAACCCATCTGCTCTCCATTCAGGCACTTACTGTTTTCCAGCCCATTGAGTTTTATCTTGCTCAGATCCAGCGGTGCAGCAACACCCACAGTGAAAGGGCTTTTAGGGATGGGATCGCCACCGTAAGTCACCAGAACCTGCATGTTGCCCTGGAACAAGAGAGAAAACTCAGTTTACCTTTGGGTACCAAAAAGCTAACTTGGCATTTAAAATCCCCTCAAGATCCCTCATTCTTCTCACGGACAGGGGAGACTTGATTCCAATCAATGTAGAAAGTATCTTAGATCTATTTCTTCTAGCTTTTGACCACAAGGCAAGAATAACAGAAAAATTAGATCAAATAAGAGCAGCTAATAATAACAGAAGCAACTTAATGAGCATTTTCTACACACCAAGCACCATGCTATGTGCTTTTATGCATTTCCTCAATTCAAGATCAAAACAGTCCTAAGGGGTAGTTCCTACTGTCATCTCATTTTTTCAGGAGAGGAAACTGTGGCTCAGACTGGTAAAGGAACGTGCCCCAAGTCACACACCTTGGTAAGGGTGCGAGCTGGGCCTCATACCCATGGCCCCCAAATCTGTGTCCTAGCTGCTCTGCCACACCACCTCCCCATCATCATACCCAGTGCCAGCCAGTGCAGCTGGGCCTGGGGCCACTCACCAAACAGAACCATTTCTGTCCTAGGAATCAGTTTGAGGCCCCCAGGCTGCAACAGGGATTTGCAAGAGTTCACCTAGACCTGTGCTAAGACCATCGCACAATATCTGAACTTCCATTTCCATGTGAAAGAAAATAAAATTGCAAGTGTGAAGGCAGATGGTGCTTGCAGGATTGGCAGGCACCCTCACGGGTGGCCGGGTGGCACGCGATAGCCATGTGTGCGCCATTTCTCTCCTCTCGCCGGTTCCAGGCTGGCACACAGCCGGCTTCTTCTCTCCATGGTTGGCCAAGTTCCCTCCCTCCAAATCGAGGCTCCAAGAAATCTCATGGCTGTCTCAGTAGATCAAGATCCCCTTCACCACAATCGGCCAGGCATAATGTAACAGGAAAGTGTGAGGGAGAGACGAGTTCCCCCCAAGAATCCAGCAGCCTTGCTGGAATGCAGGCCCTGCTGAAAGCTGTTGCTGATCAAGTGTTAAAAGGGTGTAGCATTTGGCCTATGTATATTTTGTCACATTCCTTTTGTAATAAGGAAGGGGGTAAAGGCCAAGAAAAAAAAAAAAAAACTGGTTGCATCAATGAAGAGAGGATTAATTTTCCAGCATTTTTAAGCACTGCACACAAAACCAATTGGCCCCCTGCCTCATGTGAACAACATTTCCTGGTAAAATGTGTACAGGTCAAATTCAACAGAGCTGGGAGCCAGCCAAGGGGCAGGAAAGGTCTCCTTTTTGTACTGTTTAAGGCAGGACTGACTCGCTACTTCAGCCAACGTGGCATTCCCAACGTGCCAACTCTTCCCGAGCTTCCGTTTCCCCACAGCCCCTAACAATTCAGGGGCTCACTAAGCAGACCTCAGGCTAACCAGAGGTCTTGGGGATACCTCCTCCCTCACCCGCATAAAGTTTTCTGGCCTCTTCTCTGAAGTGCTAAAAAAGAGAGGGAAAAACCCTCTTCCAGTTAAGCCCACCCATCCCATAAAAGAAAGTATGCTCTTGTTACCAGTCAAAAACAAAACAAAAACTCAGATAGAAAATGAACTGTACCTTAAATAACCTAAGAAGGGGGAGGGAAAAAATCTCGGAGATTTACACCTACAATGCCTACAGCATTTTAAAGTGTCCCCTGAGGCCCCAACTAAGGAATGGACTGTGTTTATTCCCCAACAGGGCTATGAAGTGAGGGATGTCTGGGTAGTGATGGCCAGTGCATTTCGCCACGACTTCGCAGGCTGCAAGACAGTTTCACTCTCCTCTACATGCTTCTGAAACCTGAATCTTATTCTTCAAAATATACATACACAAGACACTGACCAGACAGCTCAGAAGAGGATGGGACTGAGAGAGCCACCCTCAGCACCATCCCTTTTAGGGCCCTCCAGGAGCAGCCAGGACCACCACGTTAAGAACATTTCAAGGTAGAAGCTGTTACTCTGTGAGGGTCTGTGAGCTCACAGGGATTTCTAAAGGTGCCAGAGTACTACATGGAGTGGTCCCCAATCCTAGTGGCTCCCAGCACAGCACGTAATGGAGACATTGCCACCAGCTTCTCAAACTGCTCTGCGCAGGGGAACGTGCGGTGAGAAATTTAAGCTGCTTGAAGCCACCCACAACCAAGAGAAGAGAAGACCAAAGTCCTCAGGGAAATCACTTCCCTTCTATAAAACCGAGTCTTTGACCTCTGGGAGGGTCCTCAAGCCCCAAGCCAACAAGTCCATTCCTCTAAGGCAAAACGCGCTCTACTTTTGCATCCTCAAGGGACTCACAGGATCCTACAGCCATCCACATCACTCATCCACCCCAGGCAGGCAAGCACCTGCAAGCTGTCACTCAGGGACTTTGCGAGGTGGAGTGGCAGGCCTGCAGGTGTCAGGGAGCAAAACCAGCAATCAGGGACCTGGGTTACTCAGGCAGGACCTCGGCTCCCCACGTGGCACAGCCTGTGTTCTGAGGGGGAAGCGCCCACACCAGGCCAGGACACACCCATGCCCAAGCAGCCACCTTTCTGGGGATTTCCAGCCTGTTATACCCTAAAACTACCATGAGAAGGTGTGCCTGTGGGTGTCAGCCCTCAAAGTATGCTCCCTCCCCCGTGTCAGGGGGTGGCTTTCTGGGCTGACCCAGGTCTCTTAACCACATCCAAGGGCACACTTCCTTAGCCCAGTCTTGAGCTTTTAGCTGCTCTTCAGAAAACAGAGTTCAAAGGAGAATGAGGAGGTGTTGGCATCACTCCTCTACCAGATTACAACGTTCTTAGGCCATCTCCGCTTGTGAATCCAGGCGCCATGTCATTTATTCGCTCACTCACAGCCATTAATCCACACAGAGCACTTATAGGGCCAGGCTCTGTGCTGGGGGTGGGGGTGGGAAGGAAATTCAATCTAAGGAGAGATTTAATGTGTTCTTTGCCATAGAAAAATAGGCAGAATTGCAAGTTGCCCAAATAATGAAACAATAAACCCAGCTCCAAGCAACAAACAACAAGAAGGACCCCAGTGCCACCCTGCAAGTCATTCACACTTGTGATTTACCTGAGGACTTTGGTCTTCTCTTCTCTTGGTTGTGGGGTTGTGGGTGGCTTCAAGCAGCTTGGATGTTGCCACTTGGTGGCAACGACCGCCACCAAGGCCCACCCGGCTCCTTGAATGCATCCTGGGAGCATCCGGACACAAAGCCCTAAGTGAGTACTCAGCATGGCAGCAGTTCTCAAACCTGCTGCTATCAGAGAACTGGATGAATGTGACCTTGGGGTGACTCTGAAGTAAGGAGCCTCCCACTCCAGCATTACTTCAAAGGGGACAAAACCGGACCTAGGCTCCTAATCTCCACTTCTGCCTCAACCAGCAGCAGGGGACGTCTGGGGTACTGGGTTCTGCAGTCCTTTCCAAGGATGCAGGTCAAACCCTGACCCTGTCCTGATATCTGCAACTTACTTTCTAACGGCTCAGCCAAAACACTAAAAGGCATATAGACATAGAATAAAGCAGAAGTCACAAAATGTTTTTAGAAGACGTCATGGCCTTGTGATCCCAGTCATTGTACGCAGACAGCTATGGCTTTCTGGTGCTTTCTCCTAAAGAATATGGAGAATTTGGCAACAAAGAAGATTCAGCGTGGTGCACCCAGTAGTAAGGCTCCCACCAACCCTCAGAACCATCAGCAGGAAAATAATTACCTACTTACTATTGAGTGGCCTGATGAGAAAAGAATGCTCTATCTATAAAAGTGTTAGTTTTATCATTACTAATAATGAATGTTTTGTTTTGGATTTTTTATTTTAAAGCACAGGAAGAGCAAGTCTGGAGATAAGAAGCCGCGTTTATAACCTGCACACGAGAACTGTTAACGGCGTGAAAAGGCAAACCAAGGAGTGAGAGAATATATTTGCAAATCATTTATCTGATAAGGAACTAATATCCAGAATACATGGAGAATTCCTAAAACTCAACATAAAATTAAGAAGGTTGATATAAAAATGGGCAAGTAGATAATTCTCCAAAGAAAATATGCAAAGGACCAATAAGCACATGAAAAGATGATCAGCATCACTAATCATTAGGAAAATGCAAATCAAAACCACAATAAGACACCATCTTACACTCAACAGGATGGTCACTATCAACAACAACAACAACAACAAAAAAAAAAAACAGAAAAAAAACAAATGTTAGCAAGGATGTGGAGAAACCAGGACCCTTGCATGCTGTTGGCAGGACTGTAAAGTAGTGCAGCCACTGTGGAATACAGTATAGTAGTTTCTCAAAAAATTAAAAAGAGATTTCCATATGATCCAGCAATTCCATTTCGGGTTTATAATCACAAGAATTAAATGCAGAGACTCAAAGAGATATTTGTACACCCAGCATTATTCACAACAGACAAAAGACGGAAGCAACCCAAATGTTCTTCAACAAATGAAGATGGCCGGGCGCGGTGGCTCATGCCTATAATCCCAGCACTTTCGGAGGCTGAGGTGGGCAGATCACCTGAGATCAGGAATTCAAGACCGGCCTGGCCAACATGGTGAAACCCCATGGTGAAACCTTGGCCAACATGGTGAAACATCTATACTAAAAATACAAAAATTAGCTGGGCATGGTGGCACGTGCCTGTACTTCCAGCTACTCGGTAGGCTGAGGCAGGACAATCACTTGAACCCAGGAGACAGAGGTTGCAGTGAGCCGAGACAGTGCCACTCCAGCTTGAGGAACAGAGCGAGTCTCAAGAAAAAACAAACAAAAAACAGACGAAGAGAGAAGCAAAACATATATACATACAGTGGAATGCAGCCTCGAAAAGGAATGAAGTTCTGACACGTGCTACAACATGGAGGACATATAGGAAGAAAAATAAATCAGTCACAAAAAGACAAATACTGAGGTCAGGCGCAGTGGCTCATGCCTGTAATATCCGCAGGTTTGGAGGCTGAGGTGAAAGGATTGCCTCAGCCCAGGAGTTGGAGACCAGCCTGGCCAACATGGCGAAACCCCGTCTCTACCAAAAATACAAAAATTAGCCAGGTGTGGTGGCATGTGCCTGTAATCCCACCTGCTCGGGAGGCTGAGGCAGGAGAATCGCTTGAACCTGGGAGGCAGAGGTTGCAGTGAGCTGAGATCATGCCACTGCACTCCAGCTTGGGCAACAGAGCAAGACTTTTGTCTAAAAAATAAATAAATAAAAATAAAAATTTGGGGAAGAAAGCACAAACAGCAGCAAGCCTGGATGTAAGGGGCCACATTTATAACACGACACACAGAATCCCTTCGCCCAGGGAATCCCTCCCACTGCAGGGATGTTCTCACAGTAAGGATTCCATCTCCAAGGGAGTGCAGCCCCCAAACTCAGGGGACAGTTACACCATGACCCCTTCCTCACTATAATCCTCTTTCTTCCCCACTTGACTCTTGACTGCTCCTCGCTGAGAGGACCCAGACGGGAGCAAGGCTTCTGAGCAGTGCTTCTGCAGAAAGCGTTGCCCTTCTTCTCCTACAAATGGCATTTCAAACACAGCAGGATCATTTCCCTTAAGAATAAAGGAATCTCAGAGGCTTGGAACAACCACTTCGAACACTAGGCTTAAGTATTAAAATCCAGACTTTTCTGCCAGGATGTCTGCTCTCCAGACCCCAGAGGTGTGAACATGAAGCGAAACAAAATTTTAAACAAATATAATGGATACAGGGCTTCAGTTTTACAAGATGTAAAGAATTATGGAGATGGATGGTGGTGATGGGTGCACGACATAATGAATGCACTTAACACTAATGAACTATACACTTAAAAATGGTTAAGACGGTAAATTTTGTGTTATGTGTATTTTACCACGATACAAATTTTTTTTAATGTTTTTAAACAAATAAACATTAACTTGTACAGAGAGGCAGTTTTAAGGCCCTTATGGCCTGAAATAATCAGAGTAAGCCAGCCTAGATGGTAAGATCACATGTGAAATCCTGCATTTTGTAAAGGGGAATAATTTGCTGCCCTAAATAGTGTGCTGGGCCTTAGGGACGAAAGGCTGAACTGGCTCTTTGAGAAAAGACCTCATTCCAACACCTCATAAAAAGGGTAAACTAAGCTAAAAGGACCAGGAAGGAAACACAAAGGTGTAGCAGCTCTTTTTCTGTGGGTAATTAATGAAAAGACTAAAAGGCAGCTGGTGAGGCCGCGAGGGAATGCACGTGTGTGTGTGTATGTGTGTGTGTGTGCACATGTGTGCACATGTGTAACAGAAAGATAGATATTAGGGCCTGAATATCAAGAACTGAGCATTTCTCTGATAAAATGCAAACCAAAGGTGGAGATATGGGACCAGCTTCCTGCTTGCTTTTGGGGAATTCTGCAGTTCACCTGATAGAACCCATTGGGCTTCCTATAGGTGCTCCCAGAGGGGTTCAAAGTGCCAGGAGCTGCCTCCCATCAGGGAGCACTTTGGCAGAGCACCTCTCACACCCCTTGGTGTCCACAGTGACCCAGCACCGACTGCATAGAAAGGGGCCTGGCTGGGGGCCAGGGGAGCAGAGGGGAGAAGGACCCTACCTGTTGGGTGGGTGTATATTTAACCGTGTGAGAGTAGTCATAATTATCGATGATATCCAAATCCTTCACTGCATCGCCAGGAAGAGGGCTGTTGAACTGCACGTTGAGCGGGGCTTTCCCAGCCCCCTTGGTGTAGACAGTGAAGTGGGTCGGTTTCCCATTTTCCACACCTGGAAAGATATACTGTGAAGTGAGGAGACAGACCAGCTGGAGTAGTTTCACTTTGAGAACCCGTCAGACAGGTTCAACAGCACCAGGTCTATTATGACAGCCAGCAACGGGCCTGGCCAGCCACTGCTGCATCAGAGCTGCACAGAAAACCTGCCAGCTTGGTGTTGGTGTTGGTGGAGATGAAGTTCCTCAAGGCCGTGGATGAAACACGCCCAGTGCCACCGGCTGGCAGAGGGGCCCAGGACAACCTAGACGTGCCATCTTACCTGCTTTGCTGAGCCCTGGGCCTTCTGCCTTCACTTTGCTGGCATCGTGGGAAGGGTCAACTTTGACTCTGAAAGGGCTGGCGGGGATTTCCTGTAGCAGAGACACAGTCTTAGTAGGAAAGCCCCTGAAGCAACAGCCAGAGCTCAGGGAGCCTTCAACAAAGGGTGAACCTTAGCATCACTCTGACTTAGCGAGTGGTGAGCAGACTTCTATTACCACAGGTAAACAGAAGGGTAAGATAAGCCAAAAGGGCCCAGCATTGGGAAAGGGCCTTCTATAACAGGTCACTCTCTAATGCCTGGATCCCTGATGTCACAAACAAACCCGAGGACTTTGAGCCTTTAATACTGAATGTTGAGTACTCAGGATGAAAAATGCCAACAAGAATAAAACCAAAAACGACAATAATACATGGGGCTGGGGGAAGGAAATGTCCTCCAGGGACAGCTGAGAGCTAAGGTCTGGGGAAATGCAAGAAGTGATCAGAGACAGAATGATTATAATTCTTCAAAAAGAATGTTGCAGACTATTGGAATAAAGGCAGAAGAGGTTAAATGGATGTCAAGACCACTACCTTTAGGCACAGAACATTCTACTAAGATTTCCATTTTTATGTAAGGTTAATTTTAATCCCTAGGATTTCAAAATTCTCTCTTTCAGGATCCTGCTCACCCTATCTTCACTATTGCATACCTGAAACTTCAAATCACCTCTCTCTATAAAAATTTAAGGGTGGAGACCACAGTCATTGCTTCAAAGGCATCAAAGTAGAACATATCTAGAAGCTAACTGCATTTCAACCAAAATATTGATGAAAATTTATTACAAACTAGTCTCTCTCCAGACCCCTGCTTTTAACCACTGAACACACTGCCTCACTTTTGTTAGAAAGTGGTAATAATTTAGCTCTGGGTAAATTTTTTTTCCTTCTTGGTTGTAAGGAGCCAGAGAGAAAACGATTGAGCAGTGTTCTCAAGACAACTTCCCTGTCAGTAAAACACCAAAAAGGAGGCCAAATGTGGTGGCTCATGCCTATAATCCCAACACTTTGGGAGGCCAGGTGGGCCTGAGGTCAGGAGCTCGAGAGCAGTCTGGGCAACCGTCTCTACTAAAAATGCAAAACAATTAGCTGAGTGGCCAGGCACGGTGGCTCACACCTAGAATCCCAGCACTTTGGGAGGCCAAGGCAGGCGTATCATCTGAGGTCAGAAGTTTGAGACCAGCCTGGCTAACATGGTGAAACCCCATTTCTATAAAAATACAAAAAAATTAGCCAGGCGTGGTGGCCTGTAATCCCAGCTACTTGGGAGGCTGAGGCAGGAGAATCACTTGAACCCGGGAGGCAGAGGTTGCAGTGAGCCAAGATCATGCCATTGCACTCCAGCTTGGGCAACAAGAGCAAAACTCCATCTCAAAAAAAAAATAAAAAAATAAAAACAAATTAAAAAAAAATTAGCTGGGTGGTGGTATGAGCCTGTAGTCCCCAGCTACTTGGGAGGCTGAGGTGGGAGGATCACTTGAACCTGGGAGGCAGAGGTTGCAGTGAGCCAAGATCACACCACTGCACTCTAGCTTGGGTGAAAGAGTGAGACTCCATCTCAAAAATAATAATACTAACAAAACACCAAAAAGTAGATGAGACATGCACACAAGTGGCCAAAGAGAATCCAGGCCTACTCCACCCATCTCCTCCCAGGCCCCACCACGTACCTGAGATGCAAAGAGAACTTTGATAGTGTATCGCCCAGCAGCAGGAGGCACATATTTGACTGTGAACGTATCATTGGCATTGTGAATAATGTCAAAATCCACGTCTTCCTCATCTTCACTTAACACCCGGGCATCACACTTAATGCCAACACTGACATCACCTGGAACAGACCAGCTTATTAGCACCAGCTTACAAGAAACAGCATGTCCTGTGCAATCTCTTCCAGCTCAGGTTAACACCCTCAAAAAGCAATTGGGAAGTTTCTAGTAAGAAACCTGAGAAAGAGTAAGGATTTGGGGAAAGGGATGATGGATTAGCAAAGATATCACTAAGGAATGACTCAGAGGCTCAGTAGATGATTACCTATTCAGATGGACTACTTCCTAGTTCAAAAGGCATTGAAACGTTATGAAAAGAACTGCCTTCCCCACGGAGCAATGATCACTGGGTTGAACAAAGCCCTTTCTCACCTTCCCCAGCCTCAGTACAGTCCACCGTGAAGTGTGTAGGTTCATTTGCCTTCAGACCACTTCTCTCCACACCTGGCCCAAACACTTTGACCTTCTGAGGATGGCTACCTTGCCCGATGTTGACCTAGAGAAGACATGGAGAAGGTCATCAAGTTCTCCTCCACTTGGACCCAGTAAAATACTATTAAAAAACATTGTTAGAAATAGTTCTTCTGAGCAGGCTGGAGCACTCTGCCCTTCGGGCCCCTCCATCATTCAAGGCCCACCAGGGATGGGTTCCTTCCATATGTCTGCCTTGGCTGTCAGGCATGGATCCCAGACCTGGTGTATGACCAGGCATTTCCATAAAACAGCCAGGATTCTGCCTCACAACCTACCCTGTAGGGGCTGTGCGGGATGTTCACGCCTCCCCAGACCACAGCAATGGTGTGCTTGATGGCCTTCACCGGGGTGTATGAGCATGCATATGTGCCGTCCATCCGGTTCTTCATCTGGATGTCAATGCGTTGGCCTTCCCCATCCTGCAAAAAAGCCAGAGCTAGGACCAGAGGTGGCCCTCACACTGTCTCTATCAGACAGGGTCACTGTGGCCTCCCAAGACAGCCAAGTCACCACTTGCTTATACAACAAAACTTCATGGACCAACTACAATGTGCCATATTTTCACAACACGGTGACAACCAGTGACAAAATATGACATGCATTTATTTATTTTTAGTTATTAAGAGCAAGTGACCCAAAAACAAAGCTTTGGCCACTCAATTCCTGCATTTAAGTCCTTTGGCCAAATTCAATTAGATTAAATAAACATACTTTTTAAATCCTTGTTTACAAATCTCCCCCCATGGCCTCAGCAGCTTCAGCCACACCAAAAGACATTATAGAATAACCTGAAACAAACAAGCCTCATTTCCACAGAATATAAATCAGAAAGCTGATTTTTTTAAAGCCCAGTACTCTACATGGTAGTCTCACTGAACCCTCACATAACCCTATAAGATAATCTTCTTATCATTTCCACGGTGCAGATGAGGAAACTGAAGATCAGATGGACTCAGCAACTTGCCATTACGTGGTCAGATCTTGTTACCTGACAATTACCTGCACAGGTGGCCCCCTGAAATTTACCTGAGCAAATATCTTTAAGGGAGCTTTTCCAGCATCCTTAGGATCCACAGTGAACTCGGCCAGGTTGTTGACAATGCATCCAGATTTCTCCAAACCTGGCCCGTATGCTCGAACCTGAAGCAAAGGCAGATAGTAAGTCTCTTTCTGTGTAATGCCCCAACTAAACCCTTATACAAAGACAGGTAACCAGGGGGTGGGGGAAGAACAAAATGACCTGTGTCTGGTTTTACAGTATCCACATAAGAGGTTGGTTATGGGAAGTAAAGTGCTAAAGTAGGTTGTAACTTAAAAACAAATGTCTCTCCCTCATAAGGGAGAAAACTCTCTAAACAAATCCAACCCACGGCCTGAAGCCCGCATGCGGCCCAGGATGGCTTTGAATGCAGCCCAACACAAATTTGTAAACTTTCTTAAAATGTTATAAAATTTTTTGCAATTTTTTTTTTGTTTTTGTTTTTGTTCATCGGCTATCATTAGTATTTTATGTGTGGCCCAAGACAATTCTTCTCCTTCCAGTGTGGCCCAGGGAAGGCAAAATATTGGAAACCCCTGTTCTAAAACCATGCCCAAACTAACCCATGCTCCCTGCCTTATTCTGAGTTGACCTAAAGAACTTCTAACAACTGGGGCAGAGACCTCTAGTCATGCCCAGTTTCAACGTTCCCACTTTGAGGGGACTCAGAATCTTTACCACGGACAACATTTGCCCTAGAGGGCAAAGGAATATCATTTGGCCAAAACGGGGTAGCTACCAGCCCAGACTGACATCAGCCTATGGACAGCTGCCCGTGTGGGCCAACAGTAGCACACGTGGCCTCTGGGGCCAACTCCCTGTCAGCCAGGCTGGCTCAGACTTGATGCTTATCAGCCTGCTAAGGGTTTGAGAGGACACTCTTGGAAACATTGCTCCAACTTAAGAGACACGGAACTAGGAAAAAAAAATCCTTTATCTATGGAGCACCTTGAAATAATAACTATAGAAAATGGCTGTAAGACTGACATATGATCCCCGGAGTTGCAAGAAAATAACAGCTTATGGAGCTCCCTGCATGGGCCAGGCATAAGCCAAAGGCGGTCTTTATGCATGCCACCTCCTGAATCATCCTAGAAGCTCTCTAGAAGCAGAGACTACTATCATTCCTGTCTTATAGAGGAAGACACCAAGAGTCAGATAGGTAAGTTACTTGCCCAACACTATAAAAGTGCTAAGTGCTACTACCAGGATTCAAATGTAGGCCTGGGCTGGGTGTGGAGGCTCACACCTGTAATCCCAGCACTTTGGGAGGGCCGAGGCGGGTGGATCACTTGAGGCCAGGAGTTCGAGACCAGCCTGGCCAACATGGTGAAACCCCATCTCTACTAAACAATACAAAGATTAGCCAGCTGTGGTGGCACATGCCTGTAGTTCCAGCTACTTGGGAGGCTAAGGCACGAGAATCACTTGAACCCAGGAGGCAGAGGTTCCAGTGAGCTGTGATCATGCCACCGTACCCCAGCCTGGGCGACAGAGCAAGAGTCTGTCTCAAAACAAACAAACAAACAAACAAACAAACAAACAAATGCAGGCCTGTTTCCTTCCTAAAATCCAAATGATTCCTCTCTGCCATCTCTCAACATGCTGCTTAAGGCAACTTCGGGCATGGGGGTGAGGAACCAGGGGCCAGGGACAAGAAGACAGAAGCACAGCAGCTGATTCACCAGATCAGGGTTGTAGCCTCCCGTGGCTGGGTGGATGAAGGCCATGTACGGGCTGTCCTTGATGTCTTCGTCGTCACACATGATGTGAACAGCATATTCGCCAGGCTCCTTGGGCCAGTATTTGACATCACACGATCCATCATTCTGGTCGTTGTACTCAATCTTTGCCTGAGAGGGGCCTTCAATGGCAAACCCTAGGGGGTGGAGGTGGAAGGGTCTCCCTGGTTATATGGTGGAAAGCACCTATTCTATGTTACGACAGCTCATTCCCGCTGCCTCCCTAAAAGCCAAGTGTTGGCCAGAAGATTGAAATCTGTTTGTATCCCTTTCTTCCAAAACCAAGCTCATTAAGTCTTCAGTAGAGATGGAAGGGGTGGAAAATATATATATATTTTTTTTTTTTCAAATGTAGGCCTGGGCTGGGTGTGGTGGCTCACACCTGTCATCCCAGCACTTTGGGAGGGCCGAGGCAGGTGGATCACTTGAGGCCAGGAGGATATATATATATATATATATATATAGTATTAAATACATTATATGTATTTTATCATCATCCAACAGGGGAAGTCCAACCAGCAAACCCTTCTGTTGGAGATGTGGCAACATGTGGCAAAAGCCTTGAACCAACACCCACTCTTAGCACCACCAAATCCACTTCTGGGTTTTTATCTGAAGGCAATTACCAAGGATACACAGTCAGCACTGTTTTTATAGCAAAACCCTGGAAATAACTGAAGAGCCTGACAATGGATAGAGCCATACAATGGAATTCCATGGAAGCTATGGAAAATGAAGGCATACCCTATATTTACGCATAAAGATATAAAGACTTGTCTAAGATATTTTCTGTACCAAATCAATATTTGCATGCATATATAGAGAAAAAAGTCTAGAAGGATACACTAAAAGACTTAATATTATCTCTAGACTAAGAATATACAAGACGATTCATATCATCTCTCTAGAAGGGAAAATTAAATGTGATTTCTTATTTTTCTCTTTTGCTTATTGCTATTACCTAAAACGGGTTGCTAAACGACAGTCTGAAGGCCACATCTGGCCCATTGCTTACTTTTGCAAATAAAGTTTTACTGGAACATGGCCACACACGTTTGTTTACGTATTCCTATAGCTGCTTTCAGGCTACAACGGCAGAGTCAAATAACTGTGACAGAGACCATAAGGCCCACAGGTGGAAAATATTTGCCATCTGGCCTTTTATAGAAAAAGCTGGCTGACTCCTGATATAAAATGATCATATATACATTAGACATGTATTTAAAATATACTTCAGCTGTGCTCCAAAGGAAATATTTATCTTCCAAATCCAAATTTCAGCAAAATTCATTCATTCATTCATCTAAACTATAAAGGTCAGTCAACACTATTTGCTAAGTGTTTACTACGTTCCAAGCATTGTTTTAGGCACAATACCCACATAAGGTTTCTGCCCTCAAGGTCTCCTGAATGAATCAATGCTGGTATCAGAGGCAACTGCAAATGTACAGCAGCACGCAGAGATGGCTTAGGGTGGCCAGGAGGCCAGGAAGCTAAAGGTATTGAGGCTAGGCAAGGCCCCAACATCCAGCCTGACACAGCCCGGAAGCCCTGTAATCCTCAGTCCTCCAGAAGATGCTGGTCAGCTGTGTCCACTTACCCAGAGACCCCACTTCAGAGCCAATGGATTCTACCACGAAGTCCGCTGACCGCCCGACAATCCCACCATGGAGCCCAGGGCCCCAAGCACGGACTTTCTGCATACCCGCTTCAGGGCCAACTTGAACTTCAAAGGGGCTACAGGGAAAGGAATAGAAGAAGCATCAAAGAAGAGTAAAGTAAGGTGTCACTATAGCCATAAGCTGCAGTTCCTTTGCACATTCTTTCCACTTGCCTGATCCTTTCATCTGGCATCCCAAACTGCAGCCAAGCCCTTCCTCCTGCAGGCCTCTCACCCATAGCTACTGTTATGTCAACAATATAATGTAATGTGACTGCTTCTGGGAGCTCAGGTGGCCACTGGGTTGGCACTCAAGCCACGCTGCTTTGCACCAGCCTCCTGGCCCTTTACCTTTGTGTGCAGGCCTCCCCAGACTATGACCCTGGAAAGTGAGAGAGTCCACACACTATATCCTGCTTATGCTATAACCAGAAAACTTGGTTGAATGGGCTTTATCTCATACATGAATGAATGTGCTGTAACCTTGGCATGGGAGGCTTAAAAAAAAAAGCGTGGTAGGTATTCGGAACCCAATAATGCCCAAATATTTCTCAAGGCTAACTGAATTTATTCGGAGTTTAAAGTTGCACCTCCAGGGGAGCTGGAAAACACAGAACGCAGAGGGGCAAGTGCAATGCCCACAAGGCAAAGCTGTAGACTGCGTCCCTTGGCCCCTGACAGCACTCACGTAGACGGTCTTAATGTAAACCACAGCAGATTCTGCCCCGTGGCATTCATGAACAAAGGAGTTCATTGAAAAAGAGAATCTCAGTTTATATGCGGGCATCTAGACACACAGCCCATTTGCTCTAACTGCTCCTTCTGCCTCCCCTGCCTCCCACCAGCCCCTAACCACCAGCATTTGATTTAAAGCAAGTCAGCTAAAACCACAGCAACTTTCTGCTGCTTTTGAGAACAGGCCAAATGTCTGTGCTGCTCCGAAAAAAAAAAAAAAAAAGTTTTCAACAAAGCAGATCTCTTTCCCTCCTGCAGCCCGGGAAGCAACTACCCATGAGTCCGCCCTGGGCCGAGCACCCTCCAGAGAAGACCCCTCTGCAGCAGGAGCCTCACCTCTTTGGAATGTGGTGTCCCCCCCATGTGATGGCAATGCTGTATCTCCCCGGGGTGCTGGGGTAATACTCGAATGCGTAGACCCCATCCAGAAAGTCTTTCTGCTTCACCAGCTCCTCCAGACCCTCTGTGGGAAGGAAGGAGATAATCTTTCCAACACAATCCTAGGCCCAAAATGAGAATCAAAAGGACAAGAACAGAGAGGCAGCCACACTGAACAAAACATAAACCATACATAAAAACCAAGTGGGCTGCCCCAGAGTATGGGACCTCTCCCCTCAAAGCCTGGGAGATTATTTCAAAGCTAAAAACACAGCCATCTCTGCTTCAAGGTATGAGGAAATGGAGGATTTCCCAGCTAATTGGCTTTAGAAATCTTGCTTGGCTACGAGGGGCCCTGAGGTCCTGAACTCCCTGGGCCTGCATAAAGATAAATCCAGTCACATTTCAGTATTTCCCAATAATCATAGCTACCCTTCCTAGTCCCCCACAAAAACTGGGGAAGAAGTAAACCTTTAGAAGTATTTGGTATGAGTTTTAGGTTCAGTGTTCCAGCGTATACTTTTCCATCTAAAGCTGGACAACAAAAGCAAGAAAGTCCTCAGACGCTATCTGCAAGAGGACAGGTTTTAGATGTGACGCTGCAAACTCCAAACCCAGCCATCAGGCAGGAACTTGTTTTGTGTTGAGCCCTGAGGTTTGGCCAGGAAAGCCGTTGAGTCAAGCAAGTATTCAAGGTCAGGAGAAAACACACACGTACGCACACATACGCAGAGGCATGCACGCGCGTGCACACACACACACACACACACACACACACCCTCCTTGGCTCCTGTTGGAATAATCTGGGAGGGAAGACAGTCCCCAAGCAGCTTGACTCCAGGTCTGGGCAGTCTAGAACCTCGGCTACCCTCAGGGCACAGCCTGACCCAAAGCCTGGTGCTGTGAAGTCAAATATTAACTTTCTGGAGCTCAGAATGCTCCTGCCCCAGCCTGTTGGGAACACAGAAGGTAAGAGCAATCCTGGTACAGGAAGCTCAAGATTCCACAGGCATGGGAGTAAAACCACCAAAGGCTGCTACACCCGAGACTAGAAGTGCTGAAATGCTTCTCTGTTCCAACGAAAAAAGTGAAGACACCCATCCCCACATCTGCTGTCTCCTTCCCCAAAAGAGGGAGAGAGAATGGGTTGCAGGGTTTAACCTGTACCTCCACAAATGGCATTTATCTACAAAGAAAACTTAATCTTAGGGAATTTTATTCTCCTTCTATAAGCACTGATCATAGTAATTAAGTACTTGACATAATTTCATACTCTATAAAATGTAACCTGTAGTGGGAAAATCACTGGCTTTGGAGACTGTGCTTGAATTCCAGCTCAGATGATTACAAACGCTGTATGACCTTAGGCAAGAGCCTTCCTCTCTGAGCCCAGATGTCTAAAATAAAAAATGAGCCACTTGTTCCAACAGCAGCATTTCCCCAACTCCTTTACATCACTGCTTTTTCTACTCCCAGAAGTCTTGATGTAATGTAAAGCTGTCAAGCCACCCACTGGCCGCATCCAGGGCAGACATTACTAATCAATCACTGCCGTCTTCCCCAAGGAGCCCAGATAGCCTCAAATCCTTGACATAGCCTTCTGGGATTATTGAGGACAACTGGCCGTGGGATGAAATCCATATGCCATGGCTGCAAAGTTAGCCAAAACCACACCTGAGATAGAGAAACAAAGGAACACTTACTAGGACCCTTCATGGTTACACCGAGCTCCCCACTTCCTGCAGCTTTGGTGTCAACCTTGAAATCTGTGGTCTCCCGGATACGGACGCCTTTGGGTTGTAGGCCTCGGCCACTGGCCCGGCAGGCATTTGGATTGCAGGCTGCAAGCACAGTTTTGACATCAATTCAATCTTTCATTCTTTAGTCAGAGTCGTGAAAGCCAAGGTAACCTGGAGCCACCCGCCAAGAAAATATTTGCTTTGCACAAATAGTATGCAGTAGTTGCCCAAGACCAGGGGTCCCACTCAGGGAGCACACCAGGCTAGCAAATACAGACACAATATAACTTTGTCCAGTGACACCACAGAAGGACTGGAGAAAAGTGACTTTGGCAAAGAAAACAGGAGAGCACAGCAAATCCATGCTGTGCTCCTGCTTCCAGCATTTAACCTTTCATTTGTGAAAGGGAGTTAAGGCCGAGTGCTGGACATTATTCAAACCTCACTGCCATACTCAAGGGCTCAGTAATTGGATAGACTGGACTTTTTCAAGTCTTCTTGGAAAATGCAGTACTTGAAAATGCCTGTCTGGGTTCCAAAACCTGGGTCAGCCATTTTTAAGTGTCTAAATGTTGTTGTCTTCCGCCTGAACAACCAGGCAAAAACAACCAACACAGCTTGGAAAGAGACCAGTTCAGCCCCACCTTGGCTGAGGCAGACCAATCTTTTCGTGCTGTCTGTTACAAGGCCTTCAGAATGTGGGTGGCTATAAAGGCAATAATTAGCAGTAAACACCATTGCTGATTTCATTTCCGGGTCTAGCTTGAAAACCTAGAGTTGTAAGTCTAAAAGTTAAGGGCGAAGATAGCTTCCAATATGCCTTACTTGAAATGTCCACAGAACTACTGTTCCATGGTATCTAGAGGTTGATAAAAGATACCTTTATGCCCTAGAATAAATCTTCTGCCCAGCACGGACAACCTTTTCAGTAAATAGAAACGGGAGACTAGTGGGGAAAATGTCATGTTATTAAGTGGCTTTTCCTTTCCAAATCTAACACTGAAAATTTGACAAATCTCTATACAGGAAGGTCACAGACTCCAGAAGACGGGACTCTACTCCACAGACGGAAGGTAATTCCTCCTCTGGTTCCTCCTTCCTGCAATGGCCTTAGCTGGCTATTTGGCAAACAACTGCTTCCCAAAGAGTCATACACATACCCTTGGAGTTAGAGATGATTTTAGATGGTTTATGGATGAACATAAGCTTACGGTGGCACTTTATGGCAAGTGACTTTGGTTTTCCATTGTGAAAGTGATATAAAGTTTCTTTTAACATAAAATAATTTACATCTGTAAACCCAGCACTTTGGGAGGCTGAGGCGGGGAGATTGCTTGAGTCCAGGGGTTTAAGACCAGTCTGGACAACAGAGTGAGACCCCACCTCTACAAAAAAAAGAAAAATTAGGTCAGGCATGGTGGCTTATGCCTGTAAACCCAGCATTTTGGGAGGCCGAGGCAGGTGGATCACTTGACATCAGGAGTTCGAGACCAGCCTGGCCAACATAGTGAAACCCTGTGTCTGCTAAAAGTACAAAAAAACTTAGCCAGGCGTGGTGGTGTGCACCTGTAGTCCCAGCTACTCAGGTGGCTGAGGCAAGAATCACTTGAACCAGGGAAGCAGAAGCTGCAGTGAGCCAAGATCACACCACCACACTCCAGCATGGGTGAGAGAGTGAGACTCTGTCTCAAAACAAAACAAAACAAAAAAAAAAAGAAAAAGAAAAAGAAAAAAAAAGGGTAAAAAATGTAACCAGGCATGGTGGCGCACATCTACAGTCTTAGCTACTCAAGAGGCTGAAGTGGGAGGATCATTTGAGCCTGGGAGGTCGAGGCTACAAGTGAGCCATGATGGTACCACTGCACTCCAGCCCAAAAGACAGAGTGAGACCCTGTATCCTTCCCACCGCGCCCCTGCAAATATATATATATTTTTTTTTTACATATGTAAAATCATTTAGGTGGGAGAGAGGATGTTAGTAAATTAAAAGAAAAAGGTTATTCATTAAATGCTAAATAGTATAGGATGTACAGGCCAGAAAAGAAAAAGGAAGTCCACGAGTGAGGAAAGGTTGGAAAACAATAGTAGAATTAGGAAAGCTATTCAAAATGCTCTCTTATGTAAAAAAGAGCTTTGCTTAGGAATATGTTAGAATTTTTTTTGCCTGTTTTTTCTTTGTCAAGGGGAGAAAAGTTGGTCATACCAGAAGTCAGTCACAATACAATGACAGGACTTCCTCGGAGGGCTTTAATGTGTCTTAAGAAACACACACACACTCATGGAAATTATGAACATGTGCAACAGTCTCAACATCAAAAGAGTAATTGCTGAGTTCATATAAACATTAAATGGGGCTAGAGTCTGAAGGGCACCACCAGCTCCTTCACCATCTAAAAAAGCCCTAGATGTGTTTAAAGGCAATTAGACAGTGGGTTTGGGTTCCGGCTGGACAGGCTGTAATAATAACACCTGCACAGAGTTTCCTAAAATCACACAGAACACGGGCCCAGCTAACATTCACAAGCAGCACAAAGAACTGGCAAGGAAGTCCCACCCAACCAGCCCTTACCAAGCAAGAGGCCTCTGGCCCAGTGGTCTCAACTAGGAAGCCAACAGCTTCAGGGTCCAGGCTGGCCCAGAGGTAGGATTCGGAAGAGGAAGCCACGTCTGCAGACGCAGATTCAGAGGACAGAACAGGGAAAGGCAAGTGTGGGTTAGAAAAGGTAGTACAGTTGGAAAACAAAACAAAACAAAACAAAACAGAAAAAAAGGGGCAACAAAGTCAGAGGGAGAGAGTCTAACATTTGAGAAAAATGCGTACCCCCAGCGCCAGAGGGAGTTTAGCAGAGTAGTTAAGGGTAAGGCCAACAGAGTCTGTGGTTCTAGCCCTGCTGATGCCTTGTAGTACTGATACCTAACGCTATCTAAGCCTCAGCATCTCCACCTGCAAGCTAGGGATAATAATAGCACCTGCAACACACAGGCTGGTGCAATGATTAGATGCAGTCATGGTAAGTGCCTGGGCCAGTAAAGGCCAAGCAATGGAGGCTGCAGGGCCCATGTTGCTGCTGCTAACTTCAGTTATGCTACCGAGTCCTCCCACTGCCTCAGTCCCACCTCCCTCCATGAGGATAATTACTCTCCTGTACATGTGTTTTGGAGAGAAGTAAATGAGTTAATATAAGCAAAGCATTTAGGTCTCTGCGTGGCTCATAGAAGATATTAATATTAATATATTGAGGACAAAGTAAGCCACTTACTGCTGAAGTAGCCCTGGCAGAAAAGGGATAGGCATAAGGTCAATGTTGGGCCCTGACTGTTTTCCTGGCCTCCCTGCCCAGCTGTGCAGTCAGCTTCCCTATGAGAAGCACATGTGGCCAGCAGCCCAGCACTCACCTTCCCCAACCTGCACAACGAAGGGACTCTTAGGAATAGTGTCCCCAGCAAAGAAGATCTTGACCACGTGAGGGCCAGGCTGCATGGGTTTGTACACACATCGATACACCTGGTTTCCTTTGTCTTCCACGAGCAACTCCACGGTGTTCTTCCCCTGGGGATCTTCCACCTCCACACCAATGTCACCCACACCAGCTCCTACAAGAAAGCAAGCATTCCATGAGCCCAAGTCACCCTCTCTGAAAGCTCACTGCTGCTGAGTGCAAAATGCAAACAGGACCAGTGTGGTGGCTCATGCTTGTAATCCCAGCACTTCGAGAGGCCGAGGTGGGTAGATCACTTGAGGTCAGGATTTCGAGACCAGCCTGGCCAACATGGTGAAATCCGTCTCTACTAAAAAAAATACAAAAATTAGCCAAGCATGGTGGCGCACGCCTGTAATCCCAGCTACTTGAGAGGCTGATGTATGAGAATCGCTTGAACCCAGGAGGCGGAGGTTGCGTTGAGCCAAGATCACGCCACTGCACTCCAGTCTGGGCAATAGAGTGATTCTCTGTTCCCCCAACAACAACAACAAAACAAGTAAACAGGAGACAGGCCCTCAGAGAGGTCCACACCAAGATGTTAACAACTATTTTCTAGGGGTTGAAGGGTTTATGGTTGAATGTTTCCTTCTTCTGCATTTTCTATTTACTACATGGAAAAGAAGCCAACAATTCAAGAAGTATGTCTTATTCAAGTGAAGCCTGAGTATTTTAGAGAAGAAAAGCTGGTTTTGAAAAATCTAATATAACACATTTGAAAAAATTGTCTTTGTGATTATTTATTTGATTTAAAAGACAAAAGGTCAGGCCTTCAAGTCCCCGAGGATTATATTTCAGCCTCTGGAAGAAAGCGCAAAGGTCAGATCCATGGAGGAGAGGCACGTTACCTGCCGTATAGATGTCAAAGTAGGTGGGCTTATTGGCGATGTTCCCTACAGCTTCCAACCCTGGACCTTTTGCAGTGACTTTACTGGCATCTCCCTGGGCCTTGTCAACACTCACTTCAAATGGGCTCTTGGAGATGTGCTGTCCTGCAAAGAGGACTGTGACCTATAGGTGACAGATAGGTGAGAAATACATAATCACTTCTCTGTGCCCAGCAAGACTGACATCAAGCCACATACATTGATGATCACCTCTCCTACCCTCCCATGATGGCACACACAAGGTGTCTAGAATAAGGAGCCCTGGAACCAAGTTTAACAGCCTGAATGGGACTCCCACCTGGCCCCTTCAGCCATACAGCTGGGTCTGGGACATCACACCTTTAGCAAAATAAAAATGCTGACCTTATATACACTTAGTCTCTTTAATAGGAAACAAACACATTTCAATCTCTGGACATTGAGTCCTTTCGGGGGCTGAATGGGCCACTATCCCTCAGAATAAAATATGCAGTTCCAGGATTTCAAATCCACAGCCAAACTGTTTTTTCAAGGGACGAAAATCATTCTTAGATACATGGATTTGGGACAAAGTAGAATGATTTCCATCTAAAACTTGAGTCACTGTTCTCATCTCTGAAATTTTTGGGGGGTAATTGGGTTGGGTTTCATGTGAACCTATACTTGACTGGAATTAATTAATTACATTATAAATGCTCCCTTCAAGAGCATTTACTCCAAATGCATCATAGTCTAAGAGTCTAAGAGAACGCTAAGGCCATCATTCCAGGTGAATTCACTAAAGCCCAAGGTGGTGAGTACAGTCTGTATTCCAAAGTCTGGGCAGGTACATGATGGGATTGGCCTTTATGTGCTGTTGAGGGCTTTCTTCCAATGAAAAGTGTACTCCTGGGTCACCCCACTCTCCTGCAAGACAGGCTCTCTCAGCCCTTGCCCTATAGGTCACCTGGATGTCATCTCAAACAGAACTCGAAAGGCTGCCAAGACAAAGAGCCTGAGGCCTCAATCCCTATCATTTCTCCAGGTGCTGAGAGGGCCATTTCCCTCTACTATATTCAGCTGAACTACTCCATCCTCAGCCTTCAATGCTGACAGCTCCTCCAGAGCACCTCCAAGGAGAGTTCTTAAGAAAGCATTAAGGACAAAGAGCCAGCAGGGTGTGGTGGCTCATGTCTATAATCCCAGCACTTTGGGAGGCTGAGGCAGGAGGATAGTTTGAGGTCAGGAGTTCAAGAACAGTCTAGGTGACCTGGTGAAACCTGGTCTCTACTAAAAATGCAAAAATTAGCTGGGAGTGGTTGTGGGTGCCTATAATCCCACCTACTTGGGAGGCTGAGGTGAGAGGATCGCTTGAGCCCAGGAGGCGGGGGTTGCAGTGAGCTGAGACCACACCACTGCACTCCAGCTTGGGTGACAGAGCAAGACCCTGTCTCCAAAAAAAGAATCAAGGACAAAGAACCCATCTATAGTGTAGTCACCACAGCATCTACACTCCAGACACACAGCTGCAACCATTAGTTACCTAGATGGAGTTGGAAAAATCTTACGACATTGCAAACAACTCATCCTAGCTAGTAGAGGGAATCCTAGTGATTCCAATTTTCTATCATGAGCATAGATCCTTCTATAATCAGAAAGGAAAATCAGAAATTCACTTAAGAAAAACACTCTTCTTCCTGGGCTATCTTTCTTCTCCTAGCCCCAGAGCAGCCCAAGCCACAGCCATGCTGCTTCATCTTACTTTGTGTAGCCCGGTGACCTTGGGCAGATACTCCACAGAGTATGTCTTGTTCTTGTCACTGTCAGGGGTCACTTGTGCCTAGGAGGGAAGGTGGGCAACAGTTAGAAAAGGTGCCGGGTGTGAGTAAGGAGCATGCTGTGTCAGCAGGGGTTCTGCAGGAGCTGCCAGGTCGGAAACACTGAAGGTGCTGGCGAGCTCCTGTCCCTCTTGCACAACGCCCCTAGAGAGAAACTGCTTGAAGTCACAGAAACAAAACCATGCAGCACAGAGGCATAACAGAGTCAGGACTCTCCAGTGTCCAGTGTCAGGCTGGCACTCTCTAGGTAAGAGAGAATATGAAGCAAGAAACTTAAACCTTTATCCACTCAATAGTTCATTGAAAGCTTATGAAATGCAGGGCCCAGTGTTAGGTACTAAAAATAAAACATGAGCAAGTCAGATACAATCCCTGCCCCGGTGGGGGAAATGGACCATCCATCTGTAAACTTAGAATTGCAAATTATGCTAAATGCCAAGAATAAAATATGGTCCTACGAAAATAAGTGACAGAAAGAACAGCATGTGCAAAGGCTCTGAGGGAGGAACCAAAGAATGGCCAATGTGGGAAGAGAGCAGGGCAAGACTCTTATTATTCTGGCCATCAGTATATAAAACCTCAACTGAGGCTGGGCACGGTGGCTCACACCTGTAATCCCAGCAGTTTGGGAGGCAGAGGCAGGTGGATCACCTGAGGTCAGGAGTTCAAGACCAGCCTGGCCAATGTGGTGAAACCCTGTCTCTACTAAAAATACAAAAATTAGCCAGGCGTGGTGGCAGGTCCCTGTAATCCCAGTTACTTGGGTTACAAAAATTAGCCGGGCTGAGGCAGGAGAATCGCCTGAACCCAGTAGGTGAATGTTGCCGTGAGCCAAGATTGTGCCACTGCACTCCAACCCGGGCAACAGGAGTGAAACTCTGTCTCAATAAATAAATAAATAAATAAATAAATACATACATAAACCTCAACTGACAAGGCACCTTTGCTAAATCCAAAGTATCCTTTATTTCATTAAACACTGTGTCCCTGGCAATCAATTTAAATTTGATTTCAAGGCTCACCTCTTGGGCAGGTTACTTTAACAGCTATAAGCCTCAGTATCCTTTTGGTAAAAAACACTTTTGGTTGTGAGCTGAAATGAAAATGGAGGCACAGTCCCTGGCCGCATTACAAGCCCCAAAAGCTCCATGAGGTGCTGGAAAGGAGAGGCAGCATCCTCCAACATACCTCCTCTTTGTTCCCTTCTGGGTCCTCAACAAACACCATCACGTCTCCTTGCCCGGCGCTGATGGTGTCCACAGTGAACTTGGCTGGCTGCTTCACCATGTTTCCAGTGGGCTCGATTCCTGCCACAGGTTTACACAGACATGTTAGAAGCCAGGCGAGGGTGTGTCATGAGCCATCGCCCACTGCATCTCTTTCAGGGAACTGAGAGATGGGACCCAGCCCTGCAGATCCCATGTGGGAAATGGGGACAAACTGCCTTGACAAGGAAAATCAGGCAGGTCGAAAGCCTTAATTTTGCCCATGTTATTGAAGTAATATCCAATTTTGATATTCAGAGAACCTCAGTCAGGAGTCTATATAAAATTGTGGAAATAATGTGGTTAATAAGTAGTAGCAGAGCTTGCCTTGATGGAAGCAACACAGCAGGGAGGAGCGAAGCTTATTTCTCATTAAACAGCATTTATTGTATTGCCTGACATTTTTAAAAATTATATTCAATCATTTTTTTAATTAACCTTTTTATTTTAAGATGATCGAGCAAATTCATCGAGACAGATTTTACCTGTAGGTGTAAGAAACAATGCCCTTGCTGGGAGCGGTGGCTCATGCCTGTAATCCCAGCACTTTGGGAGGCTGAGGCAGGTGGATCACCTGAAGTCAGGCGTTCAAGACCAGCCTGGCCAACATGGTGAAACCCTGTCTCTACTAAAAATACAACGTGGTGGCACATGCCTGTAATCCCAGCTACTTGGGAGGCTGAGGCAGGAGAATTGCTTGAACCAGGGAGGTGGAGGTTGCAGTGAGCCCAGATCGCATCCTAGGCGGCAGAGCATGACTCCATCTCAAAATAGTTTCCCCAGTGGTAACACGGTAAAAAGCTATGACTCAATCTCACAACCAGGGTATTGACGTTGATACAATCAAAATAGAGAACATTCCCTTTAGCACAGGGAGCCCTCCTGCTGCCCTTGCATAACCACACCCACACTCTCCTTAGCCCTGATAACCACTAACCCGTTCTCCACACTGTAATTTTATTATTTCGGTAACGTCACATCAATGGAATCATAACTATGTAACCTTTTAGGAGTGGCCTTTTTCACTACATATAATTGTCTACAGGTTCACCCAGGTTGTTGCTTCTGTCAATGGTTTTTTTCCTTTTTATTGCTGAGTAGCTAATATTCCATGGTATAGATGTACCACAGTTTAACCATTCGCCCACTGAAGAACATCTGGGTTGTTTCTAGTTGTCTCTTACCAATAAAGCTGCTGTAAACATCTGTGCATAGGGGTGTGTGTGTGTGTGTGTGTGTGTGTGAACATAAGTATAAAATAGTAAGAAATTATATATATAGGTCTCTGCCCCTGGTTCCAGAGTTCCTAAACCCCTTGGAATGTCCTTGGTGACAAGAGCATCTTCTGTTCTAATCAGGCAACTCTTAGTGGGCTCCCGGATAGCTTTCAAGATGTGGCTAATCAACAGAAAGACCAAGTCATGATCAGAAGCTTAGAACTTTCGGCCCCACTCCCCATCCTACAGGGAAGGGAGAGGAACTGTAGTCTCAGTTAATGTCAATCACGCCTACGTGACTTAGCCTCCACATCCCTGAAGTATGGAGTTTAGAGAGCTTCTGGGTTGGTGAACACATCCATGTGCCAAGAGGATGGCCCACCCCAACTTCATGGGGACAGACGCTCCTGTGTTCAAAACGCCTCTAAACTTTGCCCCGTGCACCTCTTCATCTGGGGCATCATCTGTATCCTCTATCATATCCTTCACTACACAACTGCTAAAGGTAAGTGTTTCCCTGAGTTCTGTGAGCCACTCTAGCAAATAACATAACATGAGGAAGGGGTAATGGGACCTTCTGATTTGTAGCAAACCTGGACAGAAGCTGTGGGTTACCTGAGGACCCACCACTTCTGACTGGCCTCTGAAGTCAGGGGCAGTTTTGAGGGACCGAGCCCTTAATGGCGTCTGCACTAACTTCAGGTAGATAGTGTCAGAATTGAAGGGAATTGATTATAGGACACCTACTTGTTGTCCACATAAAATTGGAGAACTTGTCAGTATGGGGGACAGAAATCCATAGATTTTGGTGACCGGAAGCGAAATACTGAGAGGAGTAGTAGAGAAGATGAGAAAAGTTTTTTTTCTTTAGCTGTGAGACTATAGAAGGAAAAACAGTGGCTCTCATATACAGTAAGTTTTCATTCCTCTGGGATAAATGCCAAGGAGTGCAATTGTTGGGCCATATGGTAGTTGCATGTACTGTTTTTTGAGGTTTTGTTTTTGTTTTTGTTTTGAGACCAAGTCTCACTCTGTAGCCCAGGCTGGAGCACAGTGGCACAATTACGGCTCACTGCAACCTCGACCTCCCAGGCTCAGGCAATCCTCCTGCCTCAATCTCCTGAGTAGCTGGGACCACAGGTGCATACCACCACACCTGTATAATTTTTAAAAATTATTTGTAGAGATGCAATCTCCCTATGTTGCCCAGGCTGGTCTCAAACTCCTGGGCTCAAGTGATCCTCCAGCCTCAGCCTCCCAAAGTGCTGGGATTACAGAAGGGAGTCACTGTGCCCAGCCTATTTCTTTATTAAGAAACTACCAAACAGTGTTCCAAAGTAGCTACACCATTTTACATTCCCACCAGCAATGTATGAGTGAGTGATCCAGATTCAGTTTCTCTCCATCCGTTCTGCATTTAGTGTTATCAGTATTAATATTTTTTATTTTAGCCGTTCTGATAGTGTGTACTAGGATTAATTCGCATTTTTCTCATGGTTAATGATACTGAACAAATTTCGATGTGTTTTTTTGTCATATGGACGTTCTCTTCAGCAGAAACTGTTTATGTCTTTTGCCCATTTTCTTATTGGGTTGTTTGGTTAAATGTTTGTCTGTTTTTTAACGACTAAGACTTGAGAGTTCTTTCTACATGTTCTAGATACTAGTGTTCTGTTGGACATATGGTTTGCAAATTTTTTCTCCCAGTCTTTAGCCTGTATATTCATCCTCTTAACTGTAAAAAGTTTTAAATTGTTTGTAAAAGTAAAATCCAGCCCCCAGATCCCAGTCTCAGCAACATTTTGAGTTCTGTTTGAGACGGTGTCCGGGTGGCTTTTATAGTGTGAGGGCTAAGACAGCTTGTCTTGCAGGACAGTAGGTGACCCAGGAGTGCACCCTTCAATGCAGGAAAACCCTCAACAGCACATAAAGGCCAACCACCATGTACCATGTTGAGTCTTTGAGACAGACCATCCTTCTTAAAACATTAAAAAGTTTTTAATTTTGATGAAATCCAACTTATTTTTTTTTAATGGATCATGTTTTTGGTGTCAAATCTGAGAACTATTTGCCTAGCTCTAGATCTCAAAGATTCTCTTCTATGTTTTTTTCTCAAAGTTTTATAGTTATATGGGTTTTTTGTTTTTTGGTTTGGGGTTTGCTTTTGTTTTGTTTTGCCTAGGGATGTTCAATTTCTCTGCCACCATGTGCCGAAAAGGTTTTTTCCCCCAATGACTTATCTTTGCACCTTTGTCAATAATCAGTTGTGCATATTTGTGTGGGGCTGCAATTCTGTTTCACTGATCTATAATGTCTATCCTTTGACCAATACTACAAAATCTGGACTTCTGTAGCTATACAGCAAGTCTTGAAATCAGGAAGGCTGATTCCTCCATGTTGTACTTCTTTCTCAAAATTGTTTTTGCTACTTTAATTCCTTTGCCTTTTCATATAGGTTTTAAAATAATAATCTTGCTATCTGCAAAAACTCTTGCTGGGATTTTGACAGCAATTGCATCAAACCTGAATGACAATTTGAGGAGAGGTGGTATCTTTACTATTTGACTTTTTTTTTTTTTTTTTGAGACGGAGTCTCGCTCTGTCGCCCAGGCTACAGTGCGGTGGCACAATCTTGGCTCACTGCAAGCTCTGCCTCCCGGGTTCATGCCATTCTCCTGCCTCAGCCTCCCGAGTAGCTGGGACTACAGGCACCCACCACCACGCCCAGCTAATTTTTTGTATTTTTAGTAGAGACAGGGTTTCACCGTGTTAGCCAGGATGGTCTTGATCTCCTGACCTCATGATCCGCCCATCGCCCACCTCGGCCTCCCAAAGTGCTGGGATTACAGGCGTGAGCCACCGAGCCAGGCTGTTGACTGATTTTCTAATAGTGAACGAGGCCTTGCATCCCTGCAATAAACCCCACTTGGTTATAATGCATACTTCTTCATTATATACAGCTCAATTTTATTTGCTAATATAGTCATTTGCTAAATAATGAAGTTTCAGTCAAAAATAGTCCACACATACAATGATGGTCCCGTAAGATTATAAATAGAGCCAAAAAATTCCTGTTGCCTACTGACGTCACAGTAACGCATCGCATTACTCATGTATTTGTGATGATGCTGGTATAAACAAACCCACTGGGCTACCGGCCATAGAAACATATATAGCACAGACAATTATGTTCAATACATAATACTTGATGATAAATGACAATGCTACTGGTTTATGTATTTAATATGCTATACTTTTTATCATTATATTTTAGAGTGGGCATCTTCTATTTAAAAATTAAGTTAACTGTAAAGCAGCCTCAAGCAAGTCCTTCAGGAAATATTCTAGAAGAAGGCATTGTTATTATAGGAGACGGCGGTTCCACACATTACTGCTCTTGACGACCTACCAGTGGGACAGTGGGACAGGATTTGGAGGTGGAAGATAGTGATAATGATGATCCTGACCCTGTGTAAGTCTAGACTAATGTGTGTGTTTAAAAAAAAAAAAAAGTTTTAAAAGTACAAAAATGAAAAGTTTTAAACACAGAAAAAAGCTTACAGAGGCCGGGTCCAGTGGCTCACACCTGTAATCCCAGCACTTTGGATCACCTAAGGTGGATTACCGAGGTGGATCACCTAAGGTCAGGAGTTCAAGACCAGCCAGGCCAACAGGGTGAAACTACGTCTCTACTAAAAATAAAAAAATTAGCCAGAAGTGGTGGTGGGCACCTGTAAGCCCAGCTACTAGGGAGGCTGAGGCAGGAGAATAGCTTGAACCCAGGAGGCAGAGGTTGCAGTAAGCCAAGATCACTCCACTGTACTCTAGCCTGGGTGACAAGAGCAAAACTCCACCTCAGAACAAAACAACCAATTGTTGTCCAGTTGAAGGATTCTTTTCTCTGTCCTTCCACCCTGCTATTGCGCTTATCCAATAAGTTTTTATTTCAGTTACTGCAATTTCCAATTCTAAAATGTCCATTTGGTTCTTTTTATCTCCTAAATTTTTATTATTATTTTGCTGGGACATTGTATTTCTTTGTTGAGATTTTTAATTTTTTCATTTTTTTCATGATTGTTCTTAACTGCCTACCGAAGCCTTTTTTTTTTTTTTTGAGATGGAGTCTCACTCTTCTTGCCCAGGCTGGAGGGCAACGGCATGACCTCAGCTCACTGCAACCTCCACCTCCCAGTTTCAAGCGATTCTCCTGCCTCAGCCTCCCGAGTAGCTGGGATTACAGGTGCCCACCACCTCACCTGGCTAATTTTTTGTATTTTTAGTAGAGACTGGGTTTCATAAGGTTGGTCAGGCTGGTATCGAATTCCTGACCTCAGGTGATCTGCCCGCCTCGGCCTCCCAAAGTCCTGGGATTACAAGCCTCCCAAAGTGAGCCACCACGCCTGGCTACTGAAGCCTTTTTTAATGGCTGCTTTAAAATTTTTGTCATAGGATTCTAACATCTCTATCACCTCAGTGTTGGCATCAACTGTCTTTTTCATTCAGTTTGAGATCTTCCTGGTTCTTGGTATGACAAGTGATTTCTTTTTTTTTTTGAAACTGGATATTTGGGGTATCATGTAATGAGACTCTGGGTCTTCTGTAAATGTTCTGTTGTAGCTGGCATTTTATGATACCACTGTGGCAGGGGAGGGAAGGGTACACACCTTGTTACTAACAGTGGGGGAAGAAGTCTAGGCTCTCCATTCAACCTCGACTGATGCTCAAGATTGGGGGGCTCATTACTGGTGCGTGAAGGTGGGAGTTCTGGCTGGAGGAAGTAGGAGTGCCTCATTACTGCTCCTCCATGGCCCCGGAGAGTGGCTTCCTTATTGCTAGACTGTTGTCAAAGCCTAGGCTCCCCATTCACCTCTGCGGGTGTAAGTGTGGGGCTGCATAGTTTTTTCTATGGTGTGGACCTGGAGTAGAGCAGTGACTCTTTAAGTTTTCTGCCTCACTGGGCTGCCCTTTCCTGGTCTTCTGGCTGGACAGGGGAGCTTTTGTTGGCACTTTCTGTGTTTGTGCCCACTGGCATTTTCAGGTTGTCAGCTTCTTTCTTTGGCTCCAAGTCTGGGATATATAAAGCAAAGTAAACCCAAGGAACTCAGTACTGTGTCATTCCTCGAGTCCCAAGATCCCTGGTTGGTCTGCCTCATCCTTTTTCAGAGGCTCCCTGTGTTTTCCTTATGTATAGCCCAGGGGTTTTAGTTGTAGTTAGAAGAAAGAATTAGGAAAAGTCCTATTCCATCTTCCCAGGAGCAGAAGTCCAAATATTACCTTTTTAAAAAGCTTTTTATTATGAAGAATTCCAAACTAGGCTGGACACAGTGGCTCACACCTGTAATTCCAGCAATTTGGGAGGCCAAGGCAGGTGGATTACCTGAGGTCAGGAGTTCGAGACCAGCCTGGCCAACATGGTGAAACTCCGTCTCTACTAAAAATACAAAAATTAGCCAGGTGTGATGGTAGATGCCTATAATCTCAGCTACTCGGGAGGCTGAGGCAGGAGAATCCCTTGAACCCAGGAGGCAGAGGCGGGGGTTGCAGCGAGCCAAGATCATACCATTGCACTCCAACCTGTGAAACAGAAGTGAAACTTCAGCAAAAAAAAAAAAAAAAAAAAAAGGCTGGGCGCCGTGGTTCACACCTGTAATCTCAGCACTTTCGAGGCCAAGGTGGGCAGATCACCCAAGGTCAGCAGTTCAAGACCAGCCTGACCAACATGGTGTAACCTTGTCTCTACTAAAAATACAAAATTGGCGGGGTGTGGTGGTGCATGCCTGTAATCCCAGCTACTTGGGAGGCTGAGGCAGGAGAATTACTTGAATCCAGGAGGCAGAGGTTGCAGTGAGCCGAGATCGTGCCATTGCACTCCAGCCTGGGCAACAAGAGCGAAACTCTGTCTCAAAAAAAAGGCTGGGCGCAGTGGCTCACACCTGTAATCCCAACACTTCGGGAGGCCGAGGCAGGTGGATCACGAGGTCAGGAGTTCAAGACCAGCCTGGCCAAGATGGTGAAACCCCATCTCTACTAAAACTACAAAATTAGCCGGGTGTGGTGGTGGGCGCCTGTAATCCCAGCTACTTGGCAGGCTGAGGCAGGAGAACGCTTGAACCCGGGCAGCAGAGGTTGCAGTGGGCCGAGATCATGCCACTGCACTCCAGCCTGGGCGACAGAGTGAGACTCCGTCTCAAAAAAAAAAAAGAATTACAAACACAGATGTAGAGAGCACTGCACAGTGGACCTCCTGTACCCAGCTTCAACAACTATCAACTCACAGCTGGTCTTGTTTCACCTTCACTCCCGCCACCTCCCCTTCCTGTATTATTTTGACACAAATCCTAGACCTCAGATTTTTTATCCACAATCACTATGTATCCTTAAAAGATACTTGCAAAGTACCCACAATATCGATACCATATAAAAAAAAATAATTCCTTAATGTCAAATATTCAGTGTTCAAATTTTCAATTATCTTATAAATATCATGAATTTCTTACAGCACCTTGAGCTGCTGCTTTATCATGAATTTTTATTTGTTTGTTTGTTTGTTTGAGACAGAGTCTAGCTCTGTCGCCAGCCTGGAGTGCAGTGGCGCCATCTCGGTTCACTGCAACCTCCACCTCCCAGGTTCAAGCGATTTTCCTGCCTCAGCCTCCCAAGTAGCTGGGACTACAGGCACATGCCGCCATGCCCAGCTAATTTTTGTATTTTTGGTAAAGGGGGTTTCACCACGTTGGCCAGGATGGTCTCGATCTCCTGACCTCGTGATCCACCCACCTCAGCCTCCCAAAGTACTGGGATTACAGGCGTGAGCCACCATGCCCAGCTATCATGAATTTTTTTAACCATTAGTTTGAATAGGATCCAAATAAGGTCACATATTACAAATGGTTGCTAAGTCTCTTAAGTCTCATTTAATCTCCGGCTGTCTCTCCACCACTTCCTTTTCCTAGCTACCAATCTGTTAAAGACACTAGGTCATTTGTTACTATACTCTGGATTTCTATTCATTTCCCAATAATTTAGTTTAAGAAAAAATGGCCGTAGACTGTTATATAATAAGATAATCTTTCTGCCTAAAAAGAAAGGTAAAAATTATAAAGAACTACAAATAAATTTTAAAAGGTAGCCTTCCCACACTGCTCAGTAAGAAATGCAAAGCAAAGAAGATACACAGTTTAACTCAGCATAGAAAAAAGGCTAGAAATAAATACCTGAAACTTTGAAGGCAGGAATGAGATTGGCAGTTGGGAAGTGAGTTTCAATTTTTATTTCATATATTTTTCTTTTGCTTAAGATTTACATAACACTCAGGTTATGTAACTGATATAAGCAAATGGATTTAAACATACACCTAATAGCCAAGCATGGTGGCTCATGCCTGTAATCCCAGCACTTTGAGGGGGCCAAGGCAGGGGGATTGCTTGAGCTCAGGATTTTGAGACCAGCCTGGGCAACATGGCCAGGCTGGTCTCAAACTAAAATATTAAAAAAAAAAAAAGCTGGACATGGTGGTGCACACCTGTGGTCCGAACTACTAGGGAAGCTGAGGAGGGAGAATCACTTGAGCCCAGAAGGTCAAGGCTGCAGTTAGCCGTGATGGCATCACGACACTCCACACACAGAGAGAGAGAGTGAGACTCTATCTGAAAACGACAACAACAAAAATAAGTAAGTAAATAAACATGCACCTAAAATACTAAAAGTTCCACTTCGTGTGACTCCAGCAGCCTAAGAAACAACGTACTCTGCAGCTTGTCAAAGGTCTGGGCTTGGGTTGGTCACCCGTGGCTAACCATGGCTGGTTAGAAAGTTGAACCACACCCCAACTCTGTAAACTTCTGCGGAGCTTTGCTTACCATGAAAGGAGACAACTGGTACCCCTCTGATTACTCAGATAGAAGGGTGCTTAAGGATTGCTCTACAGTAAATGCTTCATAGAGAACTAGATTTTTACAAAGATTTCTGATTAGCTCATGGACGAATGCTTTTCACATAGCTAACCCTGCAAGGAAGCCCACCACAAAGATCTGTTTGTGGCTGGAGGTCCACCTCACCCCAGCCCTCTCTCCTTTCAACCCACTAGAACTAAGCAAGGTGGGACTCAGTGAATGGATCAACAAATGCTAACTGGCTGGCAACTGGCATCTATTAAACAATCAGGAAATAAAAAATAAAACAACACTTTCAAATCTTTTAGAAACTAGAAGATGAAACGGTCTCTCTTCCTGGGCTCAGGTGGCAGAAATGAAGCAATGTGGTCACACAGAGAAGACCAAAACTGACCCCGGCTTTCATCTAACCACATGACAGGGACATATCTCACAGCCCCACCCATGTGGCCTTGTGACCCTGTCACCTAATATGACCATTTTGTCTCCTACTTTAAAAAGCAGAGTGAGGCCACTTCCTCCTGAAAAATAAGCTGCATATAGAATTACCATATGATCCACCAATTCCACTTCTGGGTATATCCCTAAAAGAATTGAAAGCAGGGTCTCAAACAGCACTTGTACACCCATGTTTTCATAGCAGCATTATTCACAATAGCCAAAAGAATGTAACAACCCAAATGTCTATCAGCAGACGAATGTATAAGCAAAATGTGATATACACGTACAAAGGAATATTATTCAGCCTTAAAAAGGAATGAAATTCTAACACATGCTACAACATGGTGAACCCTGAAAACATATGACAAATGAAGTAAGCCAGAGAAAAAAAGACAGCATATGATTCTACTTCTAGGAGGTACCTAACAGACAGCGTATGATTCCACTTCTAGGAGGTACCTAACAGACAGCATATGATTTCACTTCTAGGAGGTCCCTAGAATAAGCAAATTCATAGAGACAGGGAGTAGAATAAAGGTTACCAGGAGCAGAGGAGAGGGGAGAATGGGGCGCTATTGTTTAATGAGTATGGAGTTTCAGTTTGGGAAGTTGAAAAAGTTCTGGAGATGGATAGCAGTGGCGGTTGCACAACAACGTGAATACACTTAATGCCACACTTAAAAATGGTTAAAATAGTGAATTTTATGTTATGGATATTTTCCCACAATTAAAAAAATGCAAAAAGCACACATATAAAAAAAAATTTTTTTTTAAAAGGGTGTGTTTCCTCTACAAGTGCACCACACTTGCTAAGAGGCAGATGAAGGAAATGGCAATGACCAGCCACATTCCTGAACCATAACAAGTGATCATTTTCTAGAAAATAGCACCGTGAAAGGAAACCGTCTCACATTAACAACAGGGAAGCCGGATGGCCAGTGATAAGGTTATTACAAACATACACTATGCCTTGATTAGATTCAGTCCATTTGACCAATCTGGTTGACAAAGGATTTAATTGGTTGTTTGCAACTGTTTTGTCATTAAGGAAGCATAACCTTTAAAGTCAGAGATTCCTCATTCCAGCCACCACCTGTGGTATGCCTTAAAGAAAGCACTTTTTTTTTTTTTTTTTTGAGACAGAGTCTCGTTCTGTCACCCAGGCTGGAGTGCAGTGGCGCGATCTCGGCTCACTGCAACCTCCGCCTCCCAGGTTCAAGCAATTCTCCTGCCTCAGCCTCCCGAGTAGCTGGGACTACAGGCTTGTACCACCACGCCAAGCTAATTTTTGTATTTTTAGTAGAGATGGGGTTTCACCTTGTTAGCCAGGATGGTCTCAATCTTCTGACCTTGTGATCTGCCTGCCTCAGCCTCCAAAGTGCTAGGATTACAGGTGTGAGCCACCAAGCCCGGCCAAAGAAAGCACTTTTAAAGAAAGTGAGGACATGCCAGCCTTCAAGTGACTGTGAATGGGAGGAGGGCTTTGAAGTCCCTAGTCCCTACATAACACAAGTGATGTCTCACACACCTCACAACCCACTGCAAACGGAACCTCAAATGGTAAGGGGTTTGTTCCAGAACTATCTGCCGGTCTAAATCATGCCCAAAAAGTCAGATGAGAAGACTCGACCACTGAGGTGAGAACAGCACGTGGTCAGCATCACTGCCCTAGCCATGTGTCGTCTTAAGAATAAGCGGATTGGGAGGCCGAGCCGGGCAGATCACCTGAGGCCAGGAGTTGGAGACCAGCCTGGCCAACATGGTGAAACCCCATCTCTACTAAAAATACAAAAATTAGCCAGGCATGGTGGTGGATGCCTGTAATCCCAGCTACTCGGGAGGCTGAGGCAGGAGGATCGCTTGAACCCAGGAGGCAGAGGTTGCAGTGAGCTGAGATCGTGCCACTGCACTCCAGCCTGGGCGACAGAGCAAGACTCTCAAAAAAAAAAAAAAAAAAAAAGACTAAGCTGATACCAAGCAGGAAAATACTTTATTCAAAGGGAACATTTGTAGGGAAGGAACATCCTACAAGACACATGCCCTTAACTATTCAGAAAGTCAGTGTCATTTAAAAAAAAAAAAAAAAAAGTTTGGGGAAATTATTTAGCATGAAAAGAGTCTAAAGAGAAATAACAAACAAATGTAGTAAGTGAACCTTAATCAGATCTTAGTTTGTAAAACAGCAACAACTATAAAAGATAATCTTAGGACAATAGAGAAATTCTACAACAAACTGAATATTAGATTATATGAAACTATTGTTAATTTTCTTACATGTGGCAATGAATACTGTGGTTATGCTAGAGGATATCCTATTCTTAGGAGAAGCTTAGTGATGTACTGAGGACAGAACTGTCACCATGCTTGCAACTTATTTTCAAATAATTCAGCAATCATACACATGAACACATATGCAAACACACACAAAGGGCAAGAGAAAACTATTAAGCTAGAATGGTAACAACTGTCAATTCTGGGAGAAGATATACAGAATACTGTGTGTATAACTATTATCCCACTGGGATAACATTTTCTTTCTCGTTTTTTTTTTTTGAGACGGAGGCTCACGCACTCTGTCACCCAGGCTGGAGTGCAGTGGCAAGATCTCGGCTCGATGCAACCTCTGCCTCCTGGGTTCAAGCGATTCTCCTGCCTCAGCCTCCTGAATAGCTGGGATTACAGGCACCCGCCACCATGCCTGGCTAATTTTTGTATTTTTTGTAGAGACAGGGTTTCACCATGTTGGCCAGGCTGGTCTCCAACTCCTGACCTCAGGTGATCTGCCCGCCTCGGCCTCTCAAAGTGCTGAGATTATAGGCATGAACCATCACACCCGGCCGATATTTTCTTAATTATGAAAAATGAGAAATAAAATGCACTCCTTCCCCTCCCCCATAGAAAAGGCATTAAGTTGTATCTGGCCATGTTGATCTTCACCAGAAACCACACTTTGCAGCCATGTAACTGTTCTCTTCACAAAGCTAGTGTGCTTGAAGTCAGGTGCCAATCACAACACCAAATGCCTTGAAATGGCTTCTACCCACTATAATGTTCTGAGCAAAACGGTGTTCCGCAGCTGCCTCGCAGTCATAAACAGGATGTCTTAGCAAGGAAGTATCTGCCAGGGGTTAACAATAGCTCCCACTCCGGCTGGAAATCTGAGGCAGGCTTAGTGTAACAGAAGGAGAAATGAATCAGCAGCCAGATGGCCCACCCCCATCACTGACTGTGGTGATCTGGGGCAAGACCAAACTCCCCCGACTCCCTACCCCGCGATTCCTCTTCTGAAAAATGGGAGCAATGGGCTACTGCACTAAAATCACCAAGCAGCAAACTTGCCCTTTCCATCTAAGCAGAAACATTTCTTAAAGCCTTAGAAAAACAAGGCAGAATAAAACAGTCATAAAATGTGTTACAAAGGAGGCTTGGGGTCTCTTTGAGGATTACACCTATCTATTTTTGATTCTAAGAACATCACTCTTGAAGCCATGAAATCATCTCCAACACCAGAGGACATGTCTCCAATACAACACCAGAGGACCAGCACTCACCTCTGCCATAGGCCCTGGCTTTCTTCGGGTTGAGTTTGGGTTTGAGAGGAGCCCCCGGCTTGAGCTTGGCTTTGGGGAACTGGGACAGGTAAGTCATAACTGAGTGCTCGTCCACATCCGGGTGAATGATTTCTTCAGGAGTGATGACCTAGGATAATGACATGGTGGATGAACACCCAGAACACATCACTTTGCAACTATTGAAGTGTTTGCAAATGCCTCTTAAACCAAGCACTACAAATATTAAGAAACTGAGTCAGCTTCTCAATTAAGTGAAATTACTTTAAACCAACACACCAATATCAGTGTTTTTAACCATTTTTGAGAAATTGCAGACCCCTTTGAAAGCTAGGGGCCCCTCTCCAAAAAATTCTGCATGTAACTTCCAAAAGTTCATTGTCCTCCCCATTCCCCAAAAGTCCATTTACTCCTCTGGTCAAAATTTCAAAAATGATAAAAGGATAAGCTATAGCAAGGCAGGAAAATGAAGAAACAAGCACACATGGGATTAGAGCATGTTACAAAAAAGTGCACAGGTTAACCAGCTTTTTCCTTTGCTTGTATACTCATGGTCTGTATCTGTATTAACTCTACTAATTAAAAAAGGTAAATAAAAAAGAAATAACATGTAAATATTAGATATGTGATCTCAATATATTAGGAGCCATTAAAAAAATAGGGAAGCCAGGCGTGGTAGCTCATGACTGTAATCCCATCACTTTAGGAGGCCAAGACAAGAGAAATCACTTGAGGTCAGGAGTTCGAGACAAGCCTGGCCAACATGGTAAAACCCAGTCTCTACTAAAAATACAAAAATTAGCCCAGTGTGGTGGCAGACACCTGTAATCCCAGCTACTAGGGAGGCTGAGGCAGGAGGATGGCTTGAACCCAGCAGGTGGAGGTTTCAGTGAACCGAGATCATGCCACTGCACTCCAGCCTGGGTAACAGAGGAGTAAGACGCTGTCTCTTTAAAAAAAAAAAAAAGGCCAGACGCAGTAGCTCACACCTGTAATCCCAGCACTTTGGGAGGCCGAGGTGGGTGGATCACGAGGTCAGGAGTTCAAGACAAGCCTGGCCAACATGGTGAAACCCCATTTCTACTAAAAATACAAAATTAGCCAGGCATGGTGGCATACACCTGCAGTCCCAGCTACTCGGGAGGCTGAGACAGGAGAATCGCTTGTACCTAGGAGGCGGAGGTTGCAGTGAGCTGAGATCGTGCCACTGCACTCCAGCCTATGTGACAGAGCAAGACTCCATCTCAAAAAAAAAAAAAAAAAATAGGGAATGGGTGAACTTCTCTTGATATTCAGCTTAGGAGCAAGACTAGACCCATCCTGGACAGGTGACTTCCCTGAAGGTGCCACCACCTCAGTTTCAGTACCATCATCTGACCCAGCCCTAAACAGCTTGCAGAGTCCTCCCTGCCTCCAGTAATGGTGCTAAGGAGGTAAATCACACTTCCTCAGATGAACAGAGGCTCTGTCTCATGGACCAGGTTAACCATGTGCAATGAACAACAGATGTGTCCAACTTCCCTCCCCATGTGATAAAAAGCACCAGAAAACATTCTGACCATTAGCCTGCAGGAACAAAAGAGCTACTTGGGTTTGAACAGTCGCCTTCAATACATTCCATAAAAAGTAGGATGTGTGTCGATTTGGCATTTCTTCCCAGCAGCTCCTTCAACAACTTCACCCATGCCAACATCACGTGAACGTAAAAAGGAGACGGTTTAGGTTTAAGCGGAGATGAAAAACACACCACACCACTTCCTGAGGGTGGACGAGCCAAGAAACCAATGAGCCATGTAGGAGAGACATGACTCCAAAACCAAACCAAAGAAACAGGCATGTTGTTCTACCTTCCAAGGGACCCTGTTACAAAATACACTGAACTCAGACCTCAATGCAGCCTATAGTGACGCCATCAGTCCCATGGCACTGGCTACCTGCAATCTTCCCTGGCTAGCCTTTGGACACGGGACTCATGGTGCCTAACTGTTAGAGGGAGTTTCTGGAAAGAAAACACTGGTTTTCCTCCCAGCTAGGAAGATCAGACTTCAACTAAGCAATGTGACTACTGTAGATGGTATCCAAGACTTATTTGATTTCTGAGTTCTCTTGTTATATTCCTGTGATAGGATTATGGGTGATAGAGATTCTTCCACAGTTTCCATTAATGGTGGATTATCCTGGCTTACATGTTTTTAAAAGTTTTAAGTCGGCCAGGCACAGTGGCTCACGCCTGTAATCCCAGCACTTTGGGAGGCTGAGGCGGGCAGATCACGAGGTCAGGAGTTCGAGACTAGCCTGACCAACATGGTAAAACCCTGTCTCTACTAAAAATACAAAAATTAGCCAGGTGTGGTGGTGCGCACCTATAATCCCAGCTACTCAGGAGGCTGAGGCAGGAGAATTGCTTGAACCCGGGAGGCAGAGGTTGCAGTGAGTGGAGATCACACCACTGCACTCCAGCCTGGGCGACAAAGCGAGACTCCATCTCAAAAAAAAAAAAAAATTTTAAGTCCTGTGACTTTTCTTAAGCTATTGGATTAAAATTACCTTTTAAAATGTAGATTGAAAAATGGTCAAATACTATCAATTTCTTATGGCTCAACCTAATAGTTAGGGTCCATATTTGTAGTCTGGGGTTTAAAGGTAGTCTTCAAAATATTTAGAGAAGAAATACTAGAAAATTTGCCAGTGTGTGACAAAGAAGAGTGACATGAAAATTTCTGGATGATCTACATTAAACCAACACACTAAGATCTATAAGCACCTGAGTCAATGAGAACCTACTATTATTATGGGTAAACTGAGGAAGATGAGAGAGCATCACAGGCAATGCTCTCTGAAGTCTCAATGCCAAGAAGGTCGGGCTGCCTGACCCGGGAAGGCATCCACAGAACAAGCTAGTGGGTGGGGGCAGCCTCACAGGACCTGGCACACTTGTGCATACCTGTGGGACACCCAGCCAGTCATCTGCCTGCTGCATGGCTTCTCGTGCATTATCCACAGGCTTCTGCGGGTCCCAGGATTCCCAGTCTGGGCACAGACCTGTTAACAGAACACAAAAGATTCTTTTAGCATTAGCTGACCAAAGAGATTAAAGGAAACCATGTGCCTAAACTAACCCCATTTTTTCTTTTAGTTCAGAGAATGATTTTTTCCTAAAATCTGAGCAAATCATATATTTAATAGGCAAAAAGTATCACAGGTATGAGTGTGCCAGGGTGTAAACTATCCTCCATTACTGAGACTTCTCCTCCGGGTGCTATGTTCTTGCATGAAGATGGGGATTATCCATTCCTTGAAGAAGTGGTGTTAAAAAATAAACAAAGCTTGGAAAAAGCCTGGTGCCTTTATGCAGGAGGGATTTTATTTTTTACTCTATTCCTGGATATATCTAAAAAGTCTAGAATAGCATCCTGTGTGATTCAAAAATCCACTTGCTCAAAGGCACAAACCTAGAATTATCTTAAAAGCCTTTGTAAGCACATGAGGTAAAGGACTAGAGTAAAAACTCCCAGGTTTAAATTGGAAAGAGGTATCCTAAAATGTGTCCTTAAATGGAAGTAAAGAAGAGGATATTAGGAAATCAATTAATGCTGCACTTTGAATTTTTCCTGGATGACACCAACTTATAGGCTCTCAAGTAAGAATGAGGCCTTCAGCCCTCCCCTACCCAACTGACACTAGTTCTGCTTTGAGTATGTCAAGAACCACTAACTAACTAAATACTAATGTGCCCAGTAAATACAGAATACACAGTAAATGGAAAATATGATTAATACCTTTTTTTTTTATTAAAATCAACTTTAGGGGGTGTGTGTAAACTCTGACTCTGGTCTTTCTACTGAGTGTGTACCAGCAAACTCTACCCATCAATCTAAACCCTCCAGTGGGAATAATTACAACCTTCATATACACTCAACCACTAAGAAATGAGCAGCCCATCAAGGGTGGAAAAGGCTCCAACTGGATCCTGACCAAATGCTATTTCACAGCAACACAGAAAGAAAAGGGTGGAGAATGCCATATATAGTCAAACCAGTGGTTAATAAAAATGGGTACTTTCCACTCCATGGAAGTTTTCAGATTTTCATGCCAAGCCACCTAATAGGACCAAATGTTTCTCCAAATCCAATGAGAAACTGAGCACCAATGTGGGAAGACACAGGATTTTGGAGTCTGGAACCTAAACCCAAGTCTTGCTTCTAAGCACCAACTCCTTCATTGGAATTTGGATAAAAGACTCAACTTGATGCTCAAACATGTCTATGGATATACCTAGAAAATCTGCCCTTGGAAGGGTACACAGAGCCAGTTTTAGTTTCCTTATAATGGGCTTATAATGGGCTAAGACCTGGAGAAATACGCTAATCAAAGCAAAGATAGCATTCCCGTTGAAAACCAGAATGTTTGGGACCCACACACCCCCATCCTGGACAGATGGTTTAGGCAGCCCTGGCCACTTACCTGGAGCACAGCTGTCTACCAGGGCTCCCAGGGCTTTGCCGTCTTGCCAGTTCTGGTTAAAGTTGGTGATGGGCAAGTAGGGGATCTTGTTCTGAATCCACCCCAGCAGCCTCTGCTTTGGCGTCTGCTTCTTGGCATCATCATCCCCTTCATCCTCCCACACGGGCATGGAGATGGAGTAGTGGAGGATCAGCGTCCACACCAGACCCAAGATGAGCTTCAGGTTCCCATCCACAATGGCTTTGCTATCTGGGGAGAGAAGCACAGGCTTGGTCATTCCTTTGGGTTACACAAGTGTAAATTATGCTCCTTATATAAATGTAAATGGAGTCTTCAACTATTAGAGAACCATACTGAGATATTTAAGAGTGAAATGATGTAATGCTGAAATTTGCTTCAAAACATTTGAGGACAAAAACAGATGAAATATGATTCCAAAATGCCATTAACGGATGTCACTGGATCATGGGTTCATGAGCATGTAAGACACCACTGTCTCTACTTTTGTATACGCCTAAAATTTTCCATAATAATGGCCAGGTGCAGTGGCACACTCCTGTAACCCCAGCACTTTTGGGAGGCCGAGGCAGGAGGATTGCTTTGAGCTTAGGAGTTCAAGACCAGCCTGGGCAACATGGCAAAACTCCCTCTCTACCCAAAAAAAAAAAAAAAATTAGCCGAGCATGGTGGCTCACTCCTGTAGTCCCAGCTACTCAGGAGACTGAGGTTGGAGGATCGCTTGAGCCCGGGAAGTGAAAGTTGCAGAGAGCTGACGTCACGCCACTGCACTCCAGCCTGGGCAACAGAGTGAGACCCTGTCTCAAAAATTGAAAGAAATCATTTCACAAATATACACAACAAAAAGGAGTGACTGCATCCCAGAGGTAACAACCTGCTAAACTGGTAGTATACAGCCTACCAGATTGTGTGTGTATGCGTGTGTGCACGTGTGTATGTGTATACATGCATGTGTGTTTGCTGCCTGAATTCACGTTTTTCGATAGGTAGGAATTTTTTTCTTTTCATTAATCATTATGTCCTAGATATCTTTTCCCTATAAAAAGTTTGTTTCTGTTTACATTCCTATCTATAGATTTAAGAGGCCAGCTAGTTATCCCTGCAAATCTCACCAATGCTAGGTGTTATCAATCATTTTCATATTTGCTATTCTGACACGTCAGTCATTCTTAAGAGTAAGCCATGACACAAATGCGTCCTGTTGTGAGGAGGATAAGTGCCCAGCCAAAATCATGGCCCCTTTCTAGTCCTTTCCTTGCTTAACAGAACATGCCATGCCATGCCCCTGGCCAGCACCTTCCAGGAGTCTCACTGCCATTTGTTTCCACTTTCCCTGCCCTTGCCTTCTCTGCAGCTATCCATCTCCCGCACCCCCTGCAACTTTCTCTCTCTCTCCGTTTCCCTATACCCACTCTCCAACAAAGATACTCCATAGCCAGCTCCCATTCTACCAGGACCCCAAGCTACAAACATGGGCACTATCCTGGACTCCACCTCTTAAACTCTGGGTATAGTTTCCACAATGTGTCAATTCTATCCCTACCTAACTCTTTTGGCAAACCCTTTTCTATACCCTCCCAATAAACATTTTTGTCTTTGATAGCCTTGAAGCCGAATCACTGTTCACATAACCCCAGAACCATCTTTCTCGTCAGGTGCCTCTGTGCTTCCAAATTCACCAGGGTTCCCGCTGCACACAATCAGCTCCTTAAACATACACAGCACCTCAGAACCTACATAAACCCCATCCAATCCGCTTTCCACTCTTGCCACTTCCACCCACCATACTGCAGGCTCAAAGACTCCTTGTTCCTGGACTACATCTTGCCCTGAGCCCCTGGACCTCTTCACATGTTCTCTATCCCTTTGATGGGAAGACCTTCACCCATCCTCCTGTGGGATAACTCCTGGCTCATCATTCTGACACCAGATTCTACAGCTGGTGGCACTTCACTCCCACCAGCATTTATGTGTGAGTTCCTTGGCCTCCCACCTCATTCCAGAACTAAGCCGCTTGTTGAGGAGTGACTGAGCTATCTGCATCTTGGTGTCTCCCCAGCCACCCACCAAGAGCCACCTGAATGCTGGTTGAACACATGCCAAATTACACTTAATGAAACCCAACCACGACCACATGAAAAGCATACTCACATGCTGATAAGGGGTGCATGGCATGCCACTCAAAAATGAAAGGGTGAGAGCCTTATTTTTTTAATTAACCTGATTATTGTTATATCCTCTTGCAAAAAAAGACCCTCTTTAAGAGCCCACACCCAAACCATCAGAGAGAAATCATCAGAATTTAATTATTAAATTAATTAATCAGAATTAATTTTGCAGGTGCAGATTCAGTCATAATAAAACTCGATCATCTAACCTGGAAAAAACAAAGAGTATCATGGAGTGGCTGGTAAGAAAAACTAACTCAAGCAATCCTCACTCAAAGTTAAGGTTCCCAAGGACTTTCTCTATAATGAATTGTATAAATAATAACTTCGAAGCAGGACTGTCTACATAATTCATGGGGCTCAGAGAAAAATGAAAATACAGGGTTCCTTGTCCAAAACTTAAGAACTTCACACCAACATCCATTTTCTACTCCCCAAATGTATCACTAACGTTTAAGCCAGCCCCCTAAATATAGGAAACAGATACAAATTCACCGTGTTTTCTTGTAATTTAGCTCAAGAATTGCTTTCACTACCCACTTCCTCAAATTCCCATCCTTTGCCATGTGTTGCTGTCTTTAACTGTTTGAATCTAGCTTCACACACAGCCTCTTGCTTTTTTTAGTTTCTCTTCTTCACTCTCTTTTGCAAGTATGAGTCTTGTTAATCCTGGGGAGGATAATCTGATTTTGGAACCATTTCCCAGCTCATTTCTCAGTATTACCAGAAGATACATCAAACTTAACTCCTAGGGGAGCAAGACCTGCCTGCCTCTAGACCAGTGGTTCTCAAAATTCAGCAGGTGTCAGAATCACCTGAAGGATCTGTTAAACCACAGAATGCTGGGCTCGCTTTTAAAGTTTCTGATTTAACAGGCCTGGGGTGAAACAGGAGAATTTGAATTTCCAATAAATTCGTAGGTAATGCTGATGTTCTTGGTCTGGGTCATAAGAGTAATTCTGATCATTCCATATTCTGTTTGTCGTCTCCTTTACTGAAAGCCTTTATATCATGGGTTCTTCCTGAGTGTGGGGAAAACCTGTGCCTTTATTCTAACCAACAGAAAAATGGCAGAGGTGACGGGCTATTACTCCCATGACCATATTACGATGCATGAAACTCCACTTTAGCAGACAGGAGACAGATTCTCTTGCTGGCTGTGAGGAAACAGGCACCTGTGTTATGAATTGCCTATGCAGAAGGCCTCATGGCAGAGATATGAGCGTAGCCTGTAAAACCTGAGGTTAGCCTCCAAGCAACAGCTAGTAAAAAGCTGGGACCTGTCAGTGGGACAATCACACAGAAATGGATTCTTTTAAAAACCTGAATGAACCTGAATGAAGTGGATTTTTCCTTAGTTAGGCATTCAGATGAAAACACACCCTAGATGGCACCTTCCTTGTAGTCTCGTGAGACCCGGAGCAGAGGACCTGGTCTTAAGCCATGGCTGGACTCCTGGCCCACAGAAACTGTGAGACAATGAATAAGTGTTGTTTGAAACTGCAACTCCCCAGTGCCAAAAAAAAAAAAAAAATTAAGAACTTCAAGACAGCAACAGCAGAGCAATAAACCAAGTACAGGGCCCTTCTGAGCACACGGGTCATGTGGTCATGAAGCCAGCCCTCCTTTTGAGGTCCTGTGGTCAATCAAGGAGCAATGGTCTGCATAAAACTCCAGGCCCTGCACGGAACTTGGTTATCCAAGGAATCCACCCCACGGGACCAGACATTTCCTGAGCTGGAAGTCCTTGACCATGACTGAATTTTTTGGATTAGTTATCCTGTTATTTGGTTGTTGTTTTGAAGTGCTATTGATTACGGAGTTACTACCTACTGATTATCAGAAATTCCAGATCAAACAAGTTTCCATGCCAATTCCTTTAAGTTAAAGGGAGAAGAGCAATCTTCAAAAGGGTAAACAATAAATAAGTAAATAAATAAATAAATAAATAAATAAATAGTGGGTATACTGTCAGGGTAATGGTGGTGGCCAGGCACCCTCAAGGCATTGATCTCTTGCACCAGGAGGGATTGGATGGAGCTATGAAGTCTCATCCGGCCACAGGCATTAGTCTGCAAAACTCAAACTTTCCCAAGTTATATGTTAAATGCTTTTCAAAAGCAGACTTGCAGATTTGATTCACAAACCTAACATGAAATCATTAACATGAAATCGGCTTGCTCTATTTTTACCCAGCTTACACATGCTAGTCTAAAGGAATGAGACACAAGTCTTTTTCGAAAAGATTTTGGGGGAAATATGATCCAGTTGAAGTCTGAGCCAAATTTACAAAAAATACAATGCCCAGAATTTCTGTTTCCAATTGAATTCAAGGTGGGTGTCCACACGGGAAAGCCCCCTTTATGGTCTCATTGGGATAAATGATACCTTCCTTCTGCTATTATAAGGACTAGAGAGAGAGCAGTTCTCATTCCAAAACTGATTTTGACAGGTGAAGGTTCAAACGCTTCACCAAACTCTTGGAACAATAAAAAGATGGCGACTTGCCCAAAGACCTCCAGGTTCCCATCCACATGAAATAGGAGACTCCCCAAGCCTCGAAAATGAAATGTTACACAGCATCACAGGGTCAACAACGTCTGACCATCACGTAGATGAGACACTTTTCAGATCTGAACGTGCTCTGCAATGTTTACGCCGAGGGTAAAACATGGAGCAGAACCTTAAGAGGAGGAAAAGGCCAGATGAGCCGGAAGCCTTTCAGCAGGATTCCATGTGAAGACTTGCTCCAGGGCCTTTTTCGGGAATAAAATAAACCAACGCCTACCAGGTCCGCCTAACCACCTAGAATCTGCTTAGATTTCAGTGGGTTGGAATTGGGCCATGGGTTTCTCCTCCCCAAATCCAGCCAATAACAATTCCCACATAACTGGTCTTGGCTCTGGACAACCCTGACCCTCAAACCACATACATTTTCTCGAACTACTTAAAATTACTCAGTGTTGCTTCTAAGTGAGCAGGGTGGGTGTGTTTTGTTTAGTTTTGTTTTCTTTTCTTTTTAATAGCTAGAAACTTAATTTGAGCTACTGCAAATTCTGGGATGGAATGTTTTCATGTCACTTCTGTAAATCAGTTCTCTGGTCCTGGTGAAGGAGCATTCTAGAATGGATGCATTCACGGGGGTGGAAACCGGCTATTTTTAGGCAATCTTCAGAAGCATCTTGGAAACATCTTCTTTGTGGATGAGTTCCCCAGAGGTCAAGGAGATGGTGGCCTTTTACCTCTCTACTCACATCAGGAGGGCCCAGATCCACGCAACCACGTGTATGCCTACTACATTCCTGCACCAAACCATCCAGGGAGTTCCCAGAGGTCAGTTCCAGCAGCTTCTCTCCTGGTTGTTACTGATTAACCACGGTGGCAGAGGTGGTAGCCCATGAGGAGAGGCATGGACAGACACTATTCCACATTTTTGCCCTCCTGAGAAGGAATAGGTCATCCTTTGGCCACAATGCAGGTAGCTGCTGAGTCAGAAACAGCCAACAAAGTGACTGTAAGAATCAAGGAGAGGCCAGGCATGGTGGCTCACACCTATAATCTCAACACTTTGGGAGGCCGAGGCAGGAGGATCACTTGGGGTCAGGAGTTCGAGGCCAGCCTGGCTAACACGGTGAAACCCTGTCTCTACTCAAAATACAAAAATTAGCTGGGCATGGTGGTGTGTGCCTGTAATCCCAGCTACTTGGGTGGCTGAAGCACAAGAATCGCTTGAACCTGGGAGCCATAGGCTACAGTGAGCCAAGATCACCCCACTGCACTCCAGCCTGGGAGACAGAGGGAGACTCTGTCTCAAAAAAAAAAAAAAAAAAAAAAGAATCGAGGAGAGATAGGGGTGTGTAGGCCAGGCGGTTCATCTCTGTAATCCCAGCACTATGGGAAGCTGAGACAGGAGGATAGCTCGAGCCCAGGAGTTCAAGACCAGAGCCTGGGCAACATAGGGACACCCTGTCCCTACAAATAATAAAAAAAATTAGTCAGGTGTAGTGGTGCATGCCCATTAGTACCAACTAGTACTTGAGAGGCTGAGGCAGGAGGATTGCTTGAGCCAGGAGATCGAGGCTGCAGTGAACCATGATCACGCCACTGCACTCCAAGCTGGGCAACAAAGTAAGACTCTGTCTCAAAAAAAAAAAAACAAGAGAGAGAGAGAGCAAGAGAGCCTGTAATCCTAGCACTTTGGGAGGCCAAGGAGGGCAGATCACGAGGTCAGGAGTTCAAGACCATCCTGGCCAACATGGTGAAACCCAGTCTCTTCTAAAAATTTGCTGGGCGTGGTGGCATGTGCCTGTAGTCCCAGCTACTCGGGAGGCTGAGGCAAGAGAATCGCCTGAACCCAGGAGGCAGAGGTTGCAGTGAGCCAAGATAGCACCACTGCACTCCAGCCTGGGTGACCGAGTGAGACTCCGTTTCAAAAAAAAAAAAAAAAAGAGAGAGAGAGAGAGATGGGGTGTGTGCTTGACACAAGTTACCAAGGCCACACACACTCGCACTAAGACTTGGCCATCTGGGGAACAGGATGCCATGCACTGTGCACTCTGCCCCCTCATCTCTACCACCCGGAGAGGCTACATGGTAGAGGGGTTGCAAACACAGGCTCGGGAACCAGTAGCTTGACTAGATACATCGGTTTGAACAATCCATCTCTGAACCTTATTTTTCCTCATCTACCAAATAGAAATGGCCATGGTCAACTACTTCCCAGGGCTGTTATAAGGAGTAGGTAGGTTAGAGAATGCCAAGTGTCGGCCGGGCACAGTGGCTCACGCCTGTAATCCTGGCACTTTGGGAGGCCGAGGCAGGCAGATCACTGAGGTCAGGAGTTCGAGACCAGCCTGGCCAACATGGTGAAACCCTGTCTCCACTAAAAATAAAATTAGCAGGGCATAATGGCAGGCGCCTGTAATCCCAGCTACTTGGGAGGCTGAGGCACGAAAATCACTTGAACCCAGGAGGCGCGGTTGCAGTGATCCGAGATCACACCACTGCACTCCAGCCTGGGTGACAGAAAGAGACTCTGTCTCAAAAAAAAAAAAAAAAAGAAAGAAAGAGTCAAGCACAATGCCTGTCTCACAGTTGGCCGCTTAATAATGTTCCCTCCCTCCCCTCCATCCTCATTTTCCTAATACTTAAGTACCTGCTATGTGCCAAACACTCTTCCCTAGGGCCAGACATCCACAAGCCATACTCCAAGTGTTTTGTGCAAGCAGCAAGAAATGAAAAGAAGTACCTTGTGAATTAACAGGTGGTTGAAATGTTCAATTTGTCACTTCTCTGAGCCAAGCAATTAATTAGGAGGGCCATGACTGCCACCTCCAAGGCCCCTGCTCTCCTGCTCCAAAGGGAGGCTGACCCCTAACGCTGCAGCGAACCTGGGGCACGTGAGATCTCTGCAAGAAGGACACGTCTGAGAAAGAATTTTAGGTGGTTCTTGGTGTTGCTCTGAGGGTCTTGGGCCATGCTGGTCTTCTAAACCACCCGGCTCAGACGTGTCCTTCTTGCAGAGATCTCATATGCAGCACCAAGAACCACCTAAAGAACTGAACTATGGGCCGGGCATGGTGGCTCACGCCTATAATCCCAGCACTTTGGGAGGCTGAGGCAGGAGGACCTCCTGAGGTCACGAGTTCGAGACCAGCCTGGACAATATGGTGAAACCCTGTCGCTACTAAAAATACAAAAATCAGCCAGGCATGGCGGTGGGCACCTTGTAATCCCAGCTACTTGGGAGGCTGAGGCACAAGAATCACTTGAACCTGGGAGACGGAGGTCTCAGTGAGCCGAAATCACTCCATTGCACTCCAGCCTGGGCAACAGAGCAAGACTCCATCTCAGAAAAAAAAAAAAAAAAAAAAAAAGAATTGAACTACTGATATTTTATCAGACCTCCCTGAAAGAAAAGAGCAGCACATATGGGTCAGGGGTCTGGCCCCTCCTTTTTTTTTTTTTTTAAAGACAGGGTCTCGGTCATCCAGGCTAGAATACAATGGTACAATCTCTGCTCACTGCAACATCCGCCTCCTGGGCTCAAGCGATCCTTCCACCTCAGCCTCCTGGGTAGCTAGGACTACAGGCACATGCCACCCACCTGGCTAATTTAATTTTTTATAGAGACAGGGTTCCGCCATGTTGCCCAGGCTGGTCACAAACTGGCCCCTCCTTAACATCCCAGTTTACTGTGCCCCATGCTCACCTGGCCTGGAACTCCTTCCCCATCCCCTCTCCCTCTAATGCCTCTTCTATATCCAACTCTGCACAAAACTAGAATAGATCCTGTCCGTCTTGGCTGCTTGGGTGAGCCTACAGCAGCAGCAGCAGCAGCCTGTGAAGAGCTGCTGCAAGACCACCCCACATTGAAGAGCTCAGATCTCCTGCATCCAGACCCCAGGCCAGCAGGACCTGGTGCCCACTGACAGCCCAGGTCAGCTTTGCAGTTTCTCTCCATCCTTGCCTGTTTTCTGAGCCCAAACAAACCATGGCTGAATTGTAGGCTTCAGCTGTCCAAACAAAAGGGCATTCTGAACCAAAGCGGGGACAGCTGACAGCTCTCCTCAGTTCCTCAGTCAAAACCTAGCCAGATGCAACCCATCTCCCCAGACAGCAGGTTAAGGAGGACCATGTCGGTCAGCTGCCCAGGACCAGTGTCCCATTTTCAAGTCCCATATCCCTTCCATCCACACAGCCAATGAACTGTGCACTTTGGCTCAGGTACCCCAGAGGCCCCTGGGTAGGATGAAGGGGACCAAGCTGGCTTATCTCCTCCTGCTCAGGGCTTTTCTCCAGGGCCTTGATCCAATAAAAGGCTGCATGCCAACAAGGCAGACTTAAGGCCCTGATAACTGATGCCTATCTGTGGCCTTTGTCCCCTTCTCCCTCCCAGGCATGCAACTTCCACCTAGATGGTCAGTCAGCCTCCCCTGGAAGTCAGTGCTGTGCCTGTCTTTCAAATAAGCAACAAATGATATGAAATGAGCCACGGCTTCAGGACCTGAACAGTGGGCATGCCTGCTCCATGCACTCTTTCCCCGATTGCCAGCCAGGAGCCCAGACAGCGCAGTCACCTGGCTTTGGCCTGCACTAGGAGAGGCACAGCAAGGTGAGGGAAGGAACCTGGGTCCCAGTATCAGATGCCCTGCCAACCTGAAGACCGAAAAAACCCACACTCTACATGCTTTCCACAACTGTTTTTGTTGTTATTGTTTTTAAGAAAACCTCTGGCCAGGCGTGGTGGCTCACGCCTGTAATCCCAGCACTTTGGGAGGCGGAGGTGGGCGGATCACGAGGTCAGAGATCCAGACACCCCGTCTCTATTAAAAAATGCAAAAAATTAGCCGGGCGTGATGGTGGGCGCCTGTAACCCCAGCTACTCAGGAGGCTGAGGCAGGAGAATGGCGTGAACCTGGGAGGCGGAGCTTGCAGTGAGCCAAGATCATGCCACTGCACTCCAGCCTGGGCGACAGAGCGAGATTCTGTCCCAAAAAAAAAACAAAAAAAAAACAAAAAAACAAACAAAAAAAACCTCTTTGTTACAGTGGTTAAACTATAATGTGGGGATGTTCTGGGCTTTGGAAGACCAGAAGTCTCATGGGCCTATCTCAATTGGTAAGAGAAAACATAAACCACAGTAAAATACAAGTAGACAAGGGGGCCGAAGTTGGCTGGATTTCCAATTCTCTTTCTTGCTCATGAACTACTCAAAGATCACAAAGAAGCTGTTTGAATTAATTTTTATCCATCACTGTGTCAAGGGTTCAGTTAATATAAAGTTGACTTGGCAGGTCTTTTCATGTTAGTAGTTTTTCAAGAGATGATACAGTAGATCAGGAGCACCAAGTGGTGCTAGTACACTGTGTTGAGAAGGATTCTGAGGCCACATCTGGATTCAGCAAAAAAAAAAAAGACTGCTAAAATGCATTAGAAATGTCTTCCGTGAACAGGGCATGGAGAATGGAGGCAGTGAAGATTAGCAATGCCTGCCCTGGGCATGGCATGGGGGAGTCGTGGCCAGGATTTCTCTGCAACAGAACTGAGTAAACATTCCCTAATCCCTGATTTGAGATTTCTACTATAGGCCCATAACACATTCCTTATGCATAACCTCAGACTTCAAATTCCCTATTTTGCCAACTATTCCTTCTGTTCTCTCTCACTTGCTGGACAATTTTTGCCTCAAATAGTTGGAACGAATCACTTCATAAATACCTTATTGTTATTTTGGGATAGAGAGTTTGGTGAACTTTCAGCTCATAGTATCTATGATGGTGTACTGCTTCATAAATTATCCCAAACACCCTATTTCTGGTTAACAGGAATCACTGTATTTAAAAGTTCCATTTTCATCACCCAATGCCTTTATTTTCAATGCCACTTTTGAAAAGGTAAAATTTTGAGAATTACTTAATATCCAACAACAAAGCCACACTGGACTAAATAAATGATCAATGAGACAGGTCTGCTAAAGGGCCTAGGATACAGTAACTATCTTACCACTTTCTAGCACTGGGAAATCCTTTAAAAGTCAAAACGAGGATTCCAACCTCTTGTTAGAAAGGTCGAAGAAGGGAAACAAAAAAGCAGGGCTTGATGGCTTATGCCTGTAATCCCAGCATTTTGGGAGGCCAAGGCAGATGAATCACCTGAGGTCAGGAGTTCGAGACCAGCCTGGTGAACACGGTGAAACCCGTCTCTACTAAAAATACAAAAATTGGTCAGGCATGGTGGCGGGCGCCTGTAATCCCAGCTACTCAGAAGGCCGAGGCAGGAGAATAGCTTGAACCCAGGAGGTAGAGGTTGTGGTGAGCCGAGATTTCGCCATTGCACTCTTGTTGCCACTGGGCAACAAGAGCAAAACTCTGTCTCAAAAAAAAAAAAAAGAAAAAAAGAAAAAAGAAAACTTAAAGAAGAAGAAAAAAAGTATAGACACTCCAAAATGGTCAAAGCAATTGCGTTCTAAACTAAGTTTTAAACCTCAAAGCAACAGGTTGCTATACAAACTCATTCTGTTGCTGCCACACAGTTCTCCTGGACAACTGACAGTTCAAGGCCCCCAAGGACGCCTGGGCATGAGCAGAAGTGGAGGAGCTCAGAGCCCAGCCCCCAAGAGGCTCAGGTTAAAGCCCAGCATGAGCTCTGGAGGCCTCAGCCTGATGGCAGTCTGTGTCTCGCTCACAGCTTCCAGCTACAACTGCTCGGCAAACATTTCCAGCTGAAATAATAAATGCTGGCTGTGAATGGAGGTCCTCGTGACCCTTTGACTCCAGCTCAGTTTGTCATGTGGTGAGGCCACCTCACCTGAAACACAGCCCATGCTCCTGTGAGCTCAGTCTGGCCCACCCTGGGGCTGTGCACCCCACAGGGAATCCCTCGAGGAAAAGAGTGATGGGTGAAGGCAGGAGGAACCATGCCAGGGAAAGACTCCTAAACATCTCTTCTCCTTAGATCCACAGCAACCAAAATACAATGGCAGCTCGCTCTCTTCCAGCCCCCTCTCCTGGGCCAGACCCTGTGCCACTTGCATCACCTTGTGCAATCCTCACAATGACCCTGTGAGGGTGGCTTTTAGGGTTAATCCCATTTTACAGATGACATAACAGAGGCCCACAGAGGTGAAGCCAACTGCCAAAAGTGACACAGGGGGAGAATCTAGATGGAAACTCACTTCTCTCTGTTATCAAAGCCCAAACTCCTACTCTTGCTACTTCGCTGAATCTACATCATCTCATAACAACTTGATGAGGTGAGTTCAGTTATGACTCCCATTTTGGAGATGAGGAGACAGTGCACAGAAGTGATCCACACACATGCTGTGCTTGGGAGGTAAGCCAGGCTTCTCTGCCCACCAGGGCAGGGCCTCTGAATTTCCACCTGACTCAGTCATTCCCATGATGCCTGCGCTGCCGAGGCTCTCGGGAAAAACATGGTGGACAGGCAGCGTATGAACCATATAAACACAGGGCACAGAAGCACACAGAGCACAGTCCCCTTGTCTCAGCCATGACTGACTCGGCCTCTACCACACCCTGAGAACTGGGGAATTTTTTTTTTGAGACAGGGTCCGGGGTCTTGCTCTGTCACCCAAGCTGGAGTGCAGTGGCACGATCACAGCTCACTGCAGTATCGACCTCCAAGTCTCAAGCAATCCTCCTACCTCAGCTTTCTAAGTAGCTGGGACTACAGACACCTGCCACCACGCCTAGCCAGTGTGTGTGTGTCTGTGTGTCTGTGTGGTGTGTGTGTGGCGGGGGGAGACAAGGTTTTGCCATGTTGCCCAGGCTAGTCTTGAACTCCTGAACTCAAGCAATCTGCCCACATTGGCCTCTCAAAGTGCTGGGATTACAGGCATGAGCCACTGCACCTGGCTGGAACTGGGGATTCTAATGATAATGGACTGTCCCTCCATTCAAGAGGTCCCCTATGCATGCCGCACTGCTTGGCACAGAGCTATTCTCAGGTAACTCCTTGAGGGAATCAGGGAACTTGAGAGAAGATGCAGCTCTGCTCTTATTTACCCAAACCTATCAGCCTGTGTGTTTTCCAGAAAACAGGAATTAGAGTTACTCACATACTACTTGAAGATTCAATTTGCTCTATTTTTCTTTTCTCATATTCAATAAATATTTCCTAACTGCCAGCCAGGTGCTGTGGCTCATGCCTATAATGCCAGCACTTTAGGAGGCCAAGGCAGGTAGATCACCTGAAATCAGGAGTTTGAAACCAGCCTGGCGAAACTCAGGAGTTTGAGACCAGCCATGGTGAAACCCCATCTCTACTAAAAATACGAAAATTAGTTGGGCGTGGTGGTGAGTGCCTGTAGTTCCAGCTATTTGGGAGGCTGAGGCAGGAGAATTGCTTGAACCCGGGAGGTGGAGGTTGCAGTAAGCCAAGATCGCACCACTGCACTCCAGCCTAGGTGACAAGAGTGAAACTTCGTCTCAAAAAATATACACATATTTTCTAACTGCCTACTGAGCTCCCAGCTCTGTGCTGAATACCAATTATACTTTTAAATGAGAAAGTTAAATTGGCTTGAAATGACTCTACAAAGAGATAATGGCGTTATTATAATGAAAACTGGTGTCTCCACAGGGCAAGACATTGAGGACCTTTTAAAGGAAGAAAAAAAAAACCTTTTGGCTTTTTGTCCCTCATATTAGGCTATGTTTCCTGGGAGTTTTTTCCCCTTTTATAATAAAAAGTTAATAATAATAATAAATAGGATAGGTATTTATCCTTTAATTGCAAACTTACAAAAGTTGAGCTTTGTTACAAAGTCAGATCAAGGTGGCTTCCTTGGTTTAAAAGGGGAGAAATCAGCTTCCATTTTTCCCCTGTAACTCACCTCAAGTTACAACTCATATTAGCCTGCTGTAGAGATGGCAGCCTGCCCAAAGATTGTGAAGTCATAAAAGGGAACAAAACTCCTAATTTAAAGTCTTGAGTAGGAACCAAGCTGAGGAAAATTCCAAATAATTTATAACCGCTGGCTCTGACCATCACCACAGAAAAGGGAGGAAACCACAAGAAAGGAGGCCCTCAGAGGACAGATAGGGGGAACTCTGCCTGCTTTACCTACACTGACACTTTCTGGATGGCTCCTCCCTGTGCCCTGTCTTTAGCTCAGCTGACGGCTCAACTTTATATCCCCAAATCTGGACCTTTCAGCCCACAATTATGTGAGGAGGCCTCCAAACACACGTCCCACCCAATCCCAACAGAGCTCTCTGCAAACTCTCTCAGCCCAGGGACCGACCTCCTTCTTACGGGTGGAATTCCATGCCACCAACATCCAAAGTAAAAGGCATGGTGCAGGGATGGGTGGAACCCACTCAAAGAAAGGGCAGGTCGCTGGCTGAAGTAACTGGTGGCCAAGTCACCCAGGAGTCAGGGGCATTAAGTCAGTTAGTGATGGGGCAGCTAGAAGTTCAGACGTCCTGCTGGGGCGTCAGAGAAGCCTGGTTCACCTCCCAAGCACAGCGACTTGGCAAGCTGTGTGACCATGAGTGGGTCGATTCCCTGTGCTCAGTGTCCTCACCTGCAAAATGAGAGTCGTAACTCCCTCGCCTCATCAGGCTGCGGTGATACGATGGAGTAAAGCAAGCAAGCAGCACTGCCTGACGACTGTCCCATCAAATTCACGGGGGCTACTACAACCACTGTTATTACTACCATAGTATTATAACACACACAAGTTTGGGAGCTAAGGGTGCCTCCCCGTTGGCATTGTGAAAAGGATTCAAGCCATTCAATTCTGGTTCAAGACTGCTCAGAGCCGAATGCCCTAGAATTCCGCCTTCTAGCACAGATGAGCATTCCATCTGCTAATGACCACAAGAGCTGGGTCCCTAATGGGACACAGCATTAAGGCTGATAGAATCAAGATGTTTCTTGCTCGGTGAGCTGCTGAATGAACTGGCAGTGTGCTCTAGTCTGCAGGCCACCCCAACTCCTCCCACAGATTCCGGGGCAGTCTGCAGGGGCCAGGCTGGGGCCACTGCTGATAGAAAATTAAACACAAGGTCCGTAAATTCAATTTGAAGTTCCCTAACATGATTTCTTTTTCTAATGGGAGGTGGGGGAGGTTTTGATATTAAAGTGATCTTTAGCCATTAAAGCAGTTCATTACAAGACAACTGGTGGGGGGAGGGAGGGAGAACTGAAAACAAATGCCTCCCTGACAGTAAGTGGTTAAATAAACTTTACATTCAAGCAAGAGGAAAACAGGGTGCTGTGAAAAGAATAAGAAATGTTTGTTTGTTCCAATATGAATAGGCTTCTATGATGTATTAAGGGAAGGGGATAATTTGTAGAAAAGTATGAATTGTACAATCCTGTTTTTCAGAAGTCATGACTGCATCTGAACAGAAAGATCTGGAAGCATAAACACCAAACTGTCCTCACTGGCTCCTTCTAGGAAGAAAACTAAGAAGCTGATGGTGGAAGATGGGCTTTCATTTTATTGTTGTTATTTATTCTGCATTGCTTGATTTTTTATTTTTATTTTTTAATGGAGTCTCGCTCTGTCACCCAGGCTGGAGTGCAGTGGCATGATTTCGGCTTACTGCAACCTCCGCCTCCCAGGTTCAAGCGATTCTCCCACCTCAGCCTCCCAAGTAGCTGGGATTACAGGCGCCCCCCATCATGCCCAGCTAATTTTTGTGTTTTTCTAGAGACAGGGTTTCACCATGTTGGCCAGGCTGGTCTTGAACTCCTGATCTCAGGTGATCTGCCCACCTTGGCCTCCCAAAGTGCTGGGATTACAGGCATGAGCCACCACACCCAGCCCCCCCAAAAATTTAATTTTTAAAATTTAAACTACATATGTTACTTTTTTTTTTTTTTTTGGAGGCCAGGGGGAGACAGGGTCTCACTCTGTCACCTAGGCTGGAGTGCAGTGGTGCAATCACGGCTCACTGCAACCTCGACCTCTGAGGATCAGGCTCCCGACTCAGCTTCCTGAGTATCTGGGACATTTGGGTCCCAAGTAGCTGGGACAGTCACCACCATGCCTGGCTAATTTTCGTAATTTTTGTAGAGACAGGATTTCGCCAGGTTTCCCAGGCTTGTCTTAAACTCCCGGGCTCAAGCAATCCTCCCATCTCGGTCTCCCAAAGTGCTGGGATCACAGGAATGAGCCACCATGCCCTACCCATCTGTTACTTTTATAATAAATCTTGACATACATCATCAAAAAAAGAAACATAGTACAATACATATGAAGAACTCTTCATCTTAACAAAATTGCTTGTCAGGATCTATAGGTACTAACGTGGGAAAATCAACAGGTATTATGAAATGATAAAAGCAATGTGTATGACAGGTTCAAATTTGAGTACAGGGTACTACAGAAGTAATATAATTGAATTCATCTATGTACAGACTGTCTCTTGACAAGACAAAAAACTGTTCCCAGACCATGCAGTTGCTTCTGGAAAGAGCAGCAAGGAATAGAGGTGAGGTGGGGTGGTAGGGCAATGGCCTTTCACCTGTTTGTTTAAATCGCTAGTGCAATGTTACCTATCAGCAAAGGAATACCTGGAGACTCTGTGGGTTTGCCTGATTGTCTTTCTGATGCTCCTTGGCTCAGCTTTCTCAGTGGCCATCCAAATGCCTTCCATTCCTCACCAGACACACCCGTCCTGGACAAGCAATCTCCCAGCCTCAGGAGATGGACTTTGCCATTTCCAAACAGCTTGCCAGAGGAGTCGATGTTGAAGATTACATTGCAAAAGATGGAGTCATTTGGTTGCCTTTGGGCATGTTTTTCTTTTCTTTTCTTTTCTTTTCTTTCTTTCTTTTTTTTTTTTTTTTTTTTTTTTTTTTTTGAGACAAGGTCTTGCTCTGTTGCCCAGGCTGGCCTCAAGCAATCCTCCTGCCCCAGCCTCACAAGTAGCTGGGACTACAGGGGTGTGTGCCACCACGCCCAGCTAATTTTTTGGGTCAGCCAGGCACAGTAGCTCACGCCTATAATCCTAGCACTTTGGGAGGCCAAGGTGGATGGGTCACCTGTGATCAGGAGTTCGAGACCAGCCTGGCCAACATGACAAAACCCCATCTCTACTAAAAGCACAAAAATTAGCTGGGCACAATGGCACACGCCTGTAATCCCAGCTACTTGGGAGGCTGAGGCAGGAGAATCACTTGAACCTGGGGGTGAAGGTTGCAGTGAGCTGAGATTGCGCCACTGCACTCCAGTCTGGGCAACAGAGCGAGACTCCATCTCAAAAAAAAAAAAAAAAAAAGAGAGACAGGGTCTCACCATGTTGCCCAGGCTGATCTCAAACTCCCGGGCTCAAACAATGCTCCCGCCTCTGCCTTCCAAAGTGCTGGAATTACAGGCATGAGCCACCACACCCAGCCTTGGGCATGTTTTTCAAGCCACCAAAAAACAAAAACAAAAAACACCCACCTTCCTAACTCCCTTGCGCCCCCGTTCACTTGCACCCTAGGAGAGCTTGTCCATTATGCAGAGGTCCGACCTCCCAGTGAGAGGTGAAACCTGAGGGCTTGGCCCTGTGCAGTTACCCCCCTGAATCCTTACAGCTGCTTTATGAGGAACTGCTGTTGGCTCCATTTTCCAGATTAAGAAAAATAATGAATAGGTCAATTAAACCCAAAGTCAGAGTTGATAAGCAGCAGAGCAGGAATTTGAACCCAGGCCATGACTCCAGAATCCACTGTTGGCTATTTCACCCTGGAGACCCAAACGGGAGTACACAGGAAGATGCCCAAACAAGGACATGATGGTGTTACAAAAGCTTTAAAAACTCAGAACCAAGTAGGGGGAAAATGCTGAGGGTTACATCATCCTCCTAAAAGAGATTTATCAGTGTGCCCCTGAACTCTGGCCCGTGATAAACGGTCGTGGCAGTAAGATAAACAGAACAAGTACACAGCAGATCGGCTTTGCTGCTAAAGGGGGAACACATTCTAACATTCCTGAGGCGCACTGTCCAAGGGCAGGCCAGGCAAGAAACACACGATAAATATCCAAGGCATCACCCCATCCACCAGCTGCTGCCGTGGCTGGAGACGCAGTCCACAGTCAGGGCTCTTTATGACCAGCTCATCTAAACAGTCTGCACCTTAGTCAGAAGCTGCTTCCCGGCTCAACAAGAACCCCAGCTGCAGTGTCTACATCTCAGAGCAGCTCTGCCTGAACCTAGCTCTGAAAAGCTAGGTCCAGCATCCCCCTAGACCACACTCACAGACAAGGCTCTCTCCTCTTACCACCTGGCCTATTTACTAAAGTTTTTCCTTCACTCATGTTTTCTTTTTTCCTTAGCTTAAGTAATTATGTCCTGGAAATCACAGGTTTGATACATTAGTTGCATTTTATAAACACATGAAAAACACATGTTAGAATTTTTAAATGTGTAACATGAGTATCATCTTCAGTACCACCTCTTAGAAAAGACTACCAGATGTTAGCTGGTTTTTCCAGAAAAGGGGGTTTCAGTGGCCAAACAACTGGGGGCACACTAGACTAAACAATTTTTTAACTGCTGCAGGACTTCTCAGAGCCTTTAACATGCCAACGTACATTGACAATCTCAAAGAGAGGGCTACAGTGTCACAGGGAATTTGCCAACACTATTGGACTAGCGGATGTTTAAAAATTTTATCTCCAAAGAGACTAATGTTCTCCAGAAGATAGTTTGGGTAAGTCCACTTTAAACTGCTCTTCAGATCCTCTATGAACAAGTCTCCCAAACATTCCCAGAGGCTGGGAGGTTACATTCTATAAAACTGGCAGGAGTGAGGATGAGACACAGGCAATAAACACACAGAAAGAAAGGAAGACAGGAAATAAGGAATTGGAGCTTTCTCTAATCTACAACTTTCTGTGGCAGTGATTAAGAAATGAGAATCTCGCTATTTGGATTCAAGAAGTTTTGCAGATAAAGGACAATAAAAAGCAGTTTTCAAAACGCTGTCCCTAATTAAGGATGCTAAAGGGAAGCACACCCTTTTGCACAATCCTTAGCCAGTGTTTATGAAATTCAGGCGACAACCAACTCACTTAAAAACCACATTAAGGAACATCTTATTGTTCCAGTGCAAACTGTAATTCTTAAACAACAGGCGATGATTTTGAGGAATTTGGGCGAAAACCAGCTTCTCCTCCTTTCTAGGTTTCCTTTAGAGCAATATGTTGTCTGTGACGAAGATTTAGACAAGTAGGAAGATGCAGGGATGGAGCCCCATAATTTGGCCCACTGCTTACATCAGTAGAAAGAGAGGGAGTCGTCCTGATGTGGGCAACTGGAACATCAAATTATGTGAAAGGGGGAAACCTTCAGAACCTCCAGCCAACTGCCGCTTCACTCTAAACTTCCTACACAGGAGAGGAAAGATAACTTAGTAAAAGTTAGTAAAAACTATTTCTGTAATAACTAAAACACATCCAAGTAGCATCCCTAATGCTACTGAAAGATAAAACGCTCACATGCACAATAATAGCAATGAGCCACGAAGCTTGAGTGCTAAAAAAATCCACTCAACTGGCCAGGCACAGTGGCTCACCCCTGTAATGCCAGCACTTTAGGAGGCCAAGGCAGGCGGATCACCTGAGGTCGGGAGTTCGAGACCAGCCTGACCAATATGGTGAAACCCCCAACTCTTAAAAATACAAAATTAGCCCGGCGTGGTGGCGCATGCCTGTAATCCCAGCTACTCGGGAGGCTGAGGTAGGAGAATCGCTTGAACCTGGGAGGCGGAGGTTGTGGTGAGCTGAGACTGTTCCACTGCACTCCAGCCTGAGCAACAAGAGCAAAACTCTGTCTCAAAAAAAAATCCACTCGACTTACATGTGGTATTAGATCCAAATCTGAGATTCCATCGACTATAATGTAAGTGTAACCAACCTAACCCAACAACCACTAATCAACAAATAATTACCAAGGGACCACCCACCCAGTCAACCAACTACCAAACTACTCATAAAAACCCAATTGGATTCATCCTAGACTACTCTCTCCCACCAAATCCACTCTCCCTGAATCCTGTTAGCTGCCTCTAAGTTGTTCCCTAGCCCAGCAGCCATCATCTAATGTCAGGCCCCTTTACTGGCCTACAAATCAAAACTCTTCCCAAATCTCCCCGCTGAACCCAGAGGGTAACCTCATACCCTTCAGGCACAGCTCCATCTCAGGAACCAACAAAACACTTCTAAAGCTAGGTAGAGGCAGACAGGACAGATTGGGCACAAAACATTAGAAAATTGAAAGGAAATGAAATTAATAGAAGTATAATTCAGTGCTTGCAAACCATCATCTTCACTAATTACTAACTTTGCTATTTATAGAAGTTGCAGGCCAGGCATGGTGGCTCATTCATGCCTGTAATCCCGGTATGTTGGGAGGCCAAAGTGGGTGGATTGCTTGAGCTCAGGAGTTCAGGATCAGCCTGGGCAACACAGTGAGACCCCATTTCTACAGAAAATACAAAAATTAACCAGGCATGGTGGCACGTGCCAGTAGTCCCAGCTACTCAGGAGACTGAGGTGGGAGGATTGAGCCCAGGAGGTCAAGGCTGCAGTGAGCCCTGTTCATGCCACTGCACGCCAGCCTGGGTAACAAAGAGAGACCTCACCTCAAAGAAAAAAGAAAATGAGTTATAGGTTAGTTTTCTCACATCCCAAGAATTTCCAAGTATACACTGATTGCTGAGAAATTACAGTCAATTGTTAAATAACTGAGTTAGTCACAGGGCGTGGTGGCTCACGCCTGTAATCCCAGCACTTTGGGAGGCCGAGGCAGGCAGATCAGGAGGTCAGGAGATCAAGACTATCCTGACCAATATGGTAAAACCCCATCTCTACTAAAAATACAAAAATTAGCTGGGTATGGTGGAGCACGCCTGTAATTCTAGCTACTCGAGAGGCTGAGGCTTGAACCCAGGAGGCGGCGACTGCAGTGAGCCGAGGTCATGCCACTGCACTCCAGCCTGGGCAACAAAGCGAGACTCCGTCTCAAAAATAAATAAATAAATACATAACTGAGTTAGTCATAGCCAAATACTTTTTTAAAACACAAGTATGAGCAAGACCAAAACTTTTTTTAAAAAGTTTCAAACTATTTTACAGCAATAAACACCAACACACTTTTTTTAAAGTGTGAAAAGTGGGTGTGTTTCATTGTATTTGATATGATAGGCTTAGGGTCTAAGGTCTTAAAAAACATCCCAGCATCTGGCCGGGTGCGGTGGCTCACACCTGTAATCCCAGGACTTTGGGAGCCCGAGGTAGGCAGATCACAAGGTCAGGAGTTCGAGACTAGCCTGGTCAACATGGTGAAACCCCCACCTCTATTAAAAATACAAAAATTAGCTTGGCATGGTGGTGGGCGCCTGTAATCCCAGCTACTCAGGAGCCTGAGGCAGAAGAATCCCTTGAACCCAGGAGGAGGAGGTAGTAGTGAGCCGAGATCATGCCACTGCACTTCAGCCTGGGCGACAGAGTGAGACTCCACCTCAAAAAAAAAAAAAATAAATAAATAAATAAATAAATAAATAAATAAAATTTATTAATGGCATTTCTTTTCATTACAAACGAAGACCATAAAACACAGGTGTATTAGCAGCACCTGTCGTTTTATCACCAAAGAAATCAGATTTTCTCCTGTCATTGACTGTTTTAGATAGCACAAACTATCCTTTATGCCATTGCTACATGATAATTATAGTAGTTCTTAGACTCACTGTTAGATCTTGTTATTACACATTTTAATACAGATGTGCATTTATTGCTATATCTAAAAATTTTATTTCTGATATCTATTTCAATATCATTGGTTTCCTTTGCAATTCCATGTATATTATTAAGTGGAAAGAAAGAGTACAGTCTTCAGAGAGCCCAAGGGGTCCAAGACATATTAAGTTAACAACTCTGGCTACAATTAATAATTTTTAGAACCAAAAAGTAAAAGGACTTCAAAATTTGGCCCACAGGCCATAGTTTTCCCTACTACACACCACAGCACCACTGTCTATTAGCACCACTGATGTGGTTTGGCTGTGTCCCCACCCAAATCTCATCTTAAACTGTTCCCATTTGTAGTTCCTCATTTGTCAAATGAGACACAGATTAATGGAACCATTCCTGCCAGGGCAAGACCTCAGTCATCTCTCACGCAGACTCTTGGAAGTCACTGAAAATGGGTCTCTCCACAAATATGGCCCGCCCACCACCACGAGTTATCCTCTTAGGCCATAAATACAATCATTCATGTTACTCCTGGCTTGAACACCTTCTACCGTACCCTACCATCTACAGAAGAGGTCAGCAAACTTTCCATAAAGGGCCAAAGAGTAAGTTTTTTTTTTTTGAGAGACAGAATCTCACTCTGTCACCCAGGCTGGAGTACAGTGGCATGATCCCAGCTCACTGCAACCTCTGCCTTCTGGGTTCAAGCAATTCTCGTGTCTCGACACCCAAGTAGCTGGGATTACAGGCAAGCACCACCAAGCCTAGCTAATTTTTGTATTTTTGGTAGAGACAGGATTTCACCATGTTGGCTAGGATGGTCTTGAACTCCTGACCTCAAGGGATCTGCCCACCTCAACCTCCCAAAGTGCTGGAATTACAGGCATGAGCCACCATGCCTGGCCTGGATAGTAAATATTTAGGTTTTGTGGGCCACACAGTCTCTTTGCAACTATTTGGATCTATTGTTGCAGTGTGAAAGCATCCATAGACAGTACATAAATAAATGAGTGTGGCCTATGTTCCAATAAAACTTTATAAAAATAGGCAGAGGACCAGATATGGCCCCCATGCCATAGTTTTCCCACCTACACACCACAGCACCACTGTGGTGTGTAACAACACTGATGTGGCTTGGCTATGTCCCCACCCAAATCTCATCTTAAATTGTAGTTCCCATAATCCCCACAGGTCATTGGAGGGACCTGGTGGGAGGTAATTGAATCAGGGGAATGGTTACCCCCATGCTGCTGTTCTCACAAGATCTGATGGTTTTATAAGGGGCTTTTCCCCCTCTTCTCTCTGCACTTCTCCTTGCTGCGGCCTCCATGTGAAGAAGGACATGTTTGCTTCCCCTTCTGCCATGATTGTAAGTTTCCCGAGACTTCCCCAGCCCTGTGGAACTGGGAATCAATTAAACCTCTTTCCTTTATAAATTACCCAGTCTCAGGTATTTCTTCACAGCAGTGTTGAGAACGGACTAATACAACTGCTGTTCAATAGAAGTTTCTGCAACGATGGAAATGTTTTATATGTACACTGTCCAGTGCATCAGCCACAAGCCACATGTACCTATTGAACACTGGATATACTTGGTATGGCTGAGCTTAATTTTAAATTTGATTTAATTAATTTAGCCACGTGACTGGAGGGTAGAACAGTCAAATCAAAGGTAACTTTTATGTAAACTTTGGAGGTTCTTTAGAACCCAGCCAGCAATATAACTGATCCTCCCAACACTTCCCAAGCACTCAGCACCAAGCTCCAGAGCCAGTGAGTGGGCAATTCCAGGCACTCTCACACTCCTGCACTTCCCACTACTGGGCCCTTCTTTGCCCAGAAGGTCCTTTGTCTTCTGAATTCACCCCCTTAAGCCCCAGTGTTCACCAACCCCACCCTGCCACGGGCCTTCTAGGACAGCCCAGGTGAAAGGTGTTGCTCTTCGCGCCTCTGGGAGGCACTGCAATGAGACTTGTGCAGCAACTTGTGAACACTTTCTCTGTCTTTACTTCTTCACTCTAAGATAGCGGAAGACGAGGCCATGTCCCTAGCACAGGGCCTGTAAAATTAGTAAGAATGCACTGTTTGTAAAATGAACACACTTTCATTTAAAAAAACCACATGTTTGGGCCAGGTACAGTGGCTCACGTCTGTAATCCCAGCACTTTGGGAGGCCGAGGCGGGCAGATCACAAGGTCAGGAGATAAAGACCATCCTGACTAACACAGTGAAACCCTGTCTCTACTAAAAATAAAAAAAAAATTAGCCGGGCATGGTAGTGGGTGTCTGTAGTCCCAGCTACTGGGGAGGCTGAAGCAGAAGAATCACTTGAACCCAGGAGGCAGAGGTTGCAGTGAGCTGAGATAGCGCCACTGCACTCCAGCCCGGGTGACAGCGAGACTCCGTCTCAATAAATAAATAAATAAATGTTTTGTTTTTGCTTATATTTGTGTTTTTAAAAATGATTTGGCTATGAATAGCTCAGTTATTTAACAACGGACTGTGACTTCTCAGTAATCAATGATGTATACCACAGAAATTAACCAGGCATGGTGGCATGTGCCTGCAGTCCCAGCTATTCAGGCAGCTGAGGCAGGAGGATAGACTGAGCCCTAACATAAGCTCTAACTTTCTAAAAAATAATAATAATGTCTTTCTGAAATTAACAGACTTACCTAAAAACCTGTTTATCACATTTTTTAAGGGCTAGACTGTAGACACAGATGGGAAGTCTAAAGTTCAAATGGACATCAGATCTACAGCAGAGAGGTTAGACTACCTGGGTTAACATTCCATTCTGCCACTGAATGATCTCACCCTCTCAAAAACTCCATTTTCCTCATCTGTAAAATGGGCTGACAATGTCTATACCTTGCAGGAATGGTACACACTAAGTACAGTACTGAGAGGCATAAATAGCAGTTGCCTAGCAGAAAAAAATACCCCCATGTACACACAAAATGGAGGAGGCACACAAACTAGACTTGGCACAGGCAGAAGTGTAGAAATGCGAGGGTGACCATGGGGTTTCAGTGCTATAGCTGCTTTAAATCCGGACAGGGCAGGGCATGCCCTTTACACAAAGCTGTGCTCCCTAACGTCCTCTGAGCATACTGTCCATATCATTAGTACTGCTCCTATGCTGTGCCCAGCACTGAAGTCACTTGGGGCAGGTCAGTTCACACACCTCGGCCATCAGCCAGCCCGCAAGCTGTGTGCTGCCACCCTGACTGCTCAGATGACAACCTGCCATCCACACCGATGTCATGACCACGGCACACTAAAGTCTGGAAGCTGCAATTTTTGCAGCTTCTGGGGCTTCTCTAAACAGATAAGACTGAAGTCAGTCTGGTTTTTCTGACCAAAGGCCCTGTTTCCCCTCTTACTCAGCTGTCTTACTCACCGGGCTGGGTGCCACATGACTCAGCCATTGTTAACAATCAAATCCATCCACAGAGAGAAGACCTCAGAGGGGACTCAACAGTGGGCTGGGTCCATCTTAAAGCTGGATCCAAGAGTAGTTTTGGACCCTGTCAGTCCTGTTGGAAGAAGTTCCTAATCTGAAGAAATTCTTGTCCCCTCATATGGTGGTACTAATCTACATGGAGTGATTTTTCCTGATTAATTTTTCCTAATTATAAAATGCCCCACTACAATCAATCCGAATTGTATTCCAAGTGTGGATATAATAAAGCGAGTCGAGGCTGGGCACAGTGGCTCACACCCATAATCCCAGCACTTTGGTAGGCCGAGGTGGGCGGATCACCTGAGGTCAGGAGTTCAAGACCAGCCTGGCCAACAATGGTGAAACCCTGTCTCTAGTAAAAACACAAAAACTAGCAGGGTGTGGCGGCGCGTGCCTGGAGTCCCAGCCACTCAGGAGGCTGAGGCACGAGAATCACTTGAACCCAGGAGGCAGAGGTTGCAGTGAGCCGAGATCGTGCCATTACACTCCAGCCTGGGTGACAAGAGTGAAACTGTATCTCTAAATAAATAAAATAAAGCGAGTCTCTCCCCTGACCGCATCCATCCAGCCCAACTCTCCAACAGGTCAGGGTTGCTCTGTGCTAATGCCGGGGATATGACCTTGGTCCTATCTCAAGCATGGCTCTTCCAACTTCTCAAGCCTTAACACTTCTCCGTTACTCACAAAAATCACTTCAGTCTCAACCCTGGCTACACATCAAAAAGCTTAAAAAAAAAACCCAAAAAAACTGCCCTCCCCAAAACAAAACAAAATCAGCATCTCTTGGGGAGTGGGGCTGGAGTATCAGCAATTTAAAAGCTTTCCAGCTGGGTCTACCTTCGGAATCACTGTGTGCAACTAGACCTCACAGGAATCACATCACAGCAAAATCACTACTCAAGACGACGACCCTTTATCCACATGCAGATGGACACGTAGCAGACCAGAAAAAGTATACAAAGAAAGGGAAAGGAGAGCAAGTACTGTACATGCTTGCAGAACCGGAGGTGCCCAAGGCTATTGCGCAAAGCCTCCTTCAGTGCAGACATGCGGGCCACTTGTCTCAAGGCAACAAAACCACATTCTAACAAAGAAAGGGATGATTCGGCCAGTCCCTTGGAATAAATATGCTGCAATGGTGAACAGTGAACTGGAAGAGGCATGCGTCTCCCTTTTTCTTCTGTAAAAGAGAATAGCCACTAATAGTGAAATCTTACACAAGGAAGCAGAAGGGTGTTAGAGAAGTGAGAGGCAAGCCCATCACTCACTGGAGAGGACCTGCCCTTGATTCCTGGGACAACTCCATGGCATATCCATTTTACAGTGGGGTCAGAGAGACTCAGGGGGTCCCAAGTGACGAATGGCCAGGCTGGGACAAAGCATATTCAAAAGCAAAAGTGTGATCAGGTCCAACTCTTTTGATGGCACAGATTTCCTCTAAAATGCCACTTGCCCAGGCAATATCAGCTACCCACGGAGTGAGTTACCTGAGCATCCCAACAGCAGCGCTTCACCCGCAATAGGAACAAATATTACCCCATTTCACAGAGCCAAAACAAATGCTGGGAGAGGCCTATTTGCCCAGAAGCACATGCCAGTGAGCAGAAGGGCCCCAGAGGAAGCTGTGGAAGGGGGCACAGAGGACCTGTCTCAGCCACCCCATTTCAGGAGCTACCCAGTGCACCAATCTGGAGACTTAGGGTCTTCCAAATTCTAATCTGACATTGAATGTCAGGTGGGATGGAGGCCAGGGTTTCAGAATCAAGCTCAGTGCCTCCCATCTGCTCACCCATGAGTCCTCACTGGTATAGTGTGCAGGTAATCAGTACTTCAGCTGGGCAGAACTGCCTTGGGTAATTGCTTAAGGGGAACCTCCAACAGGCCCAGAGAAATCTGAACCACAAAATCCAGTCCATGATTGAAACTGCCCACCCAGCCCTGGAACCCCTGTTTTTTCCAGAACATTTTACGGGAGACTTCAAATAAAATTAAATGGCTGTAGTTACCATACTCAGTCCTTGATTTCATTCAGGTCCCCACTTCTGGTCTGAGAGCCCACTCCTGCACAGCAAATTACCCTTTAAAAATGAAAAAGAGACCAGGCATGGTGGCTCACGCCTGTAATCCCAGCACTTTGGGAGGCCGAGGCGGGTGGATAACGAGGTCAAGAGCTCAAGACCGTCCTGGCCAACATGGTGAAACCCCGTCTGTACTAAAAATACAAAAATTAGCTGGGTGTGGTGGCACGTGGCTGTAGTCCCAGCTACTCCAGAGGCTGAGGCAGGAGAATTGTTAGAACCCGGGAGGCAGAGGTTGCGGTGAGCCAAGATCATGCCACTGCACTCCAGCCTGTCAACAGAGCGAGACTCTGTCTCAAAAAAAAAGAAAAAAAAAAAAAAAAAGGCATTTTCTATTTCTTCCAATGAACAAGGTAAAAGGAAGTTTTGTGAGTGTCTAAATCCAGAAGACCCTCCTCTGCCCCCATCCACGGGGTCCTCCCACAGTAGTGGGTGAGATCAGAGGGGCAGCTAGGGGTAGATGCCCACAGATTACACGTTTTCTCACACTACCCTGAGCAGTCTAATGAACAGTTTCCACATCAGCCACCCCTCCTCCCCAATTTAAGGGGAGCTGCACAACAGTCCTGACACCCCCTTTGCAGCTCCTGGAGTGTTCCCCGAGAGCAAGCCAATTTTTCCAGGGCATTGGGCCAACAGTGTAATCACAGGCCGTGGTGGAAGTTTCTGGTAGTTCATCAGAACTCAGAAACCTGGCTGGGGGCTGCACACAGGCAAGAGGCTCCATCAGGCTTCCTGTCACAATAAATTCCTCCACACCCTACCTGTGAAACTCCATTCCCATTTATTACCAAAACTGGAGCCCTGACTTTCAAGCTTTTTCCTGAGGCCTGAAAGCTGGCCCTTCCAGCTGATGACATCACTGACAAGCTTCTGACAATGGCTCCCTGGAGCCTAAACCTCTGCTAATACCTAGCAAGGGCACATTCTTCATGGGTGAGGTCATATTCAGCTAATTACTCATCTAACCCCCACCCCAGTGCCCAAGGCCACAGCACGGAGATACCACTACACTTTGCTCCTCCTCCAAGGCCCTTCTCGCAGCTGCAAACACCACCAGGCAGCAAACACAAATGGTGGCCATCCCCGAGAAGGCGGTGGGACGTGGGCTTGGAAGATCGTACAAATAAAAATACAAGATATCAGTTACATATTAATTTAGATAAACATCAAATCGTTTAGCATAGGTATGTCCTACGCAACGACTTGTAACTTGTGAGAGCTGTCTGCCACACTTGGAACATACTTATACTAAAAAGTTATTCATTGTCTATCTGAAATTCAAATTTAACTGTATTTTCTCTGGCAATACACAGTGAAACACAGTGGTGGGAACACAGGTGAGTCTCCAGCCCTTCATTTGGCCTATAGGATTTCCTAAACCATTATACAGGACAACAAATGCTCTACCAAAAACATACACAGAGTGAAATGTACTGAGAAGCTGTAAAAGCCAATGTTTAAAATACAAATGAGAGTTACCAGTCACTAGTTACATTTTAAAAATAAAAATTAACACACATACAAACAATTAACTGCTGATTATGTAAGAGCCATGTGTTACCAGCAGGGTATTATAACTGTAAGATGCTATTATTTTTCCCAAAACAGTTCACCAATGAGTGAAAACTGCTGGGGAACAGGATATTCATGTAGTCTCAAAGATTACTTACCAATTACAATCACAGGTTACCTAATCATTATACTAGGAGAAAGGTATTGTTTCAACAGAGAGCAGGCGGACACCACTTGAAGCAGGTGACCACACTTAGCACCACGAAGTAACAGGACAAACTGAGATTGTGAGCCTGTGCTGTGAGGCAGTGGGAAGTACCTATGACCTCAGGAAGTGCCCTAGCCAAAAATATTCAACTTGAATTTAATCACAAGGAAACAGACAGACCTAGAATGTGGAACATTCTACAGCCGAAGACCAGCTGCACTGGCATCACCGGGATGCTGGCTGGAAATGCAGATTCCCAGGCTCCACCCTGTTCTCCAGAATCAGAATGTGCATTTTACCAAGACCCTCCCAAGCACACTTGAGAAACACCAGTTCTACAAGACAACGGGCCTGATTTCTTCAAAAATGACACGGTCACGAAAGACAAAAAAATGTGTAAAAGGCAGGGGGGCTGTTCTTGATTAAAGGAAAAGTTGAGGTATGTGACTTTGAAACCAAATTCAATTGAGTAATCGTTAATTGGTTCCTGGATCCCAAAAAATGCCATTTTTTTTTAAACTGTCATAAAGGACACTTGGGAGCATTTTGGGAAGTTTTACACAAGATGTTATTACTGTATCGGTGCTAACCTCTTGGGTATGCAGTGACGCTGTGGTTAGAAGAATGTCCTGGGAATGCAGAGACACTGTGGTTAGGAGAATGTCCTTTTTCTTAGAGATGCTTGTTGGAGTATGTGGGGGTGAAGGGTCATGATACGAGCTGAGTACTTTCAAATGATTCAATAAAAAACACGCATGTGGCCAGGCATGGTGGCTCACTCCTGTAATCCTAGCACTTTGGGAGGCTGAGGCAGGAGGATCACTTGAGGTCAATAGTTCACGACCAGCTTGGCCAACCCCATCTCTACTAAAAATACAAAAATTAGCTGGGCATGGTGGCCCGTGCCTGTAATCCCAGCTACTCAGGAGACTAAGGCAGGAGAATCGCTTGAACCCAGGAGGCAGAGGATGCAGTAAGCCAAGATCATGCCACTGCACTACAGCCTGGGCGACAGAGCCAGACTCTGTCTCAAAAATAAATTAAAAAAAAAAAAAGTGTGTGATATGCATCTTTAGAGCAAGTGATAGAGCAAGCAAATATGGCAAAACATTAACAATTGGAGGCTCTGGGGAAGGTTATATAAGAGTTGGCTATAATCTTCTTTCATACTATCTATAAGAGTGAGGGTTTCCAGACCAGCCTGGACAACATAGTGAGATCCCATCTCTAAAATAAATAAATAAATAGGGTTGATTGAGGGTTTCCAATAAATTTGGGAGTGGGAAGGAAACATTATTGCTAAAATGAAAACTGTTAAAATAAGTCAAACATCTAGAAAATAAATATAAGAAAAAAGTTCATTACAACTCTGGGTCCTGAGCATCTATATTAATTAACATGCACTAATTTTCTTGGCAATAAAAGAAAACACACTTTCTTCCAGAAACCAATTTTTCTCTTTGGTGTCAAAACATTTAAGAAAAGCAGCAACCACTTAGGTACAGGGAGTTTGAGAAAGTTTGTCTTTTAATCTCCAAATGTAGAAGTTGGCTTTCCAGGAAAAAACACACCAGGCAAAGTAAAAATAAATCTGAAAACTTTAAAGCTTTATTTGAAAATTCAAATCCTACACATTCCAACACTTGGCCGTAAAAAAGAATAAAGTACAGACATAACATGGCTGAACCTTGAAAACATTCTGCTAAGTGAAAGAAGTCAGTAACACCAGAACACGTGTATGATTTTACCATATGAAATGTTCTGAATGGACAGATCCATAGAGACAGAGTAGATTAGTGGTTTATTGGGCCTGGTTGGGGAAGGGAAAGGGAGAGTGACTGCTAATGGATACAGGGGTTCTTCTGAGGCAATAAAAATATTCTAAAATTGGCCAGGCACAGTGGCTCACACCTGTAATCCCAACACTTTGGGAGGCCAAGGCAGGCGGAGTTTGAGACCAGCCTGACCAAAATGGTGAAACCCCATGTCTACTAAAAATACAAAAATTAGTTGGGTGTGGTGGCATGCACCTATAATCCCAGCTACTCGGAAGGCTGAGGAAGGAGAATCGCTTGAACCTGGGAGATGGAGGTTGCAGTGAGCCAAGACTGCACCACTGCACTCCAGCCTGGGCAAGAGTAAGACTCCGTCTCCAAAAAAAAAAAAACAATTCTAAAATTATAGTGATGATAGTTGCATAATTCTGTGAATATACTAAAAATTGCATACTTTAAAAGGGTGAATTTTATGGTGTGTGAGTTATATCTCAGTAAAGCTGGTTTTGGGGGGATTTTTTTAAAGAAAGAAAATTCCTATAAATTCCTCTAGCCTGCAAGCTCTTATTCTTCCTAGCAGAAGGCAGTATTGTAGTTACAAGTAGGACTAAGACAAGCCAAATCCCTTGGTCCCTGTGACCTGGAACCAAGGAGGCCCAGGTTCTAGCCCAGCCCAGCTACCACAACTCACTGTGTTACCTTGATCAGGGCCTGTCCCTCTCTGAGATTCTGATTAACAGAATATCTTCCAATCTGTAAACCTGGCTGGACCAGAAGGCATCTTGAGGTTCTCCAAGGTATTCTATTAGAACCAACTCAAGTCTTTTTTTTTTTTTTTTTTTTTTTTTGGAGACGGAGTCTCGCTCTGTAGCCCAGGCTGTAGTGCAGTGGTATGATCTTGCTCACTGCAACCTCCACCTCCTGGGTTCAAGGGATTATCCTGCCTCAGCCTCCCAAGAAGCTAAGACTACAGGCGTACACTACCACGCCCGGCTAATTTTTATATTTTTAGTAGAAACAGGGTTTCACCATGTTGGCCGGGCTGGTCTTGAACTCCTGACTTCAAGTGATGCACCCGCCTCAGCCTCCCAGAGTGCTGGGATTACAGGCATGAGCAACCATTCCTGGTCCAACTCAAGTCTTTTACCTCTATTTTACACAGCACAGTTATTGAACTTTCGTGAGCTTAAGAGAATCATAAAATTTCATTTGGTTCATCCAAGATCAAGTTTCAGGTTCACAAAATTGAGTTACTTCCTTTAAATCGGGGGTGTCCAATCTCTTGGCTTCCCTGGGCCACACTGGAAGAAGAAGAATTGTCTTGGCCACATAAGATACACTAACACTAATGATAGCTGATGAGCTTTAAAAAACAAATGCGAAAGGATCTCATAATGTTTTAAGAAAGTTTACGAATTTGTGTTGGGGCGCATTCAGAGCTGTCCTGGGCTGCCTACAGCCTGCAGTCTGTGGGTTGGACAGGCTTGCTTTAGATGGTCTTGGGACTCTCAAACTCATACTCAGCATTGCAACTCAGTTCAGAAGACAAACATGTGAAGGGAACGTCATTTTCAAACTGATCATGGTGAGGATTTTTATGAAACTGTCCCAACAAACTTTTAGGATTCCATTTATGCAAGTAATACTATGATTCCCCAACTCCACCCCCAAGTGTTAATGCTGGAGGCAGAGCCAACCCATGACCTATGAATTTGGCAATCAGGGTCTTTTACACCTAATAGAGGTCAGGATGGTGAGGGGGCACATCCCTTCACCCAGGCTCATCCCTACAAACTCATTTCTCATCTTCTGGGCAGCAGAAGCCAGACATTGCAGCCACAGTGGACAAAACTCCACAGAGCCAAAGGCAATACCCTGGAAGTAATCAGCACTGATTAGTGTTTGGGGAAATCCTTGGCTGTAGCACACTCTTTGATTCAGTTTTTCCAGTCAAAGCCATCCTCGAGTCATGCTGACTTGGGCCTAGAAGGAGGAAATTCTCATTCATGCCTCTCAGACAGTGCTGTCTCCTCTGCAGGAAGGAAGGGCCCACACTGGAGCAGAGGCAAGTTCAGGGGGGTCCCAAGGTGCTGATCTGGGCATCGCTTCCAGGCAGGAAGCAGCCATCCACGTAGCTGGGCTAGAGCTTCAGCTGATATCTTCCTAGCTTGGGAGAGAGGCCCTTGATATTATTTGTTTATTTATTTGAATTTTTTACTTTTTGAGACAGGGTCTCACTCTGTCACCCAGGCTGGAGCGCAGAGGTGTGATCACAGCTTGCTGCAACCTCGACCCGCCAGGCTCAAGCAATCCTCCCACCTCAGCCTCCTGAGTAGCTGGGACTACTGGTGTGCGCCATCATGCCTGGCTAATTGTTGTGGGGTTTTTTTGGTTTGTTTGTTTGTTTGTTTTTTGTAGAGACAGGGTCTCTTTATGTTGCCCACTCTGGCTTTGAACTTCTGGGCTCAAGCGATCCTCCCACCTTGGCCTCTCAAAGTGCTGGGTATAGAGGCATGACACGGCACCTGGCCTAATACTATTTATCATCATCTTGGACTTAAGAGAATGCTTCCCAACCAGACAATGAGAGGCACCTACCAGTCCCTTCTGGGCCATCAGCTAACATCACAACTTCATTAAGCACAGACTCCACCCACCCAGATTTGTCTTAAAGGGCCCAGCCTCATCACCTCTCAGTCCACAACTGACTGGACTGGGGTGGAACCTGACTCAATCCAAGCCGAATCAGGTTCTCCCTGAGGTCTCTGCCTATGGCTACACCGAGTGAAATGTAAACAGCAGGAGCTGCAGGGCAGCCCCGTTGCCTGCAGTGATAGCAGGACTCCTCTACAGAGGGAAGGGACAAAACAGACACCAGGAAGACAAGAAACCATGGCTTTCTGATTTTGGGTTTCAAGTCTTCCTGAGGCCCTGCTGCAGGATTACACTTAAGTCTGTGAACCCGTGGTTCATTATAGGGATCACTGGTTGTTTCTGATGCCCAGTACTGGGGTGGGTGCATGAGACAGGAGCCTCCTAAGCACAGCCATTGGCTCAGAGCTGGGCACATAATTCAAGGAGTCTAATAGCAAATCCTGGACTTGTATAGGAGCTATAGGAGAGTTTTGCACTCAGCACTCTCACTCTCCTTTCTGGCTGGGTTTGGACCTGGGAGGCATAAAGGTCCAGAGATGCCAGAAGCCCTTCTGCCACCACATAGAGCCAAAATGAATGAAGCAGACTGGAGATGAGGAGAGAGATCAAACCCTGAAGACCCGTTTGAAACTTGGGACCAAGTAATGCTTGGGGGCAGTCGGCTCTGGGATGTCTCAGTTACTGGGACAAGTGGCTCCCTCTTTTGCCTTTAAGCAGTTTCAAGTGGTTTCTACAACTTGCCACTAAACAGAAATTCACAAAACTCTCCTGACAAAGAATTTTTTCACTTAAGCCAGCTCAAGTGAGTTTCTCTCACTTGTACTCAAAAGAATGCCAAATTACCAGCCTGGTCAACATGATGAAATCCTGTCTCTATTAAAAATACAAAAATTAGCCGGACACGGTGGAGTGTGCCTGTAGTCCCAACTACTTGGGAGGCTGAGGCAGAAGAATTGCTTGAACCTGGGAGGCAGAGGTTGCAGTGAGCAGAGATCATTCCCCCGGGCAACAGAGTGAAACTCTGTCTCAAAAAAAAAAAAAAAAAAAAAAAGGAATGCCAAATTACCAAAATGACTTATCCAGTTTACATAGCTAGAGTTTAAGGTTTATGTTCTCAAAACAACCCAATAATGCAGACAAAACTCTAGGAAATTTCCCAATTCCTCCTCAGTCTATCAGAAGAATTGATGAGAAGTTATAGGTGTCAAATGACTGTGCTCAACAGCACGACATGGCCCAATATTGGGCCTCCTGGGATTAATTCCCTCTCAGCACCCTGCTAACCATCACAAACAAACATTCCCAGTAGAAAATCACAAGTCGGGTAAAAATACAAGAACTGCTTTTGTAGCATGAGATGAAAGAAGGGATAAATCTATAATGACTAGCCCAGGCGCAACGAACGGCTCATGGCTGGAGGCAAAGGAGAGAGTATAACTTGACCCCAGGAGTTCGAGACCAGCCTGGGCAACATGGCAAAACCCCGCCTCTACAAGAAAAAACACAAATTAGCTGGGCCTTGTGATGCATGCCAAGTAGCCTCCCAGCTACTTGGGAGGCTGAGGTGGGAGAATCCCTTAAGCCTGGGAGGTTGAGACTGCAGTGAGCCATGATCGTGCTACTGCATTCTGGCCTGGGTGACAAAGTGAGACCCTGTTTTCAAAAAGTAGAAATAAATTTGCTGGGCATGGTGGCACATGCCTGTAGTCCCAGCTACTCAGGAAACTAAGGTGGCAGGATCACCTGAGCCCAGGAAGGTGGGGGCTGCAGTGAGCTGTGATCATGCCACTGCACCCTAGCCTGGGTGACAGAGTAAGACCCGGACTTTAAAAAAAAAAAAAAAAAAACCTACAGAGACTAAAGCTCCTAAAAGGTAAATAAATAACAACAAAAACCAGTAAGATCCTCTAATCAAACAGAGCTAATGCAAATCTAAAGTTTACCCGCATCAAAGAGGAGGCCAAGTCCACTTGTGTCCACTACAGCCACATTTCCAGGCCAATTAGAAAAACCAGGCCAGCATGAATCACCAATTGTTCAGGATTCTAGAGGACTTGTTCAACCTAGGTTGCAGAAAACCCATACACACCAAACACAGGTGGCTTCATGGAGAATGCAAAGCTGGGGAAGAATGGGGTCAACTGAGAAACTTTAGAAATGAAGTGGTTCACCAAACTGACCACAGAAAGAACTTCAAGAATGCTAAAATCTCTAAACTCTCTAATGAGTCTCAGAACTCTCTAAAAAGAAAGCAAAGAGGGCACTTGGGGCAAGACAGCTGGATGAGGAACCCTTCTGGTGCTGTTTGACAGTTAAATTCTGTGGCTGGGACCACCCAGCTGGCTACAGTCAAGACAAGCTGCTCGGGAAGCTTCCCTCCTAAGGGAAGCCCACAAAGAAAAGCCAAGCAGGGTTCCAGGAAGGATTTGTAAGGTAGGCTTGAGGCAATTTCAAAAACATGACCCAGGTGACCCAAGCACATAACTGCTTTACCCTGGGTCAAGGCTACTGGCTCAAGGCATGGATTCAAGGCAAGAGTGCTTGTCTTCCCGGCCCAGTGACTGCAGTGGTGGTGGGTAAGTTACTATTCTTTGGAAAATTAAGTTAGGAAGGAAAAGGTTGGCTTACAGCTCATGGGCTAGTCCCACTGGTGGTGGTGGTGGTGGTTGGTGGGGAGGGTCGTTCAGCAAAAGCAAGGAGTCCTCTGAGTCCAGCCACAACCTCCTCACCACTGAAGGCCTGCTGACATCCAAAAGCCCAGAGGCCCTGACAACATTTCCTGTGGCTCACAGACTAACCCAGCACACCAGGGCCGCTCAGCGGGAAGAGACAATGCACACACTGGCTGGTTCAGCGCTGGAAATCCCTGCCCACCTGGCTGCTTCTCTCATAAATGGGAATAATCTGGCTTTTCTTCTGAAAATAAATACTGCAAGCTCATTGTAATATCATAAAGTGATACTGAAAGCAAAAAGAATCAAGTTAAATCCTTGTGTCCACAGGGATACCACACAGAAATCTGGTTTGTGGAGTTCCCCAGATCTGCTGCTGCTCCAGGCTCAGCCACTTGCTTGCCAGCTAGGTGACCGTAAATGTAGCCTCAGTTTCCTCAGCTGCAAAACGGGATTAACACCGTTCCTCAGACCTCATGTAAGTGACATGAGGCATAAAAAGCCACCTAGCACACAGTAAGCACTCACTCACTATGGTTAGCACTCAAATAATAGTCTAATTAAGTTTCTATAATGATCAAACTTTAAGAAACATGTATCCATTCTATGATCCAAAAAAAATACAATAAAGATTTACAGAAAAAGAGAAAAGAAAAACCCAGATGCAGCTCAACTCCCACACATGAATGGGATGGAGCGGGGAGTATATTTTAAAGAAACCATGTTGGCTGGGGACGGTGGCTCACGCCTGTAATCCCAGCACTTTGGGAGGCTGAGGTGGGTGGATCACCTGAGGTCAGGAGTTCGAGACCAGCCTGGCCAACGTGGTGAAACCCCGTCTCTACTAAAAATACAAAACTTAGCCAGGCATGGCAGGATGCGCCTATAGTCCCAGCTACTCAGGAGGCTTAGGCAGGAGAATCGCTTGAACCAGTGAGACGGAGGTTGCAGTGAGCCGAGATCAGGCCACTGCACTCCAGACTGTGTGACAAGAGCAGGATTCCATCTCAACAACAATAAAAAAAAGAAACCATGTCCTCAGACCTACCCTTTACACCCTGTCAGGTACCCACTCCCATGAGGACTTGCAGGCATGGACCAGAAGCTGCCCCCACCTTAATGAGAGGGCCAATGGCTCCATAAGAGTAAGATGCAAACAGCTATCATGTTGCTGGCCAGAGGCCAGCTCCATGAGGGTAGAAGGTAACTGTTTACTCACACTCCCCTGCAGTTTCAGTTACTGTCCTGTTTGCTTTGGCTCGCTGGGTCAGGGTGTATTGCTTATTATTCAACAAACACTAATCCCGCAAGAGAACCTGAGAGGCCAGCGCTGGGGGATTTGCCGTCACAGCACCCCAAAGATCTGGCTTGCTTCTTTTTTTGAGATGGCTCTTGTTGCCCAGGCTAGAGTACAACGGCACAGTCTCAGCTCACTGCAACCTCTGCCTCCCAGGTTCAAGAAATTCTCCTGCCTCAGCCTCCCAAGTAGCTGCAATTAGAGGCACCTGCAATCAGACCCAGCTAATTTTTGTATTTTTAGTACAGACAGAGTTTCACCATGTTGGCCAGGGTGGTCTTCAACTCTTGACCTCAGGTGATCTGCCCACCTCAGCTTCCCAAAGTGCTGGGATTACAGGCATGAGCCACCACACCCTGCCCTGGCTTAGTTTTGCGCATCTCTTCACAACGTGAGATGTTCCTCTTTGCTGGGAGCATACACTAGTGCTACCCTCCCCACCACCCATGAATAAATCATGGTGATATTCTGGGCAACAATGAAAAGAGGCAATAAAGTGAATGGTGTCCTTCCAAAAGCAAATCAGGGCACTTCTGCATTCTCTGGGAGGAAAAGAACCCTCAATAAGTTTCCACTTTCAGAGCACAAAAAAGCTAGTTCTGTTCCTTCTAGTCATTGTAGTTCTTGTTTGCTACTCAGCAACTTGAATTACAGTAGAGTCAAGTCTAGTAGGAAATGCACTAGCTGGGAAAACAAGGCAAGGGGGGTGGTGACCTAGATCCCCCCAGTCAGACTAGCCCCTGGTCAGCTGTGAACCTCTGGGCATCAGTTTTCCCATCACGAAATGAAATGTCTGCATCACTAGGCTTTCCCTTAGATACAAGTTGTAGTGAACAGAGAACCAAGACACCGTTTTCCATTAAAAATTTGCTCAAGACTGGAATCACTTTTCTACACCTTTTTTTTTTTTTTTACCTATCAAATTCTAATCCAACGAGAAGTAATTAACAAACCAAACCCACAAAGTCTGATTTTCCATTCAACAGTTCTGATGATACTTATGCAATTCTTCTTTTTTTTTTTTTTTCCTGTAGAGACAGGGTCTCGCTATGTTATCCAGGCTGGTGTTGAACTCCTGGCACAATGGTTCATTCCTTGAGCCCACGTGGTCAAGGCTGCAGTGAGCTATGATCATGCCACTGCATTCCAGCCGGGGTGACAGAGCGAGATCTTGTCTTTTTTTTAAAAAAAAAAAAAAAAAGGAACTAACTTCAAGCAACCCTCCCACCTTAGCCTCCCAAAGTGCTGCGATTACAGGCATGAGCCACCATGCCCAGCCCAATTGTTGCTTTTGAGAGTAAACAAAGATACAACAGGTTGGGATTATAGTACCACATTGTTCAACATCATCTACAGAGAACTATCTCTTCTATGCACTGGGTGCCAGCTGACAGTCAGCACAGCCTTTCCTAACAAGGGGCAGGGCAGACAAAGGAGATGCCTGCAAGTAGTAACTGCCAGAGCTAAGGAGGTGCATGGGCAGAACTTTAAAATCCGGCCAGGCACAGTGGCTCGCTCCTGTAATCCCAGAGCTTTGGGAGGCTGAGGCAGGAGATCACTTGAGGCCAGGAATTTGAGACCAGCCTGGGGAACATAGTGAGACCCTGTCTCTCAAAAAAAAAAAAAAATTAATTAACTGGGCATGGTGGAGCATGCCTAGTAGTCCCAGCTACTTGGGCAGCTGAGGCGGAAGGATTGCTTGAGCCCAGCAATTTGAGGTTATAGTGGTCGTACTCCAGCCTGGGCAACAGAGCGAGACCCCCAACTCAGGAAAAAAAAAAAAGCCATCAATTCACAAACAATCAGATTCTGACAAGAACTAACTCAGTCTTGACTTGGTGCCAAAAAGACGTCAGCAGCTTTCACACAAATCTCTCTTTTTAACAATAAGAACAGGCCGAGCATGGTGGCTCACGCCTGTAATCCCCACACTTTGGGAGGCCAAGGCAGGTGGATCACCTGAGGTCAGGAGTTCGAGACCAGCCTGGCCAACATGGCAAAAACCCATCTCTACTAAAATACAAAAATTAGCTGGGCATGGTGGCGGGCACCTGTAATCCCAGCTACTCGGGAGGCTGAGGCAGGAGAATCGCTTGAACACAGGAGGCAAATGCTGCAATGAGCCGAGATCATGCCATTGCACTCTAGCCTGGGCAACAAGAGCGAAACTCTGTCATAAAAACAAACAAACAAACAAACAAACAAACAATAAGAACAGGCCTCAGGCTCAAAGTCTTCAAAAAACTTTTCAAGAATTTAGTAACACGTTGTTTTCATTGATTTTATTTATTTTTTAATTTTTTCTTATGCTATCTCCTCTAACTTATTTTTTCAAAGCCTAGTTACCTGTTCTTTCTGGCAAGTGATCGTGGTTTTCATTTAAGATCATGTTCTCTAGTTTCCTTTTACGAGTAAAGTAGTATAAAGATGAGTAGATATGAAGAAAAAAAACATTCACAAAATAATACTGGCACCTGGAGTAGGCAGAAACCATGCCAGTGATCTAAAAAAGCCAGAGGGCAGAGAGGCTGGTCTGGTGGAGGGCCAGGGTCATAAACAGAATCATGGCCATTTTACAAGGATTCTAATTTGTGTGCACAGTGCTGTGGGAATGCAAGGGAAAAAATGAATAATTCTACCTGGGGGCTTTCGAGAGGACTTCACGAGGGAAATCATCTGAATTGGTTCCTGAACTACAAGAAAAAAAATGAGTGGTCAAGAGGAGGCAGCGGGAGGCAAGGGTGAAGGAACCTCCCCATTCATTACAAGGGGCTTTAGCTGGCTGATATGAAGGTTGAAGCCAATGCTAGCAGCCCACTGAGGACAACTTGCATTGCAGGCTAAAATGACTCTGATGTCGGCCAGGCGTGGTGGCTTACGCCTATAATCCTAGCACTTTGGGAGGCCAAAGCGAGCGGATGGCCTGAGGTCAGGAGTTCCAGACAAGCCTGGCCAACATGGCGAAACCCCGTCTCTACTAAAAATACAAAAATCTGCTGGGTGTGGTGGTGCACTCCTGTAATCCCAGCTACCTGAGAGGCTGAGGCAGGAGAATTGCTTGAACTCTGGAGACGGAGGTTGCAGTGAGCTGAGATGGTGCCACTGCACTCCAGCCAGGGTGATAGAGCGAGACTGTCTCAAAAAAAAAAAAAAAAAAAAAAAAAAGACTCTAATGTCAAGTCTGGGCCCAGTGGGAAAGAACATCATATCAACTGACCAGCAATGTTTGTCATGAAGAGAAGAAAGTATAGCCGGGGTGCTATTTGATGACCCTGATTCTGGCTCAGTCTTCAACGTTTACAGGTGAGAAACTGAAACTGCCTTTGCAAAAATTATAGACAGTGAAAGAGGTCAGACCTAACCGACTCCATCTTGCTTCTAACCTTTAGGCTGTCCTTGTTCATTCCTGGGCATAGGCCAAACTAACCTTGGGAATGAATTTAGTTTATGGTTTCACTCTGAAAAAAAACTGCTAATAGCCCTTTCCCAAAAAGACCCTCTTCTTGCCTTGGGAGCAGTCTGCCTTTGTAGGACTAACAAATTAGCTACAAGATTAGAAATTAAGGTTTAGGGGTCAGAAACTGCAAGAGTCTGAACCTCCACAAATTGCTTCTGGAGATAACATCACTACTGTAAAACTTAACATCAGTGCTTGAGATAGTTTGCAGACCCTGCACTCCATGGATCAGCTGACACCTCCCAGAGCGGTAATCTGGCTCAACCAGTTCTGCCATCCCACCCAGGAACAGAAGACAGCAAGAAAACGTCACTTCGACCCCCTGTGACTCCATCTCCAACTTGACCAATCAGCACTCCCCACTTCCTGAGCCCCTACCTGCCGAATTATCTTTAAAAACTCTGATCCCAAATGCTCGGGAGACTGATTTCAGTAACAATAAAATTCTAGCCTCCCACACAGCTGGCTCTGGGTGACTTACTCTTTCTCCATTGCAATTCCTCTGTCTTGATAAATCAGCTCCGTCTAGGCAGCAGGCAAGGTGAACTCGTTAGGTGGTTACAAAACTGGGGTCCAAAGCCCCAGAGCTGACGAAGAGCACAGTCAGAATAAAGAAACAGGTATCCTGAGTCCACGTCCTTCTCATTCTGTGCTCTAGGGTCCTCTTTCATCTGAATCAGCAGCATTTACAGCCATGGAGTCATTATAAAGAAAAGCAAATCTGTCCTAAGTCTTGAGTCAATTAATTAAGGAGTTTAAATGTATGGGTCCAAAACAATTAAGCTTTGTGGAATAAGAGCCCGGGTGAGCTCACCAGTGAGAGAAGGATGGTCTCATTTGAAAGTACATCTCTGTAGAAAGTTAATTCCAATAAAAATCTTTCCCATGCTGCCGCCCCAGGCCGAGAATGTTGTACTGAGCCAAACTTCACACGTAGCTGACTGATCCATCCAGCAAAGAGTGGTCTCCTTTAGCTAAGGCCGTGATCAAGAGGCATTCTGTCCAACTAGGAATTCTCAAAACTTCCACTTTCCTCCTAGCAGAACCTTCCAATCTGGAATCACACTCACAATGACTGAGGCTGCTGGCTTGTCCGAAGTCCAAGCCCTATAACCACGGATCTTTTTTTAGTTTTTAATTGGGGAGAGTCACTGTGGTTGAGCTACATTTTCCTCTCCTTCAACATGGACCCTGGAAGGCAATCAAACCCCTTATTTCTCACACATTCATTATTTCTTTCAACTCTTCCTCTTAAAAAAGTTGGGGGTGGGGTACATGTTGCGTTCCCTAAACCACCATTCTGCCCCCTCTTCAGATGGAAATCCCTCAAGTCTACAGACTGAGGCTCACAAATGAAGTTACCTGATATTTTAAGAGGCATGGAAATTACACCACTTAAATTTGAAGTCAGATTTTATTTCATATCCAAGTCTAAGTAACAGCTTTTAATTACATAGACAGCTTAAAAGAAACCTCAAGCACTCTGCAATTTACGTGTATTTTGGGTTTGGTTTTGTTTTTGTTTTCCTGTTTGATCTGCCTGTGAGGTGAAGAGGTAATCTCACTTCACAGATGTGGACAAGGGGATTACCCTAAGTCACACAGCCTGTGACACCAGGGTTTCATCAAACAAAGGGGCTTTCTAAAGAATAAATGGCAACCTAGTGACACAGGAAGCCACGTGAAACACCTCCTTGAGGTCCACTCCACCAATCCTCTGCAATGTCCCCAATTTCAGGTAGAACATGTGATCTAGGACAAGCCAGTCCCAAGAGTCATTCCCAAGAGTCAAACACCCTTGCCAGTGGTGGGCTGAGATGTGAGCAGGTGACATAGGCTGGTCCAATCACAGTGAACCTCAGGGCTTTCCTGGGACTGCTGGGATCAGGGCCCGCCTTCTTCCTCTGGGAGGTGTGGGGTGTGGCTGCGGGCCTGGGACTGCTACACCCACCCGTCTGTGGAGAGACAACAGAATCAGAGAAGCAGAGCCAAGGCTCTCTGATGCCCTGGAGACTTCCAGGTCCAACTGCCTGCCTACCCCTTGACTTTTCAGTTACGAGAGCCAATGAGCTCCCTTTTTGGATAAACCAGGATTAGGTAGGTTTCCCATGACTTGGAACCATATACATCCTAATGGATACATTTATATTCAAAGTCTTTCTCTACTGCTTCCTGGCTGTGCCACAAGTTACTAAACCTCTCAGTGCCTCGGTTTCCTCATTTGTAAAATGGTGGAGTGTTAGAATGAAGTGCGATACTTGGTGTAAAAACCAACTGAGAACAGTCTCTGGCCTGTAGCAGGGATTCGCTTACCACTGCACTCCAGCCTGGGCGACTAGGGCGAAACTCTCAAAAAAAAAAAAAAATTGTCTTTAAAAAACAGAACCTTTTTGTGGCTAGGATGTGCAAGAACTGGAGCTCTCAAACACTGCTCGTGGAAATGTAAAACAATACAACCACTTTGGGAAACAGTTTGGCAGTTTCTTGAACAGTTAAACGTACACCTATGATGTATGATCCTAACATTCCACTCAGAAAAATAGAAATATACATCCATACAAAGAGTAGTAAAAGATGTTCATGATAGCTTTATTTAGAAACCACCCGGCCAGGCGTGGTGGCTCACACCTATAATCCCTGCACTTTGGGAGGCAGAGGTGAGCGGATCGCCTAAGGTCAGGAGTTCGAGACCAGCATGACCAACATGGTGAAACCCCGTCTCTACTAAAAATACAAAAATTAGCCAGGTGTGGTGGCAAATGCCTGTAATCCCAGCTACTCAGAAGGCTGAGGCAGGAGAATTGCTTGAACCCGGGAGGTGGAGGTTGCAGTGAGCCAAGATCACACCACTGCACTCCAGCCTGTTCAACAGAGTGAGACTCCGTCTCAAAAATAAATAAATAAATAAGAAACCACCCAAATGTTATCAACAGAAGGATGTATAAACAAAATGTAGTATATCCATACAATGGACTACTACTCAGCAATAAAAAGGAATAGGACTATTGACACATGCAACAAGGATGAATTTCAGAATAACTATGCTAGAAGAAGCCAGACAAAAAGAGTACATACTGGCAGGGCGTAGTGGCTCATGCCTGTGATCCTAGCACTTTGGGAGGCCAAGGCGGGTGATCACCTGAGGTCAGGAGTTCGGGACCAGCCTGGCCAACATGGTGAATCCCCATCTTTACTAAAAATACAAAAATTAGCTAGGCATGATAGCATGTGCCTGTAATCCCTGCTACTCGGGAAGCTAGGGCAGGAGAATCACTTAAATCTGGGGAGATGGAGGTTGTAGTGAGCCGAGGTCGCACCACTGCACTCCAGCCTGGGTAACAGAGTGAGACTCTTGTCTCAAAAAAAAACAAAACAGCATACTATATGATTCCATTTATATAAAAGGCTAAAAGATGAAAACTGACTGATAATGACAGAAAGCAGATCAGTGAATGCTTGAGCATGGGTGTGGAAGACATGGAGAGATAAAAGGCAAGAATTACAAAGAGGCACAAGGAAACTTCTGGGGCTGGATAGGGAGGTTCGCTGTCTTGATTATGGTGATGGTTTCCTGATGTGTGAGTGTACATGTGTACACAGGAGTGTGTGTATAAGCTAATCAAAATGTGTTCTTCATTGTATAACAATTATACCTCAATATTTTTTGGGTTTTCTTGGCAGGGGTGGGGAGATTGAGACAATGTCTCACTCTTTTGCCCAGGCTGGAGTGCAGTCATGCAATCTCAGCTCACTGCAGTCTTGACTTCCCGGGCTCAAGCAATCCTCCCACCTCAGCCTCCTGAGTAGCTGGGACCACAGGTGCATGTCACTACACCTAGCTTTTTTTTGGCGGGGAAGGGAGTAGAGATGGGGATCTCTCAATGTTGCCCAGGCTGGTCCTGAATTCCCAGGCTCAAGAGATCCTCCTGCCTTGGCCTCCCAAAATGTTGGGATTACAGGCATGAGCTACCACACCCAGCCAATAAAGCAGTTTTTCAAAAATTAAACCCATCTGAGCTCATATATGCAGGTGCCTGGGATACCAGACCACATCCCACTAGATGGGGACCACCAAACCACAAAATGGACCTGCTTGAATTTGGCCACAGTGTAAAGGTGTTCTTAGAATGCAACTCTCTCTTAACACTCATTCCACTGTTGAACCAGCCCTACTCTAGACTTTTACCTACTTTTAGAGACAATGCAACTGATTCAGCAGTCCCTTGAGATGGTACCTTGAGCAATATCTCCTTCTGCTCAGACAAAAAGCTATTGACTGGACGCTCCCAGAGGCAAGCTTCTGAAGCCCTCTGTCTCTGAGAATCCCAAGTCTGCCACGTTCACAAGCAACAGAGGAAGCCTTACATTCTAAGGTAATTAGCTCAGCCGTTTCAACACTTGGGGTGGGGGTAGGGGGAGAGAAATCCTGCTAAGCATGAATGCCTTTGTCAAAATATCATCCTGACACCCTAAGGATGGTCTGTTTTCTTTTCTTATAAACTGGGCCCAAACTTGTCTTTAAAACAAACAAACAGGCCGGGCACAGTGGCTCATACTTGTAATCCCAGCACTTTGGGAGGCTGAAGAGAGGATTGCTTGAGCTCAGGAGTTCAAGACCAGCCTGGGCAACCCTGTCTCTACCAAAAATACAAAAAAAGAAAAAAAGAAAAATTAGTCAGGTGTGGTGGCACACACCTGTAATCCCAGCTACTTGGGAGGCTGAAGTGGGAGGATGGCTTGACCCTGGGAAGTGGAGGCTGCAGTGAGCCATGTTCATGCCACTGCACTCTAGCCTGGGAGAAAGAGCAAGACCCTGTCTCAAACAAACAAACAAACAAAATAATAAACACAAGGTATTTTTTTTTCTCTTCCCCTGGTCAAGCTTAGTAATGCAGTATGTCAGCATTAAAATGACACTTTTGGATGGGGGTGCAGTGGTTCACGTCTATAGTCCCAGCAATTTGGGAGGCCAAGGTGGGAGGATGGCTTGAACCCAGGGGTTCGAGACCAGCCTGGGCAACATGGCAAAACCTTTAAAAATGGAAAAATTAGCCAGGCTTGGTGGCACATACCTGTAGTCCCAGCTACTCAGGAGGCTGAGGTGGGAGGATTGCTTGAGCCTGGGAGGTGGAAGCTGCAGTGAGCCATTATCAGGCCACTGCACTGCAGCCTGGCCAACAGGGCAAGACTCTGCCTTTAAAAAAAAAAAAAAAAAAAAAAAAAGGCAGGGCACGGTGGCTCACGTCTGTAATCCCCTAGCACTTTGGGAGGCCGAGGCAGGCAGATCACAAGGTCAGCAGATTGAGACCATCCTGGCTAACACAGTGAAACCCCGTCTCTGCTAAAAATACAAAAAATTAGCCAGGCGTGGTGGCGGGCGCCTGTAGTCCCAGCTACTCGGGAGGCTGAGGCAGGAGAATGGCGCGAACCCGGGAGGCGGAGCTTGCAGTGAGCCGAGATCGCAACACTGCACTCCAGCCTGGGCGACAGAGTGAGACTCCATGTGAAAAAGATAAATAAATAAATAAAAGACACACTTTTTATAAGAAAAATATTCCACACAAAAAAAGGGGAGTGAAGAATCATATAACCACCATGGGACTGAAGAAATAAAACACTACAAAGAGTTGAAAGCCCCTATACACCTCTTCATGACTGTATAGCCCTCTCTGCCCATCCCCAGAAACCGTTATCCAAAAGTTTGGTAATGATCATTCCCCTAAAGGTTATCTGTATTTTTATGACATATGTAAAACTTCATATAAACGGTATCATAGCATATGGAAATCTCTGCAATTTGCCTTTTCTAATTTTTAACTTTTGTGGATACACAGTAGGTGTATATATTTATGGGGTACATAAGATTTTGTTGTTGTTGTTTTTGAGACAGGGTCTCACTCTGTTGCCCAGGCTGGAGGGCAGCAGCGCAACCACAGCTCACCACAACCTCACCGCAACCTCTGTGCCCAGGCTCAAGTGATCCTCCCACCTCAGCCACCCGAGTAGCTGGGACAACAGGCGCCTGCTACCACGCCTAGCTAATTTTTGTATTTTTAGTAGAGATGGGGTTTCACCATACTGGCCAGGCTGATCTGGAACTCCTGGCCTCAAGTGATCTGTCCACCTTGGCATTATGAAGTGCTGGGATTACAGGCATGAGCCACCGTGCCCGGCCCCTCCTAGATTCCTGATAGGAGTCTGGATCCATCCCCTCCAGATAGGACCCATGGGCCTCAAAAGAAGCGACTCCATCCATCCCTGGCTCTGGGAAGGCCTGATTGGTCAGAGTGGAGTTCTCACAGGAACTCTACTATGGTAAACCACAGGAGAACCAGCTTTAGGATGAAAGAAACCAACAGAGCAGAGACCCAAAAAACTTGGGTTCTTGATGACATCATTTAGATGCTGGATCCCTGAAACCCATAACTTGCTCTGCATCTAGGCTTGCTGACATGAGCCAATCATTTTCCTTCTATGTGAGCCAGTTTTCAGTTCCTTGCAGCTGAAAGGATTCTAACTGCCCTACTTCCCTCCTTGAAGTCTATTCTTGCTATCCGATTCACCCCATACACAATGTCTCAGGGCTCATGGTGCCATTTGTCTCAAACTCTGTATCTCTTCTGAGTGTCCTGGTGCCATTAGCATGTTCTAACAAAGCTGAAACCTGATATCTCCTTTGCCTCGCTTACTACCAGCCTAGAGTAATATAAACCTGGCCCTTTCCATTGGGGAAGTGTAAGATTACCCATTAGCACATCCTGACTTCTTCCCATGTCTCAGGCACTTTACAATTTAGCTCGTTAAATCTTCACACCCACTGTTTCAGATAGAAACTATGATTATTCCCAGTTTATAGATGAGAGCAGTGAGGACGGAGGCCTCAGAGAAAGCATGTACACTCAGTCAATTCCAGATTCAATCCCAGAGGTGCCTGACTCCCAAATTCTCATTCTTGGCTGGACGCAGTGGCTCCCCCCTATAATCCCAGCACTTTGGGAGGCCGGGGAGGTCGGGGGGGTTGGGATCATGGGGTCAGTAGTTCGAGACCAGCCTGGCCAACATGGTGAAACCCCATCTTTACTAAAAATACAAAAAATTAGCCAGGCATGGTGGCAGGTGCCTGTATTCCCAGCTACTTGGAGGCTAAGGCAGGAGAATCGCTTGACACCAGGAGGTGAAGACTGCAGTGAGCCGAGATCGAGCCATTGCACTCCAGCCTGGGCGACAGAGCAAGACTCTTGAGACAAAAAAAAAAAAAAAGAATTCTCATTCTTAATCACAACTTCCCTTCTCCCAAAAAACCCAACAGAAGAAAGGGGGCCCTAAGCTACCAGCAGAACAGAAAAATCAGACTGAGCTTCATATCCCATTATCCCAAAGAACACCATTCATTCCCAGAGATTAGCAGTATGAGGCTTTTTAGAGGCCTAATTCTGGTGTATATCTTGCTTTGCAGAGAGTATAGAACATGCTAATCTGAGGGGGGAAATATGAGTGTTGCAAGAGTATTTCAGGCCATTTTGTTATATCTTATCTATTTACAATTGTCACAGACTCCAAGAGAACCTAAAACTCAAATCAGCTTTTAGGAAAAGAGAAAGTTAGTTACCACTACATAAAGGGTTAAGATGGATCATTGTCATAACACCATAAAAACAACAAACAATGACACAAATTTATTTTAAGAGACAAGGTCTCACTCTGTCACTCCGGCTTCAGTGCAGTGACCTGATTATAGTTCACTGCAGCTTGGAATTCCTGGGCTCAAGGGATCCTCCTGCCCCAGCCTCCCAAGTAGCTAGGATTACAGGCACATACCACCATACCCAGCTAATTTATTAAAATGTTTTTGGCCAGGTGCAGTGGCTATCGCCTGTAATCCCAACACTTTGTGAGACTGAGATGGGTGGATCACCTGAGGTCAGGAGTTCAAGACCAGCCTGATCGACATGGTGAAATCCCACCTCCACTAAAAAAAATACAAAATTAGCTGGGTGTGGTGGTACATGCCTGTAATCCCAGCTACTTGGGAGGCTGAGGCAGGAGAATTGCTTGAACCAGGGAGGCGGAGGTTGCAGTGAGCTGAGATCATGCCATTGCACTCTAGCCTGGGCAACAAGAGCGAAACTTTGTCTCAAAAAAAAAAAAAAGAAAAGAAAAAAAAATTTTTTTTGGTAGAGATAAGGTCTCCCATGTTGCCCAGGCTGGTCTCAAACTCCTGGCCACAAGTGATTCTCCAGCCTCAGCCTCCCAAAGTGCTGGGATTACAGGCATGAGCCACTGCACCCAGCCAACACAACTTTAATGTATTTAGAGCTTCTCTAGAATCATTCTGGAATGAAATAGATTTATATTTCATGGGAAATTTAAATTAAAAAAAATTCTAAACAACTCTTATTTGTAGACCCCATGTACACATGACAGAATTTAGTCCTGTGATTTTCCTATTAAACCCCTGCAGCCTGTTCGATCTTCGTTTGTATTCAATATTCTATGACCACCTCCCCACTACTAGACCACAAGCAACCAGAAGTCAGTGAACAAGTCCCAATCCCCTCTATACTCCTAGCCCCTCTACACCCCTGGCACATGGTAATGGCTGCATAAGTATCCAAACAAAGCATCTATACATTACTACTCTGAGCTCTTGGTCACACTCAGGCACTTTGCATCACAAAAAGACGTTATTCTCTTCCCAGTTCTCCTAGTTCTTTCTCAATCCTCCTGAGCAGGTCAAGGAAAAGGCTCAATGTAGTGCTAGGTTACCTTCAACACCTCTCCATCTCTTGCTAATTTCCCTTTTTAACCAAAAGAGAGTATGCCTCATGTTGTGAACAGGCAACAGTGCTGGCTGGAATTTAATAACTGTTTGGGGTTTATTTATGGTTACCTTCCATTTACCTAGTGACGCTGTTTTTCCGTTATTATAGTGACACAAAGTCTCCTTTTCAAATACATTTGTTTTACAAGTGAGTCAACTGCAGGGGAAAATAATATTAAGTGAAAAATGAAATAGAGACAGCCGTGGGATATGGCAAAATAGTAAAGGTGGTTCCTTTACAAATGATTGAAGCTTGGGGGACACAGACCTAGTCTAGTTCTCCCATTTTATAGATGGGGCAAAAGGTTCAGGCGAGGGCCCCAGTGATGGTAGAGGTAGACCTAGGAGTAAGAGCCAGGGTCTGGGCCAGGCGCGGTGGCTCATGCCTGTAATCCCAGCACTTTGGGAGGCCGAGGTGGGCAGATCAATTGAGGCCAGGAATTCAAAGCCAGCCTGGCCAACATGGTGAAACCTCGTTGATACTAAAAATACAAAAGTTAGCTGAGGCCAGGCACGGTGGCTCACACCTGTAATCCTAACACTTTGGGAGGCTGAGGCAGGCGGACCGGGCCACCGCACTCCAACCTGGGTGACAGTGAGCCTCTATCTCAAAAAAAAAAAAAGAATTAGCTGGGCATAGTGGTGCACGCCTGTAATCCCAGCTACTCAGGGGGCTGAGGCAGGAGAATCCCTTGAACCTGGGAGGCGGAGGTTGTGGTGAGCCGAGATCGCGCCACTGCACTCCAGACTGGGTGACAGAGGGAGACCCTGTCTGGAAAAAAAAAAAAGAGCCAGAGTCTAAGTCCGGACATCTGCCTGGGACCTGCAATCTTGCCAAATCCAGCATGTCCTACACCTTTCCCAGAAACAGAAACGGGTCTCCAGAAGGGGAGTGGGTTAACATCAGCTGATCATACTGATAATGCCTAAATGACAGTCACCTTTAGTAGCTGGAGAAACAAAAGCCGTTGTGCAAGTGTTTTAAATTTTTGCCCCATCACATGGAAAAAGTACCCAGGCTGACGAATTTCTTCCCATCATTAAAACATAAAGATCTGCATTAGTCACTCAGTGAAGTAAAACCCACACAAATTCTACCTTTGGGAAAGGTGTTGGGCGTTCCCTGGCTACACCAGAGATGGCCTAAAACTGACATTTGGTAGCGCTGCAGTATTAGAAATCTGGCCCAATTATGAACAGCAGGCAGCTGGTGTCCAAGGAGTAACTGGGGGAAGTACACGGTTCATGCAAGACACAGACAGATTCCTTCTATCCATCAGGGCAAAGACTAATACTCGCCAACTCCTCAAGAGAACCGAAAATACTGGCCCCCAACCTCCCATATCCATTCCTGTCCCAGGAGCCACAGAATTCCCTGTTGGCAGCCTCCTCTGTCACCCTAGCCCAGCGACTTTGATGCTGTTTGTACAGGGCATAACCCAGAAGTCCAGTTTCCAAGCACTAACCACTGTAAAAATATTGTCGCCAGCTCCATGACACCAAGTTGGATAGTGCGGGGGTTTACCACCACACCCAGGGCAGCAAAAATTTTGACAGATGGCAGGCAGCCCCACCATGACCCCAGATGCCAAAGAGCTAGGAGGGAAAGTGCTGCCCAGGGCCAAGGCAGGGACGAGTCAGACTCCTGGGGGATGGGAGCAGCTGGCACAGCCACCCTTTACTCCAGGTTGAAAGCACACAAGGCAGTCAGCACAGCCTCAGCCTCATGGAGGATGTAACCCTGGCAGTCCCCCACCTGTCTCTCCATCTCCACCCTCCTCCAAGAAGCCCTGAAAAGAGAAGCGGTAGCCCATGGCATTAACGTGAAGACTTATTTTTCCAAGGCTAAGTGGGAAGTGCAGGGTCTCACAGCAACAATGCTGATACTAACACCACAACAGCAGCAGCTGACGTTTACCAAGCACTTACTATAAGCCAGGCACGGTGCCAAGAGCTTTAGAGGCACCTTCTCTTTTATACCTAAGAACTCTGTAAGGCAGAACATTTTTTGTTTGTTTGTTTGAGACAATCTCGCTCTGTTGATCAGGCTGGAGTGCAGTGGCATGATCTCGGCTCACTGCAACCTCCGCCTCCCAGGTTCTAGCGATTTTCCTGCCTCAGCCTTCCAAGTAGCTGGAATTAAAGGCACACACTACCACCTCCGGCTAATTTTTGTATTTTTAGTAGAGACAGGGTTTCGCCATGTTGGCCAGGCTGGTCTCAAACTCCTGGCCTCAAGTGATCTGCACGCCTCAGCCCCCTGAAGTGCATGAGCCACAATGTCTGGCCCCTGTAAGACAGAGCATTTAAGGATCACATTCAGCATATGGACGACAGGCTCCTGGAGGGAAGCAGCTCCCTGGTGTCAGCCAGCTAGCTACAAAGCAGCAAAGCCAAGACTCAGGCCCAGGAGCAAACACAAGACCAGGACCTTACTGCCGCTGCTGGGAGAGCATCTTTCCAAGAGGGTGGTCTGGGACAGGCAAAACCAGGAAAGAAAAAAAAATGAGAGGGAAGGCCAGGTGCAGAGGCTTATGCCTGTAATCTCAGCAATTTGGGAGGCTGAGGAGGGAGTATCACTTGAGCCCAGGAGCTCAAGACCAGCCTGGGAAACATGGCAAAACACTACCTCTACAAAAAATGCAAAAATTAGCCGGGTGTGGTGGTGTGTGCCTGTGGTCCCAGCTACTCGGGAGGCTGAGATGTGAGGATCACCTGAGTCCTGGAGGTCGAGGCTGCAATGAGCCGTGAATGTGCCACTACACTCCAGCCTTTGCCACAGAATGAGATCCTATCTCAAAAAAAAAAAAAAGAAAGAAAGAAAGAAGAAAAGAAAAAAGAAAAAAAAGAAATGGAAGGGAAGGACATTACAGGAGACAAAAGAAAGGGTGAGGGAGGGCAATGGAGCTACTTAAAAAAAAAAAAAAAAAAGGAAGGCTGGGCTCAGTGGCTCACGCTTGTAATTCTGGCACTTTGGGAGGCCGAGGCGGGCAGAGTATGAGGTCAAGAGATTGAGACCATCCTGGCCAATATGATGAAACCCCGTCCCTACTAAAAATACAAAAATTAGCTGGGCATAGTGGCGGCACCTGTAGTACCAGCTACTCAGGAGGCTGAGGCAGGAGAATCGCTTGAACCTGGGAGATGGAGGTTGCAGTGAGCCAAGACTGCACCATTGCAATCCAGCCTGGCAACAAAGCAAGACTGTCTCAAGGTTAAAAAAAAAAAAAAAAAAAAAAAAAAAGGAGGCTTGGCCAGAAGACCAGAAATGCAGAAATGCCACTCATGATGGTTCCTACTCAACAGTTATCCAAAAACCCAGGTTGCCTCTTCTTCTAAAAAGAGTCTGTTAGGTAGGAGGCGGTATCTTTGGCCTATTTCTGGGAGTATTCCCAACCACCTTTCACCTTCCTAGATAATTAGATTGCTTCTTCATCTAGTCTGGAGAGACCACCCCCAGGTCCAGGAATTAGGGGTGTGAAAGACGGGAAAGGAGAAGAGAGAAAGGAGGTTGGTGGGGAGCATGATGACCACCATTCATGGGGCACTTACCCCAGCCCCCACCACCACCTCCAAGGACTGGGTCAAGTGATTTATCAGGATTATATCATTTTATCTTCGATAACGCCAGTAAGGGGGTACTGCTATAGTCTGGGACACAAACTCAGAGAGGTCAAACAACCTTCCCCAAGTCTGCCAGCTAGAAAGCAGCAAGGTCTATCTGACCCATGCTCTGAAGCACTCCGGAAGTGGCTGGATCTGTATCCAGAAGTGGTTTCCATTCCATCTCCTCTGCCTCCTGGCTGAGACAGGATGGCTTCATGGGCCTGGTGTCCTCAGGGCTATTGGGAAATGGTGCCTCCAAAAAAACAATACCATGAAGACCTTAGGGCTACATATAATTTTCAGACTTCTCAAAGTTCCCAGGCAGTCAAGGGTGAACCAAGCTGCCCAAGTACATTGTCAGGCTCACATCTGAAACATGTTTAAACAGCTAATGGAGCTGAGCAACTAAAAGCTAAATGAGTTTCTATGCTGGGCTGCCTATGAGACAAGGTCACAATAGTTACCAAGTATAATAACTATTATTAAGAGACCCTGGCAGTCCCAATAAAAGTAGGTCCTAAAAACTTTTAAGAGACAGAAAGTGGCTGGAACACCTCCATGCCGTGGTTGACCAAACATATTTCTAGACCAAGGGAGACTTGCAAACCACAATGAGACTCAAATGAGACCTTTCATTTTAATGTTGGACAAAGCTCAGCAATAACTCAATTGAAGACGAATCTTGTTATAACCATCAGTATGACCAAAATTATTTCACAAAGCATTTCCAGTCCACAGTCACTTTTTTCCTGAGAAAGGAATCTCTTTCTTCCCTATTCTGATTAAAAGGCAGCTGTAAGCAAAATCCCCTAAAAGTAGAAAAAGATTCATTAAAATTCTTCACAGGTGATTTTTTTCTTTATATTTTTCTGTGTTCTTGCAATTTTTTGCAAAGAGTAACAACTACAGATGTAACTTTTTAATGCTCCAATAAAAATTTATTAGAATTGAATTTCAGGCTGGGCACAGGGGCTCACTCCTGTAATCCCAGCACTTTGGGAGGGCCAGGTAGGTGGATCACTTGAGGTCAGGAGTTCAAGACAAGCTTAGCCTGTCTCTATAAAAATACAAAAATTAGCTGGGCATGGTGGCACGTGCCTGTAGTCCCAGCTACTCGGGAGGCTGAGGCAGGAGAATCACTTGAACCCAGGAGGCAGAAGTTGCAGTGAGCCAAGACTGCAGTTTGGGCAACAAAAGGAGACATCATTTCAAAAAAAAAAAAAAAAAAGGCCGAGTTCGGTGGCTCAAGCCTGATCCCAGCACTTTAGGAGGCCGAGGCAGGTGGATCTCGAGATCAGGAGTTCAGGACCAGGCTGGCCAACATGGTGAAACCCCGTCTCTACTAAAAATACAAAATAGCCAGGTGTGGTGGCATGCAACTATATTCCCAGCTACTCGGGAGGCTGAGGCAAGAGAATCGCTTGAACCCAGGAGGCGGAGGTTGCAGTGAGCCAAGATTGCGCCACTGTACTCCAGCCTGGGAGACACAGCAAGACTCTGTCTCAAAAAAAAAAAAAGAAGCAAATTTCAAAGACTTGCTGAGCTGATGGCTTTCCTTGGGAAAGCAGTAAAATATGAAGATTAAAATCTCAGACAAGAATCTGAGTAATAACCACACACTCACTGGCCAATCTGGGTGTGCCTCAGTTTTCTCATCTGCATAACGGGAATTACAACAATAACTACTTCTCAGAATTGCAATGATGTTTTGTATAGCTATTAGTAAGAAGCGTTTATCACAATGCCTGGTACTTTGTATGGGCTCTCTCTATATTCACTGTAACTAATGAAACTGTTACTATGATTGTGACTTTCAGTAATTTCCTATTAAATTCATTTTCTGAGCTTCACCTGGAAAAGGCCTTGTTCTCTAACAGTTGTTGAAGCAAATCACAGATGTCCAGAGAATGAACATGAACTGCTGAGTTCTTTAAGTTCAGCATCACAGTCCAAAAACGAAGTGTTCCACTGGGACCCCAGACCCAGTTGTCTACTACATATAATTCCCACTTCACTAAAGGCAGCAAAGAACCACTGTTTTGCATTTTCTGAATTGCAAATAAGTCAATGTACCAGTCTTAATACTCAAGCTATTATACTAGAGACTGTTTATTTAACAAGTTATTTATTAAATTCCTATTAAGTGCCAAGGTCAGAGCCACAGAGGTAAACAAGAGACACAGCGCCTGCCCCTGGAGCACTGATGACCCGTGGGAGAGTAAGAAGGCCATTTAGAACACCAATACGGCTCAGTAAGAGGGCAGTGTGGCCAAGTGAGGTGGCTCATGCCTGTAATCCCCACACTTTGGGAGGCTGAGGCAGGCAGATCGCTTGAGCCCAGGAGTTCAAGACCAGCCTGGGCAACATAGCAAACCGAATCTACAAAAAATACAAAATTAGCCAGCAGTGTTGGTGTGTGTGCCTGTAATTCTGACTACGTGGGAGGCTGAGGTGGGAGGATCGCTTGAGCCAAGGAGGTCGAGGCTGCAGCGAGCTGTGATGGCACCACTGCACTCTAGCCTGGGTGACAGAGCAAGACTCTATCTCCAAAAAAAACAAAAACAAAAAAACAAGGTGTTGGGTGCCCAGGAGAGGACCTCATGCCCAACTTTGGGTGTGACTCCCCATGGATGTCAGACAATAGTGCTGAGAAAAAGGGATAGGAGAGACAATTAGGTAAGAGGTGCACACCTGCAGGAAGTGTAATGTGACACCTGGATCACATCCTGTAAAGGACTCCCTGATGGGAGAGCCATCCCCCAGGTGCTAGCTTGCCTCCTTTGGTGGAGATAAGGAATGTGACAAGCCACTGCCTAGGTGCTTTCAAGCCAACTCTGCCAAGGCGCCTCACTCAGAACACATTCTGGGTTCTGCCTCCAGATGGCTAGAAGCTCCACCGAGGGCCCCCATCCCAGCAGCAGCACATTCCTGGTCTTCCAGCAGGTACCCCTCCCTGCCTCTGCTGAGAGGGAATCTTGTAAACAGAACCCTGAACTCTGCTCAACTGATAGCACTACAGACTCACAAAGGCCTTTTAGGGTCTCAGCTCAAAGACCTTGCACCTCAGGTCCCCTGGGAGGCAGGGCCTGGTCCCATACTCTGGCCTGCTTTACCCCACACCAAGGGAACAATCAGTTTGTTCCTGGGCAAGAAGCACCAGGCCGGGCCCCTGCTCCCACAATAGGCTGTAGATGCCAAACCATTCTTGTGTCCCTGGAATCTGATAAACCACTTCAAGGAGGTGCAGGGAAACCAGGGTGATACGCACAAGAAGTGTGGTACAAGCATGATAAGAACTTATTTTCTTGGGACACGGGGGAAACTGAGAAATCCTATTTTAGCCACCAAGAAACCTTTCCTGCCCCGGCCTCCCTAGGAGGCCTGCCTCTCCCTCAGTCACACTCAGCACAGGCGGAAGGTAGCACCGTTCCTGCCTGTTGAAGGAAAGCTGACTGCTGCTTGCCATCTTTCATCTTAAAGTCTGAATTTATGGGCTTGCGGCAAATTTACATAGTGCCTGCCACAAATCCCCACCCGTTTCCCTATAGTTCGAATGCCAGAATTCCACCCTGTGTTCCAAATAACTCCAACCTCTTTAGTAGCCTTTTTTTTTTTTTTTTCTGGAAAGGAAATTCCAGAAAACTTGTCTGGCATGGTAAAGGCTGACAGCCTTATGAAAATACTCAGAAAGGTGACCCATTTAGTCAAAAGAGCTTTCAGATCTCTATGAGAAAAGGAATTCATGCCAGCATAAAGGGCCTTCAGAGAGAGAGAACAGGAGTGCTGTGTTAACACCCAGACCTTTCAGCAAGCCAGCCCTGCGACGGCTGGGGAGGCTGAGCCCTGAATGGGCTGGACGGACCAGCTTTCTCTCTCAGGAGAGGTGCGCCTCAGGAGATGCCCGTGGGGATCACAAGTTCAGCTCTGGCTCACACAACTTTGTGCTGCCACAGCACGAGGCTACCTGCAGATGAGCGGAAAGCTGCCTGCTTGGATTGGAAGCAGGCTGCCCACTTGTGCCAGGGCCATGAGACTGATAAAGGCTGGGTGCTAGGCCTGGAAAGAAGGGTGCAGTTGCTGGGCTCACCAGCAAACACAACCCAGCACACCCTCCCACCAGTTAAACAAGGTAGCAGAAGAAAAGGGTGTGGGTGAACTCATTCCTGACAGAGCATAGCTGTGCCTATGTCCGCTGTCACCAAGGATCTCCTGGCATAGTTGGCTCTCAACAACACTCCCCTCAACACACACACACACACACACACACACACACACACACACACACACACACCCCTGTGGTGTCATGGTGTGTGCTGTGAGCCCTGCAGCCAGGGGGAGTTCCAGGGACACCTCCTTCCTCACCTCTGGTTTCTAGACCTCACAAACAAAAGCCCTGCCCACCTCCTCCAAAGCAACCTTTAGCTGGTCCCTACTGTCCACACCTGCGGTGACATTACTGCCCCCTGGAAACCAAAGGCAGGGAAAGAACTGGAGCAATGTCTCCAAAAACTGGAAAAGGTCCCAGTCAGAGCTCCACGGTGTGGGAAAAGATATGGTAAGTAGCCCCCAAAAAGTTTTGTTCTGTAGAAGGAAATTTCAGTTTCACATGAATCAAGCGCAAATGAGTAAAGTTTGGAGCAAAGCAAAACAGGAAGAAAAAAAATCCACAGAAGCAGAAAACAGTCTCTTCTACACCCTCTCACTACAATATATCTATTTTACTTTACAGAGTGTGAAACTCAGTTTTGACACAAAAGTCCTTTACAGCATGATGCAGGCAGGGATTAGGGATTAAGCCTGACCTGTAAAGTGAGGCAGAGCTGAGCCTCAGTTTTCTCATCTGTAAAATGGAAACAGATGTCAACCTAAAAGAAAGAGGCAGAGGCTTAAAATTTAAACTATTAAAGAGTTTACTTGAGCCAAAGTGAAGACAGCTGCCTGAAAGACTCAGGCCCAAGTAACCTTGGATATGAGCTCTGTTTGGCCTTTGTTACAAGCAGGTTTTTAAAAGCAAAAGAGGGGACAGACAGGGAGTGGGGCTGATACAAAGTTTTTTGTCAGGAATTCTCATTGGCGTACAGAAATAGCATTGATTAGTGGTTGGCCATCCATCGTTAAGCTATAGGGTGTGGATTATGGTACTGCGTGCAGCATTATTAGATTAATTTATAACTAATTGTGACAATAGCAATTTCTTTGTTTTAGAAACGGGTCTCACTCTGTCGCCCAGGCTAGAGTGCAGTGACGCAATCATAGCTCACTGCAGACTCAAACTCCTGGGCTCAAGCTATCCTCCCAACTCAGCCTCCCAAGCAGCTACAACTATGTAGGCTTGTGCCACTGCATCCAGATAATTTTTTTTTTTTTTTTTTTTTTTGTAGAGATGTGATCTCACCCAGGCTGGTCTTAAACTCCTGGCCTCAATAGATCCTCCAGCACCGGCCTTCCAAAGTGCTGTGATTATAGGACAGGCATGTACCACCACACCTAGCCAGCAACCAATTTTAAGAAATGAATACATAGGCGGGGCACAATGGCTCACACTCGTAATCCCAGCACTTTGGGAGGCCAAAGCAGGCGGATTACCTGAGGTTGGGAGTTCGAGACCAGCCTGGCCAACATGCTGAAACCCCGTTTCTACTAAAAATACAAAAAATTAACTGGCTGTGGTGCCAAGGCGCCTGTAATCCCAGCTACTGGAGAGGTTGAGGCAGGAGAATCGCTGGAACCCGGGAGGCAGAGGTTGCAGTGAGCCAAGATCGCGCCACTGTACTCCAGCCTGGGTGACAGAGTGAGACCCTGTCTTAAAATAAATAAATAAAAATAAAAATACCAAAACTAGCCAGGCAAGGTGGCAGGCGCCTGTAATCCCAGCTACTCAGGAGGCTGTGGCATGAGAATCACTTGAACCCCGGAGGCAGAGGTTGCAGTGAGCCAAGATTGCACCACTACACTCCAGCCTGGTGACAAAGCAAAACTCTGCCTCAAAAAAAAAAAAAAAAAAAAAAAAAAGTCAATGAATACATAGCTCAAAGAGGGTAGCAGGATGTGTTCGCTGTCTCATTTAATGTCTTTCCAGGCCTGATACTTTAAAAGGACTCACCTTCTTCCGATAAAAGTTCTTTTCTTTTCTCATAGATGTAAAGCCACTAGTTTTGCAGAGTTCACGAGGATTAGAAGTAGTATAAGTAAGATAGACCAATGCTCAGCAGACGGAAGGTGTGAGAAATACTAGATGTTATATTAGAGGATGAATATCCTCAACAGTGCACACCTCAACATTCAGTACACAGCCAGCATTATTTGTATGTATTCTTGGTACCAAGAAGAGCCAAAGAATAATATGTAGGAGGACAAGGGTCCTCCTTGCCAAGCTTTTTACATGCGCTGCTTAGAAAAGCCAGATTTTGATAATGGGGAAAGGGAGAGAGTCAGCGGCTCTGTCACAATAACTCAGTCTGATAGGCAGTCTTGCCTAAGTGAAAAACCAAACTGCTTCTTTGCTTATAGTACAAGAAAATTTTGGCCAAGGGCATTCTACTGCATGGGATCTGGCCAAAATTGTTCTTTGGTAAATGCTGTACTCAAACAATGGGCATAAGTAAAATCTCATCAAATTGTTTTTAAAAATAAACAGTTTGCAGAAGAGTTACAACAACCATCTACAGTTTATCAAAGGAACACATTTAAGTCAGCTGCTCTAAGGCTCTTAGAGGGCAGGAGCTTCAAACATAGCTCAGTATTTTTCTTTGTCCTCCTCCCCTCCCACAGAATAAATCCTGACACTGGCCAGGCGCGATGGCTCACACCTGCAATCCCAGCACTTTGAGAGGCCAAAGCGGGCGGATCACCTGAGATCGGGAGTTCGAGACCAGCCTGACCAACATGGAGAAACCTCATCTCTACTAAAAATGCAAAAAAATTATCCAGGTGTGATGGCGCATGCCTGTAATCCCAGCTACTTGGGAGGCTGAGGCAGGAGAATCTCTTGAACCCGGGAGGCGGAGGTTGCAGTGAGCTGAGATAGCGCCACTGCACTCCAGCCTGGATGACAAGAGCGAAACTCCATCTCAAAAAATAATAATAAAAATAGAATAGAATAATAAATTGTGATACTAAGTGGGCCTGATTAAAATACCCAGTAATTCCGTCCTCTGTACCATCTATACCTACTCTCACCTGCTGGTTCATCACTTCAGTCATAAAGAGACCCATTTGGTTTTCTAATCATTTTCCCCAAAAAGCTTTCTTCCCAGTACATGGACTCAGTTTCCCATGAAAAGTTAGTTAGGCACCTTAAAAATACAAGATCACTTCTCAAGCTCCTGAAGAAGAAAGTATTGTTGTTTATTATACAATAACCTGAGCCAATTTAGGGATTACTGTGCCCGTTTAATGAATAACTAGATTTACAACAGTAATGTAAGATGGCTTCTAGTAGAATGTCATGAAAAGCAACTGTAATCATTATAAAAGCAGGAAATAGCCCCATTTAGATTAAAATGGCTCATTCCATTGAATATTTTCATTAGTTAAACTTATTGTTGGGGGAAGGTGTTACAATTACAGATCCAGCTCCTTAATTTAGAATACTCAAAGATGAAAATTAAAAGCAGAATAACAAGAATATGGAAAAAAGAAAAAAACTAAATGTAGAAACACAAACCTTCACGGGAGCCTCCAAAAGAGGTATGTCCACCCCAAGGGGACATAAGATAATCCGTTAGAGCCAGGAAAAAAACAGATTTTATATTTGGATTTGTCATCTAAAAAGAAACTAAGATTTACTAATATTTAATATACAAATTGACAGTAGAGTATGTTTATAACTTATAAATATATATAAATACATATATAAATATATATATATATGAGGAAGGGGCACATACAAAACTTTCTGCTAATAGGAATGACTGGAGCAACAGGTGAGACCCCTGAGATAAACGACCCCTTTTGGCTGGGTTTACTACCCTACACTAAACAAGGGGCTGGATGCCGTGGCTCACGCCTGTAATCCCAGCACTTTGGGAGGCTAGGTGGGTGGATCACCTGAGGTCAGGAGTTCGAGGCCAGCCTGACCAACATGGTGAAACACCATATCTACTAAAAATACAAAATTAGCCAGGTGTGCACATGCCTATAATTCCAGCTACTTGGGAGGCTCAGGCAGGAGAATCTCTTGAACCCGGGAGATGGAGGCTGCAGTGAGCCGAGATCATGCCACTGTACTGCACTCCAGCCTAGGAAACAAGATTGAAACTCCAACTCAAAAAAAAAAACAAACAAACAAACTCAAGGAGCATACCCCATAGGCAGCCTCCAGTTTCAGAAAGCCCTTGGTAAACCAGCCCTGCCCACCCCTCCACTGCCCCTCTGACCTGAGCATCAAGACCTCTAAACTGACACACTCGTCTGCTCCTGTGTAAATGTCTGTTTGCCTGCCTAATTCTAGTCACGCTTTAGGTCTTAGCTGAAAGGTCCCTTCCTCCAGGGAACCTTCTAGATTACCCATACCCAGCCTAGGGGCAGGTGCTCCTCCTTTTCAGAGGGCTTGGCACCTAGATCCTTGCTACTTACAGCACGGTGCACAGACAGCAGGATCTGAAGCTGACTGGAAACGCAGAATCCCAGCCTACACCCCAGCACCTACTCAATCAGACCTGCATTTTTAACAAAGTCCCCAGGTGATGAGCATGGGCCTGAAGGTTTGAGCAGCTCTCCTCTGCATGGCTCTCCCTGCTTGCTTGTCTCTTCTCCTCTGAGCAGTATCTGAGGCAAGCAAAGGACATGATCCTCTCATTCCTGTTGTCCTAGCACCCAGCACAGGGCCTGGTTCAGAGATGGGCTTTCATATATTTGTTGAATGAGGAAAGGAAGAAAGGATCTTGGGAGACATCTTCATCAGACGTTCTGAACTTGGAGAAAGGGAACAGCTAACACACCAGATGACAGCAATAGGATTCCAAAAATATCTGGACTGGCCAGAGAATAGACAGAAGACAAGACAAAGTCCTGGACTTGGGTCCAAAAGCACAATATTCATAGTGATAATGACAACACTGTGCTATAACTTAACCTCATCAAATATAATGCTCCCAGCAACTCTAAGATAGCAACTATTTTGCTCTTGCATTTTATAGACAGGGAAGCAGGCACAGAAAGGTTAAAGCAGTGGACTAGAGTTGCACAGCTGGTATCAGGCAGAGTGCGGATTAGAATCCAGACAGTCTAGCTTCAGACCGAGGCCCTGAATCACTAGGCTACATCCAGTTTTGCCTAGGATATGCTACCTGGAAACTGATGTAGCAAAGTTGGCTGGGTCCGGTGGCTCACGCCTGTAATCCCAGCACTTTGGGAGGCCGAGGCAGGTGGATCACGAGGTTGGGAGTTCGAGACCAGCCTGACCAACAAGGTGAAACCCCATCTCTACTAAAAATACAAAAATTAGCCAGACATAGTGGCGCACGCCTGTAATCCCAGCTACTCAGGAGGCTGAGGCAGGAGAATTGCTTGACCCCGGGAGACAGAGGTTGCAGTGAGCCGAGATCACGCCACTGCACTCCAACCTGGGCGACAGAGCAAGACTCCATCTCAAAAAAAAAGAAAAAGAAAACGCAAGGTGACTGGCACCCTGACCATGGAGCTACTGGAGGCAGGGCCTAAAGGCTCCAGGCCCTGGGTATCTGCTCCCCTAAGGAGCAGGGCAGCCATCCTCAACTAAGCCAGCAGCCCACTCCATGGTACCTGCCTCACAGCACAAAACCAGGACCCAAGAGACACAATTTGGCTCCAAATCAAAGCCCTCCTTTAGCTCAGACTCTCCAAGAACGAAGGCGGCTGCCGACTGGCATGCTGGCTCCGCCGTTGCTGGGAGAACTCCACAGAGGCCCAACCACCATCTGGAAGTGATTTGGCCCAGAGATTCCTGAAAGGGGTGGGAGGCTGGAATGACCAGACGCCTGGAGCTCCCTGTCCAGCTTGGAAACAAAGCTGGTGTGAATGGGCCCTGGAGGCAGCCATAACATAGCAGGGGGCAGCCCCTTTCAAGGAGGTGACACCCTCTAGGCAGTCCATAGCCGTATTTTAGCAAGTAGGATCAACCTTAGCCAACCAAGCTGTTCTCCCCAGAGCGCGCTGATTTCAAATGCCCTTTCAGTGTGCAAACCTTTCCGGCATGACTTTTGAGATTATTAAACAGTGCCTTATTTAATTAACAGGCATTCACAGAGCACTTACTATGTACCATAAACTGTGCCAAGCACTTTAAAAATTATTAACTTGTTTAATCTTTATAACAGCCTTTTAAGAAGGTAGTTATTATCCCCATTTTAGTGATAAGGAAACCAAGGCACAGAAGTTTCTAATAGCTACTTAGTGGCAAGTGGGATTTGAACCAAGAATCCTTGCTCTTAACTACTACACAAGTGACATTGAATGCTAATGTGCCACCTTGTACATGGCCCACAACTTGTTATTAATAATTCTGACAAAGCATGCTACTTTGCTACTTTTTTTTGAGATGGAGTTTTGCTCCTGTTGCCCAAGCTGGAGTGCAATGGCATGATCTCAGCTCAACACAGCCTCTGCCCTTGGATTCAAGCTATTGTCCTGCCTCAGCCTCCCACGTAGCTGGGATTACAGGCATGCACCACCACGGCCATCTAATTTTGTATTTTTAGTAGAGATGGGGTTTCTCCATGTTGGTCAGGCTGGTCTCAAACTCCAGACCTCAGGTGATCCACCCACCTTGGCCTCCCAGGGTGCTGGGATTACAGGCATGAGCCACCACGTCCGGCCAACTTTGCTACTTTTTAAGCACTCTCTGTACTACCCAAAAGACATGCTGGCATCTGCTAGACATGCAAGAAAGAGCAGAACTTAAGGTTATTTGGAAATTATTTTGGTAGTAGTAGCACAAAAGGGAGAGGAAGGAAAAGGAGCTGACTGGACCAGTGACCCACCACCCTGGAAGCTGCCTAGTGACCCGAAGTCTTGGGAACACGCACCCTGCCTGCTCTGGCGCTGGCCTGGTTTAAGTCAGTCAAGTAAACTTTAGGGTTAGACCACATCCTCTGAAAAGGAAACAATTCCTTTCTCTAAAGGCCCAAAACAAAACACACCACCCAAACTTCTAGGCCTTGATCATCATTCTTGGGCTGAGAGACCCCTTTTCCTCCCAGCTGGCTGGACTGCCCCATGTCAGAAAGGTTTTTGGAAAAACAAGTAAATAAAACTGCCAACTCCTGGCAAACAGCTGGAATTAAAGACACTGAGTCCTCACTATGAACTGCCCATCACATAACAAGAAACGTAAGGAAATTTTCAACTTTTGGATGGCGCCTAGGGGCCTACCTTACAATGAACCACAAATGTGAATCAATAGCCAGGGTTGTCTTTCAGTGAATTCTAGGCAGAAAAGCCAGAGTCCTCTGGCAGCTGTTGAAACACCACCTATCTCAGAGCTGGAGGCATGTACACAATTCTAATGACTCCACAACTGTCTGGTCTTATCCAAAGCATACAAAACCCTGTATTCATTCAATGATACCTTCCCTGACGATGGAATAAAACATCATCCATTGGGTAGTAGGAAATCTCAACCAACCAACCAAAACACAATGAGGAAAACACAAGAGGCAAACTGATCCCACTTAATTCCCGGCTGACTCTCAACTTGTGAGACCTTCATCACAGCCCAGAGGATTCATCCTGCCAATCATGGAAGGCCCTGACATCCCTATTTTGTCCAAGGTCAGAGGTTCAGAGTGTGGGTATCCAGCCACCACCCTAACACCTAAGACTTGCAAACCTAGTGTTGCAGGGACCCTCTGATGTGGAGAGAAAAGCTGTATTTTACTCATCTCTGAAACTGGAAGGCAAGTCAGTTAAGGCTCCAATTCAACAGCTGGGCAGACCTGGGTTTCAGACACCATTTACTAGCTAGCTGGGTCACCTCCACAAGTGGCTTCACTCCTGTTTCCCATCTTTAAATAAAGATAATAATACTAACCATGGCAAGAGTATGATCAACCAAACAGAAACAAACAACCAGGCTGTTCTCCCCTAATTTTGAACGTCCCTTCGGTGTGCAAACCATTCGGGCATGACTTTTTTTTTTTTTTTTTTTTTTGAGTCAGAGTCTCGCTCTCCCAGGCTGGAGTGCAGTTACACAAAGACCTCGGCTCACTGCAACCTCCACCTCCCGGGTTCAAGCAATTCTCCTGCCTCAGCCTCCCGAGTAGCTGGGACTACAGGTGTGCACCACCATGCCCAGCTAATTTTTGTATTTTTAGTAGAGCTAGGGTTTCACCATGTTGTCCAGGCTGGTCTCGAACTCCTGACCTCAGGTGATCCACCCACCTTGGCCTCCTAAAGTGCTGGGATTACAGGCGTGAGCCACGGCATCCAGCCCTGGCATTACTTTTGAGATAATTATTAGACAGCACCTTATTTAATTAACAGGCGCCATTTTCTAAGCAACACATGCCCAGGACAGTGTTAAGCCCTGAACTCTCTAAGTGACTTGCAGAAGCAGATCATTAGAGATAGGGCAGTAGTTGCTGTCAATCAATGATTAGCATGAAAATTCAATGGGGTGATCAACAGAACACACTTAACACCCAGTAGGTGCCCCCAAATTGAAGCTAGTGTCATTGTCAGCACAATGTAACACAACCTAAGCAGTGAATATATGAACCTTAGTCCAAGCTGGAGGTAACTTTGCCTTGAAGGATGAAGGACCATTACCCACAACAGCCTCAAGAGCTTAGGGAAGAAGCCTCCTGCTTTATCCCCACAGCAGTCCTGGCACTTGCCAGGGCTCTCTGTGGTCTCCAGAGGCTGGAAAACCTGTTTGTTGCAAGATCTCTCGGGAGAGCAATTAGGCAGCCAATGATACAAGTCATAAATGTGGTCACACCCTTTAACCCAGGAATGTCACTCTGGGGAATATGATCCAAGAAATCATTAAAAAGGAAAAAAATAGAATGCAAGTTGTGGTAGGAACAGGAAGAAGCTGCCAACAGCCCACAGGCCCAGCACAGAGGAAGGGAAGCTAACTAACCCTGGAACGTCGGGACAATGGGAGTAGCTAGGGCCTGAGTGGATTCGAAAATAAAAGGAGGACCGGGCTGGGCGCGGTGGCTCAGGGCTGTAACCCCCGCACTTGGGAGGCCGAGGCGGGCATATCATGAGGTCAAGAGTTCGAGACCAGCCTGGCCAACATGGTGAAACCCCATCTCTACTAAGAATACAAAAATTAGCCGGGCGTGGTGGCATGTGCCTGTAATTCTAGCTACTCAGGAGGCTGAGGCAGAAGAATCGCTTGAACCCGGGAGGTGGAGGTTGCAGTGAGCAGAGATGGCACCATTGTACTCCAGCCTGGAGACAGAGCAAGGCTCCATCTCCAGGCGGGGCGGTGGTGGGGAGGGGGAGCAGGGAATCAGGAGAACCATGTAAAAAAATGTAGACAAAATCTAGAATGAGACCCACAGCCCCGGGCACTGATGAGAGACAGTGCTGGAAGTAGCTGCTGCCTCTGTAAACAGTGGGTAGATCAGGCAGTCTGTGATTTGCTAGTGCTGCGGTTTGGTTTGGTTTTGTTGTTGTTTTAGAGATTTCATGTCGTATTTGGATACTTCTGGTTTACTTTAAGTTTCTTTATTCAGTTAATTAAATAAATACACATTTTTAAAACAAAGAACAGATCCAAATTGAGCCCAGCTGGGCCTTGGGATTCTTCAGAGGGGAGGCTGGTTTCTGAATGGTAAAGAATTCCAGGAGATTCTGAGGTTCTCCCTCCCCAGTACAGGAGATGGACCCCAGAAAGAAGACAACAGCGTGCCATGCAGATTCTTCTGCAGGGAAGCCACCCTTGGGGAGGGGGAGGGCTGCTGGAGATCAGCTGGGTGGTGCGGCTGCCATCTGGGCCCAGGAAGCAGGAAGCAGCCTTACCTGCCAGGACAGGTGTGGGGGAAGGGAAGGGTGAGGCCCTAAGGCCCAGGGGAGGCTCAGCCTAGAGGGAATCCCTTTTCCACTGGAGAAAGTCCTGGCAGCCACACCCATCTCCCTTTCTTCCTGTCACTAGGGTCACTATAGTGACCTGGTTTCCTCAGGAAGAGACCCAAATCACAGGCCAGGGCCAGTCCCTGGTTCTCCTTAGGAAGAGATCCAGACCCAGAACCCTCCTCTGCCCCAACCCACACCCACCCACCCACATACACACACACACATACACACACCCATACACACGTGTAGGTGGATACACATTCTCTGCATACATTCCGTGTACATGCAAACTCTTTGCATATGCACATGCTATACACACATGCTATGTGTGTACACACGTTCTCTGCACAAACGCCCACATGCACACACACATCACAGCCCCTACCATCACAGCCCACACTATCAGTAGCCTTGTGGCCCTCTGGGAAGCCTCCAACTATCTCAGACCACAAGGGAGACTTCATCCTTATTCTTCCTCCCCAGACCAGAAGGCCCAGTCCAGCAAGAGACACCAATTCCCTCCCTCCTTTCAGGAAGACCCTGGTGTAGGTTTGGGAGAGGAGAGGAAAACAAAGCCTCCTTCTAACTGTTGCCCACTTCCTTCAGTTCTCAGCTGGGCCCTACTTGCTGACCTTGGACAGGTCAATTAACCCTCCGGACCCCCTTATCTGTAAAATGGGTCTAGCCTCACCCCAGATGGCAGGATGCGTAGGGACGGAGATAACTTAGAAGGCTGACGGTACACAGTGGACGCTAGTTGGGCTCCCTACAAGACAGCAATTACTGTTACCACCACCATCTCTAAATTATAACTTCGGCAGCAAGGAGTGGGTTCAACCTGCGGCGCGCGGCCAGAGCTGAGCTGGGAGCAGAGAGAGCGAGGACACACACCCGCGCCTACCCTTGCAACCTCGGGGCCCACACCCATTCCAGCGACGGCAGGGGAAGGTACCAGGTCTCTGTCTCCACCTGGGCAGGGAGGCCCCAGGCGCAGAGAACGGTTCCTCCTCAGGTCTCACGGCCCGGCCTCCGAGCCAACGCCCATTCAGCTGCCTCTGAGAGCACCAACCTGGGCGCAGCAGGGAGAGCACTCCGCGGAGCATCTGACCCTAGGGCCCGCCCCCGGGGACAGCGAACGAGGGTTTCTAGTCCCCTAGCTCCCATAGGGGCGCCCCAGGTGTAGAGAAATGCAACAACTCCACCTCTCCTCCTGTGACCCCAGCCCAAACCCTCAACCCTTAGCCAGCCAAAGGTGCACTGCTGGGGCGGATGGCGGGGAGCGATCACAACAGGTCCCATCCCAGGGGAAGACACCGGGGAGGGGGTCTAGGCCCCCTATAACCCACCCCTGGGGACGACTCCCCCTTATCTCCGAGGTGGGGGCGCGCTGCGGGAAATCCTCGCCCTCCGCAGGGGTGCACGCGCGGGGGCGGGTCGGCACCACAGTGGGCGCCTGGGCCCGGCCAGAGAACTCACCGATGGACACGAGCTTGATGCTCTCACGGTCCAGGAACTCGAGCGCCACGGACACATTCTCGAGCTGCATCTGGCGAAAGGTGGGCCGCTGATGGTACTTGCGGTACATGCGCTTCTGGCTGAGCACCTCGAGCAGCGCGATGAGCCGCAGCCCGTCGCTCAGGTCGGTCTGCAGGTTGCCGATGCGTTTGTTCACGCACTTGAGGTGCTCGTTGCACCAGCGTGTGAACGTGTTCTGCTGGATCTTCTTCCAAGGCGCGTCCTCAGCTAGATCCTTCTCGGTTACCGGCATCCTGGTGGCGGGGAGAGCGCAATGCGCAACGAGCTGCCGGGGACTGGTGTTTGGAGGCCCAAGGGCCGAAGGAGCGAGAACCGAAGCGGAGCGGGAGCGGGGTTCGAACTTGCTGCTACCGGAGCCACGGCCGGTGCTGCTCTGCGGCCGCCCGCCCCTGGCCGCGCGAGGCGCCTGGCCCCGCGCCTGCGCGCTGAGCCGCCCCGCCCCCAAGCCCCGCCCCGTCCCGACCCTCCCGCGGGAGTTCCTGGGCCACGCTCGCCTCCTGCCGCCTGCCGCAGGCACTGCGCCCCACTGCGTCCTGGGACCCGCGCTCGAAGCCCACCACCCCAGCAGGATGTAGGGCTGCCTGAATCACCCGGTCAGCCCCGGGGTGGGGGGACCCGCGGGGGCTGGGAGCCGGACAGAATGGGTCGGGCCTCAGTGGGACTTGCGGGAGGGGCGCGCGGGGCGGAGGTCTTCATCCACATATAGATTGAATAAAATTCAGTAAGGGCTTTTATTGAGCTCCGCCTGTGTACCAGCCATTCTTCTCAGAGCCTGCTAACCAGTAGTAAATCAGACAAACGTATTGCACAACCTCAAGGAGTTCACACAGCCTAATGGAAGAGAAAAGTGTAATTCCACCATAACCAACAGCCCAGTAGTGGTGGTAAAAATGAACAATAAGGCTTGTTGCATGTCTTAGTTTCCAGTTACTGCTGTAACAAGTTACCAAAACTTAGTGTCTTTGAAAACACACACCCACAAATGTATTATCCTTCAGTTCTGTAGGTTCGATGGCCCACACAGGTCTTGCTGAGCTAAAAACAAAGTGTTGGCAGGATGCATTCCCTTCTGGAGGCTGTAGGGAAGAATCTGTTTCCTTGTGTTTTCTAACTTCCAGAAGCTGCCTGCGCGCCTGACTCCTGCCCCTTTTCTCTGTGAAAGCCTGCAATGGGCTGGGCACAATGGCTCACACCTGTAATCCCAGCACTTTGGGAGGCCAAGGTGGGTGGATCACCTGAGGTCAGGAGTTCGAGACCAGCCTGGCCAACATGGTAAAACCCCATCTCTACTTAAAATACAAAAATTAGCCAGGTGTGGTGGCGCGTACCTGTAATCCCAGCTACTGGGAAGGCTGAGATAGGAGAATCGCTTGAACCTGGGAGGCAGAGGTTACAGTGAGCTGAGATGGTGCCATTGCACTCCAGCCTGGGCGACAGAGCAAAACTCCGTCTCAAAAAAAAAAAAAAAAAAAAAAAAAACAGAAAAGCAAGCCTGCAATGTCAGGTGGAGTCTCTCAGACCTCAGACAGTCCTCTCTCCATAGGCACATCTTCCTTTTTTTTTTTTTTCCTGCGATGGAGTCTTACTCCGTTGCCCAGGCTAGAGTCCAGTGGTGCAATCTCGGCTCACTGCAACCTCCTCCTCCTGGGTTCAAGCAATTCTCTTGCCTCAACCTCCTGAGTGGCTGGGATTACAGGCACCCGCCACCACGCTCCGCTAATTTTTGTATTTTTAATAGAGACGGGCTTTCACCATGTTGGCCAGGCTGGTCTTGAACTCCTGACCTCAAGCGATCCACCAGCCTCTGCCTCCCAAAGTGATGGGATTACAGGCATGAGCCACCTTGCCCAGCCTTTTTTTTGTCTCACTCCGTCTCCCAAACTGGAGTGCTATGACTCAATCTCGGCTCCCTGCAGCTTCAACCTCCCCACACCTGGCCCTTTTAAGGACTCTTAAGATGACATTGGGCCAGCTGGTTAGTCCAACATGATCTCCCTATTTTAAAATCAGCCGATTAAGAACCCTAATCCTGTTTGCAACCTTAATTCCCCTTTGCCATTTAAGGGAATGTTCACAGGTCCTGAGAGTTAGGATGTGAACGTCTTTGGGGGCTATTACTCTGCCTACCACAGCATACATTGAGCACTTACTCTGTACTCATCCAGGTTCTGTGCTAGGTTCTGAGATATGGCAGAGTCTCAGGCCAGCCCTCTGTTGATAAAAGCCTGAATAATTACAACAGCAAGCATTGAATGAACACCTGCTGTTCCTCTGTGCCAAGCACAGTGCAAAGCAATTTCTTTCAAGTCGGGTGCAGTGGCTCACACCTGTAATCCCAGCACCTTGGGAGGCCAAGGTGGGCAGATCACCTGAGGTCAGGAGTTCGAGACCAGCCTGACCAACATGAAAAAACCCTAGCTCTACTAAAAATACAAAAAATTAGCTGGGCGTGGTGGCGCATGCCTGTAATCCCAGCTACTTGGGAGGCTGAGGCAGGAGAATCGCTTGAACCCAGGAGGCAGAGGTTGTGGTGAGCCAAGATTGCACTCCAGCCTGGGCAATAACAGTGAAACTCTGTCTCAAAAAAAAAAAAAGAAGAAATAACCGAGTGGTTGAGCGGCTTGCCCAGGCCACACAGCACAGTTAGAACCATAATGCAAGTCTGTAAGAGAGGCACAGGGTGCCCTGATACCAGAGAAGGGGCTCCTAACCCGGTTTGGGAGAGGAGTTCAGAGCAGGCAAGCTTCTGAGGAAGAGAGGTTGACCAGGACAGAGGGCAAGGGCTTGCAACTTTGAGGGTTGCTCAAAAGAGGCCAGCCAGTTTATGGGTAGAACCATTCTGTAACAGGTTATTTGCATACAATCAATGCCAGAGTGCTTTGTTCAGACAGATGAACTGACTCACTGGAAATGGTCACAACAGCCTGGGGGAGAGAATATATTACCCGGCCCTGGCTCACAATAGGGACTCAGTAACTACACTCATGTGTTGCTTAACAACAGGAATGCTAGAGGATTTTGTCATGATAGGAACACCAGAGAGTGTGTTCACACAGACCTAGATGGTACAGGCGACCACACATCCAGGTTAGAGGGGATCACCTGTTGCCCCTGGGCTACAAACCTGTACAGCAAGTTACTATATTGATACTGTAGGCAATTGTTACAATAAGTATTTGTGAATCTAAACATTAAAAGGGTATAATAAAAATACGATATAAAAGATAAAATTGGGCGGGGCGTGGTGGCTCACACCTGTAATCCCAGCTCTTTGGGAGGCCAAGGCGGGTGGATCACTTGAGATCAGGAGTTCGAGACCAGCCTGACCAACATGGCAAAACTCGGTCTCTACTAAAAATACAAAAATTAGCCAGGCATGGTGGCAGGCGCCTGTAATCCCAGCTACTCGGGAGGCTTGGGTAGGAGAATTGCTTGAACCCAGGAGGCAGAGGTTACAGTGAGCCAAGATCGCACCACTGCGCTCCAGCCTGGAAGACAGAGAGAGACTCCATCTCAAAAATTAACTAACTAAATAAATAAATAAAAAGATAAAAATAGTCTACCTGTATGGGCACTTGCCATGAATGGAGCTTGCAGCACTGGAATTTGCTCTGGGTGAGTCAGTGAGTGAGTGGTACGTGACTGTGAAGGCCTAGGACATTACTGTGCACTACTGTAGACTTTATAAACACTGTACACTGAGGCTATACTAAGTTTATTTTTTTAATCTTTTTCTTCTGCAATAAGAAATTAACCTTAGAGGCCGGGCACGGTGGCTCACCCCTGTAATCCCAGCACTTTAGGAGGCTGAGGCGGGTGGATCACGAGGTCAAGAGATCAAGACCATCCTGGCCAACGTGGTGAAACCCTGTCTCTACTGAAAATACAAAAACTAGCTGGGTGGGGTGGCACGCACCTGTAGTCCCAGCTACTCGGAAGGCTGAGGCAGGAGAGTTGCTTGAATCCGGGAGGTGGAGGTTACAGTGAGCCGAGATCGCGCCACTGCACTCCAACCTGCCAATAGAGTGAGACTCCGTCTCAAAAAAAAAAAAAAAAGAAAAAAGAAAAATAAAAAAGAAATTAACCTTAGCTTACTGTAATTTTTTAATTTTATATATTTTTTAATTCTTTGACTTTTTGGCTTTTGTAATAACAGCTTAAAACACAAACACATTATAAGCTGTACAAAAATTCTTTCTTTCTTTAAATCCTTATTCTGTAAGCTTTTTTCTGTATTTAAAACTTTTTATTGGCCAGGCACGGTGGGTTACGCCTCTAATCCCAGCACTTTGGGAGGCTGAGGTAGGCGGATCACCTGAGGTCAGGAGTTCGAGACCAGCCTGGCCAACACGGTGGAACCCCATCTCTACAAAAATACAAAAAAAATTAGTGGGGCATGATGGCGAGTGCCTGTAATCTCAGCTACTTGGGAGGCTGAGGCGGGAGAATGGTTTGAACCCAGGAGGCAGAGGTTGCAGTGAGCTAAGATGGTGCCGTTGCACTCCAGCCTGGGTGACAGAGCAAGACTCTGTCTAAAAAAAAAAAAAAAATATATATATATATATATATATATATACACACACACACATACATACATATATAAAACATACAATTATGTACAGTATATAATATTTGATAATAAACAAGTATGTTGGCTGGGCACAGTGGCTCACGCTTGTAATCCCAGCACTTTGGGAGGTCGAGGTGCACAGATCACCTGAGGCCAGGAGTTCGAGATCAGCCTGGTCCAACACGGTGAAATCCCATCTCTACTAAAAATTTTTAAAATTTTATTATCGACCTCCCTGGGCTCAGGTTATCTTCCCACTTCAGCCTCCTGAGTAGCTGGGACTATAGGGGCGCACCACCATGCCCAGCTAATTTTTGTATTTTTTGTAGAGACAGGGTTTCGCCATGTTGCCCAGGCTGGTCTAAAATTCCTGGGCTCAAGCAATCCTCCTGCCTCAGCCTCCCAAAGTGCTGGGATTACAGGCGTGAGCCACCACACCCAGGCAATAAAAAGTGTTTGTTTGTTTGTTTGTTTGTTTGTTTTATTTTTTTGAGATGGAGTTTCACTCTTGTTGCCCAGGCTGGAGTGCAGTGGTGCGATCTCAGCTCACTGCAACTTGTGGAGGTGGCCCTCCACAAGTGTGAGCCACCGCCCCCGGCCTGTGCTATATTTTTACTGGACTGCAGCACAGAAGGTTATGATTACACCAGCATCACCACAAACACAACAGTAATGTGTTGTGCTGTCTGTTGTTGACAGAAATGTCATTATGTACACATGACTATATTTGAATGCTTGTTCCCCTCATTAGTGATTAAGTGATAAGATTTGCTATTGGTCAGCTGGTAATGACTGGACAAAGCTGGACTTGAACCTGGGTCTAACTCCAAAGGCTGTATTTTGCCCAAGGGTCCCCGTGGTCTCCCCAAGCCTGGGACATGGTTTTGTCCATTCCGTGGGCCCCTGAGCAGCAGATTCACTCCAGGCAGAGTTGGTAACCTCTTCCTCCCCCACGACCAAGGCCCTCAGTTCCTCATACTTTCCTCCATTCGCACTCATCCATCAAAACTTATCAGCCAGTGTGACTCCCAGGGCCCTCCTCCCTGCTAGGTGAAATGAGCAAATGTGATCAACTCCGCCCAACAGCCACTAATGTGCTAAGGCTCCCCTCTAAGTGTCATTCAAAAAGTAAAAAGGTGCCAGGCACGGTGGCTCACACCTGTAATCCCAGCACTTTGCGAGGCCAAGGCAGGTGGATCACCTGAGGTCAGGAGTTCGAGACCAGCCTGGCCGACATGGTGAAATCCCATCTCTACTAAAAATACAAAAATTAGCCGGGCATGGTGGTGCATGCCTGTAACCCCAGCTACTCCGGAGACTGAGGCAGGAGAATCACTTGAACCCAGGAGGCTGTGGTTGCGGTGAGCCGAGACTGCGCCATCGCACCCTGGGTGGCAGAGCAAGACTCCATCTCAAAAAAAGAAAAAAAAAGTAAAAAGAAACAGGTAAAATTAATGACAATTATATACTTAACCCGATAGTAGGGTGACCAAATGACCAGGTTTGCCCAGGACTAAGGTATCTCCTGGGATGCAGACCTATCAGTGTTGCAACCAGTAAAGTCCCTGACAAACCAGAACAAGCTGATCGCCCTACCCAGAAGATCTAAAATGCTATCATTTCAAAATGCAATTGATATTTTAAAGTATTTTTATATTTTTACTTTGTTTGGGTACTGTCTTTGAAATCCAATATGTATTTCATACTTAAAAAACATCTCAGCTTAGACTGGCACATTTCAAGTGCTCAACAGCCACCTTTGGCTACTGGTGGCTTTCCTGTGGGTCAGTGCAGGAGTAGAGATAGGCTTGATGTTGAAATAAACCAGTGAATAAGTTGGCAACCCATAGTGGTCTCACCAAGATCCTAACCTTGGGACCTCCATTTCTTTCTTTCTTTTTTTTCTTTTATTTATTTATTTATTTTTTAATCTGTTTTTTTAAAACAGAATTTCACTCTTTTTGCCCAGGCTGGAGTGCAATGGCATGATCTCAGCTCACCTCCGCCTTCCAGGTTCAAGCAATTCTGCCTCAGGCCCCCCAAGTAGCTGGAATTACAGGTATGTGCCACCACACCGAGTTACTTTTTTTTTTTTTTTTTGAGACGGAATCTCTCTCAGTCCCCTAGGCTGCAGTGCAGTGGCATGATCTCCGCTCACTGCAACCACTGTCTCCTGGGTTCAAGCGATTATCCTGTCTCAGCCTCCCGAGTAGCTGGGATTACAGGCACCTGCCATCATGCCCGGCTAATTTTTGTATTTTAGTAGAGACAGGGTTTCACCCTGTTGGCTAGGCTGGTCTTGAACTCCTGACCTCACATGATCTGCCCTCCTCAGCCTACCAAAGTGCTAAGATTACAGGCATGAGCCACCGCGCCCAGCCTAATTTTGTATTTTTGGTAGAGACGGGGTTTCACCATGTTGGTCAGGCTGGTCTCGAACTCCTAACCTCAGGTGATCTACCTGCCTCGGCCTCCCAAAGTGCTGGGATTACAGGCATGAGCCACTGCACCTGGCATATTTATTTATTTATTATTTATTTTTAAGTTGCAGGGTACATATGCAGATGTGCAGGTTTGTTACATAGGTAAACATGTGCCATGATGGTTTGCTGCACCTATCAACCCATCACCTAGGTATTAAGCCCAGTATGCATTAGTTATTTTTCCTAATGCTTGGACTTCCATTTCTATATGTGAAACCCACTTGCACAATTCAGGAATCCCAGCTCTGTGAGAGGGGTCCCAGGTGAACCTTCATTCTGTGGTTTCTCAGTGTCCTGGGGTCCACTATTGTAGTCATTATATTAATGTCAGGATATTTGTAATAGTAAAAGTAGTGGTGGCCATAGTAATAGAAGCTTCCATTTCTGGAGTACTGATGTTATCTCATTTAGTCTTCACAAGAACCCTAGGAGGTGTTGTTATTATCCCCATTTTACAGGTAAGGCAACTGAGGCTGAAAGGGGTAGTCATATGCCTGAGATCACAGAGTGGCAGAGCGTGGATACTAAAAAAGTCCCCCGGGAACAGTTATGATTAACTGCAAGGACCTGGAGCTACCCAGAGTTTGTTTCCTTACAGGTAACCGCCATTGTTAACATGTCTTCCAGGAGTTTCTGATAAATGAGAAACTGGGGGCATAGCACTTAGCAAATAAGTATCAACTGAGGGAGTTAATACTGCTATTATCATGATCATCACTGCACCTTCATGACTGAACATCCAAAGAATGCAGGCTGAAGGTTCCAGATTTAGAAGCCCGCTTTCCAAAGGAAATAGAGATAGAGAGTCAGGACTTGCAAAATGAATTCATGTCCTCCCCAGGGTGGGGCCCCAGGAGTCCTCACCCCAGGGCGGGGGCCTTCTCAGTTGTAATTTTACACCAATGTCCACACCCTGCCACCAAGAAAGAGAAGCAAAATATAAAGAAGCATATTTCCTTTGCCTCCACCCTGAGAGGAAGGAGGAGCTGGTTTCTCAACAGCTCCCTAGACAGGTGGGTGTGCTCACCCCCCAGCCCCAGTCTGGCTGTGAAGGTCCTGAGACCATCTGGGTAGGGTGCTGGGAGGAAGCCCACTCAGGTGGGAAGAAGAGGAGGAGTGCTGAGAGGGCAGGCCTTCCCCACCAGGTAGCAAAAGATAATGGCATTTTGCAGTTCCAGATTCAAAATGGCGCCACCAGCCAGCCTTGACCTGAGATAAGGCAGGGGCTGCTGGCAGGCAGGCTGCTTGAAGAAGGCATGGGAGTCCGGCCGGGGGGCTCATCCTTGCAATCCCAGCCATTCGGGAGGCTGAGGTGGAAGGATTTCTTGAGCGCAGGAGTTGGAGACCAGCCTGGGCAACATAGTGAGACCCTGACTCAAAAAATAAAAAAGAAGGCACAGGCCTTCACTCCAACCCTCCCACTCTTAATCCAGCAGCCAAGGTGGAGATCAGAAGGGGCAGGGCAGAGCAATTTTCATGACAGCAATTCTCTACTGTCTGTTTATTCACACAGTGGGCTAAGTGATTGTATCTATAGTCTCTCCTTTGATCCTCACAGATGTAAGAAATGCCACACTAAGTATCTTAACATGGGTTATCTTTTTTCTTTTCTTTTTTCTTTTTTTTTTTTTTTTTTTTTTTGGAGACAGGGTCTCACTCCGTCACCAAGGCAGATTGCGAAGGTGTCATGGCAGCTCACTGCAGCCTGGACCTCCCAGGCTTAAGCGATCCTTCCACCTCAGCCTTGTGAGTAGCTGGGACCACAGGTGCACATCACCACCACGCCCAAATATTTGTATTTTTTGTAGAGATAGGGGTCTTTCCATGTTGCTCAGGCTGGTCTCAAACTCCTGGACTCAAGTGATCTGCCTGCCTCTGCCTCCCAATGTGTTGGGATTACATACGTGAGCCACCGCATCCTTTTTTAAATCTCAAGAATACTGTGTGTGTTACTGAGTGTGATACAATAGTCCCCCCTTATCTGTGACACACATGTTCTAAGACCTCCAGTGAATGCGTGAGGCTGCCCACAGTGCTGAATCCTATATTTCCCATGCTTTTTCAATCTGATAACTAAGAGGACCATGAGCAGGTGGCGTAGACAGCATGTGTACACACTGGACAAAGGGATGATTCACGTCCCAGGCAGGACAGGGTGGGACAGGGTGAGATTTTATCACGCTACTCAGAACGGTGTGCAATGTAAAACATGAATTCTTTCTGGAATTTTCCATGTTTTTTTTATTGTAGTTAGCTGTAGCAAACTGAAACCATGGAGAGTGAAACTGTGGACAAAGGAGAACTACTGTACTAACATTATCATCCCTGTAGCACAAGTTGGGAAACTGAGGCTCAAAGAGAAAGTCCCCTATGCAAGCTCCTGTGGGTATTAAGTGTCAGAATCTGAATTTGAACCCTAGTCTAACCGACTCTAGAAGCCAGCTCTGCATCTTGGAGATCTCTTCAATCCTTCAGAACACACAGCCCTAACTGCCCAAAGCACAGCTTACCTTTCTGTGGTAAGAGAATGAAGGCGGCAGCCACCCTTCACTCCACATCTGCGTGTTGTTCCTCAGCAGAGGTGGGGAATCAGGGCCTGCTAAGGGCCTCAACTTCCTCCCACTGGCCCTTCCCAGCCCAAGGTGGAACCCATGGCCAGAGCATGCCTCACACCCCACCTTAGTCTCACTAGAATCTCACATGTGCAATTTGCAAATGAGTGGGCTGTCTTCCTCCACCCAGTCTGACTTTCACTTCTTTAGAAGATTTTTGTGTGACTCTGTTTTATTTTGTTTTAACTGCAGACAAATGCCACAGAGCACTTTTCTGCTAAAGAAAACTGTCTAGCTACTGCTCACCTGGCAAAGCCAGTCTGCCTTCCAACTGGAACAGAGCTTCCCCTTTGCGAATGGCTTTACGCTGACAAAGCCCTTTTCTGTCCTTATCTCATCTACTCCTCCGCCAGCCAGAGTTAGCAGTATTATTCTCAGAGCGCCCGAGAACAGAGTGTTTATTCTTATCCCTATTATCTAAAAGAGTGGAGGCGTTTATGATCACTCATTGAATTGCTATGGAGTGGGGAGAGCTCGGAAAGGTGAAGTGACTTGCTCAAGGTCACACAGTGACAGCATCAGAACTCAACTTTTGCTTTTCTTTCTTTCTTTCTTCCTTTTCTTTCTCTCTTTCTTTCTTTGTCTCTTTCTTTCTTTTTCGTTCTTTTCCTTTCTCTTTTCTTTTCTTTCTCTTTCTCTTTCCTTCCTTTTCTTTCTCTTTTCTTTCTCTCTTTCTCTTTCTTTCTTTTCTTTCTTTCTCCTTCTTTTCTTTCTTCTTTCTTCCTCTTTCTTTCTTTCCTTTTTTTGTTGACAGGGTCTCTGTCACCCAGGTTGGAGTGCAGTGGTACGATCTTGGCTCACTGCAACCTCCACCTCGCAGGTCCAAGCAATTATCCTGCCTCAGCCTCCCAAGTAGCTGGGATTACAGGCACCCACCATCACACCTGGCTAATTTTTGTATTTTCAGTAGAGACAGGGTTTCATCATGTTGGCCAGGCTTGTCTGGAACTCCTGGCCTCAAGTGATCCACCCGCCTCGGCCTCCCAAAGTGCTGGGATTATAGGCATGAGCCACCACGCCCAGCCACCCTTTTGCTTTCTAACTCCAAAACCTATTCTGTAGCACTCCAGAATGTATCTTCAAGGAAGTTTATTGCAGCACTTTTTACAGCAAGCTAAATATCCCTCACTAGTGGACTGATAACATGTGGTCCCACTAGGGCCGGGCGAGGTGACTCACACCTGTAATCCCCGCACTTTGGGAGGCTGAGGTAGGCGGATCACTTGAGGTCAGGAGCTCAAGACCAGCCTGGCCAACATGGTGAAACCCGCCTCTACTAAAAATACAAAAATTAGCTGAGCATGATGGCAGATGCCTGTAATCCCAGCTGTTCGGGAGGCTGAGACAGGAGAATTGCTTGAATCTGGGGCAGAGGTTGCACTGAGCCAAGATAGCACCACTGTACTCCAGCCTGGGTGACAGAGCAAGACTCTGTCTCAAAAAAAAAAAATGTGGTCCCACTAGCAGCCTGGACGTCACCTGGGAGTGTGCAGAATCTCAGGTGCCACCCAGACCCACTGAATCAGGGGCTGCAGTTTAACAAGACCCCTAAGGTGATCCATGTGCTCATTCAAGTTTGAAAGGAGCTGCATTACAGTACATCCATCAGATGGGCTACTTTGGCACTTTTAAAATAATTTTTTTTTTTTTTTTTTTTTAGAGATGGGGTCTTATTATGTCACCTAGGCTGGTCTCCAACTCCTGGGTTCAAGTGATCCTCCCACCTTGGTCTCCCAAAGTGCTGAGATTACAGGGATGAACCACTGCACTCAGCTGTACTTCTTAAAAGAATGTAATGGATCTATATAGGCTTATCTGAATATTTATTGTAAAGCAGGAGGAGGGGAGAAGCAAGTTACAGACCAGCATGAATTTGTATGATTTAATTTGTGTGCACATTTTAGAAACAAAAATAGCAGTTGGGTGCAGTGGCTCACAACTGTAATCCCAGCACTTTGGGAGGCAGAGGTGGGCAGATTGTTTGAGCTCAGGAGTTCGAGGCCAGCCTGGACAATATAGCAAAATCCCATCTCTACAAAAAGTACAGGGCATGGTGGTGTGCACTTGTAGCCCCTGCTACTCAGGAGGCTGAGGTGGGAAGATGGCTTGAGCATAGGACGTGGAGATTGCAGTGAGCTGAGATGAAACCACTGCATTCCAGACTGGGTGACAGAGCCAGATCCTGTCTCAGAAAAATTAAAAGTAAAGTTAAAACAATTTAAAAAGCACTAACAGCCAAGTGTGGTGGCTCACACCTATAATCCAGTGCTTTGGGAGGCTGAGGCAGGAGGATTGTTTCAGCCCAGGAGTTTGAGACCAGCCTGGGCAACATAGCAAGACCCCCATCTCTACAACTACTTGGAAGGCTGAGAGGCTGAGGTAGGAGGATCACTGGAGCCCAGAAGTTTAAGACCAGCATGGGCAACATAGTGAGATTCTGTCTGTAAATAAAAAAAAAAAAAAAGCACTAATATATGTTAATGTATGGATTAATGTATGTTAATGTATGTATGGATTAAGTTGCTCATCAGCCGGGCAGCCTCCCAGGGAACCAGTCTAGGAGGGGAGCCAAAACAGGACTGAAAGAAATGGAAACACGGTGCCAGGTAACTCAGGTTTCCACATGAGGTGGACCTGTAACCCCCGGTGATCAGAGGTATATAGCACCCACTGGGGGAAACGAAAACACCCTCCTCCCCAGCACTAGAGTCCAGCTACAGATTCTCTCAGGACTTGTCAGGTCACGTCAGTTTAGTCTTTGGTCCAGGCTGCATGCTGCGCCCAAGACCTAGTGATTTGTTAGCGCAGCTCCTGATCCTATTCCCTTTAGGACAGCTCCGCCGGGTGCTGTGGCTCATGCCTGTAATCCTAGCACTTTGGGAGGCCGAGGAAGGTGGATCACCTGAGGTTGGGAGTTCAAGACCAGCCTGACCAACATGGAGAAACCCTGTCTCTACTAATAATACAAAATTAGCTGGGTGTGGTGGCATGCCTGTAATCCCAGCTACTCGGGAGGCTGAGTCAGGAGAATCGCTTGAACCCAGGAGGCAGAGGTTGCAGTAAACTGAGATCGTGCCATTGCACTCCAGCCTGGGCAACAAGAGTGAAACTCCTTCTCAAAAAAAAAAAAAAAAAAGGCAGCTCCAAAAAGCTGACTGGCTTGGAGAACTACAATTCCAAGACAATTCCAAATAAGTCAAAAGGCCAGCTTACATTCTGTGCCTGTAATAAATCCTTTATTTTGAAAAGAAAGAGGAATGTTATTTTTCATTAACAGAAAATTGGTTTCTCCACATTCTGCCTAAATACATTTTGAAAAACTATCTTACAAATATCAGGTTGAGGGGATGCCAACTTTTTAGGCTGCCCAGGGCACCTATATGTCTCAGTCCAGTTCTGTACATGGATAAGAAAAAAAATAAACCCTGAAAGGATTTATAGCAGTGGGCCAAGGCAATCATGATGAGGTAAAATGATAAGTTTTACTTTTTTTTTTTCAAGACAGTTTCACTCTGTCGCCCAGGCTGGAGTGCAGTGGCTCGATCTTGTCTCACTGCAACCTCCACCTCCCAGGTTCAAGCAATTCTCATGCCTCAGCCTCCCGAGTAACAGGGATTACAGGCACATGCCGCCACACCTGGCTAATATTTGTATTATTAGTGGATAAGGGGTTTTACCATGTTGACCAGGCTGGCCTCAAACTCCTGACCTCAGATGATCCACCCACCTCGGCCTCCCAAAGTGCTGGGATTACAGGGGTGAACCAACACACCCGGCCAACTTTTACTTTTTACCTTAAGGACTTTATTTCTACCTTAAATGTTTCTCTAATGTTTTGAAAACATACACTGTTGGTAGGGATGCATCATAGCACACACCCAATTTGGAAAACAGGTTGTTTGTTTGTTTGTTTGTTTGTTTGTTTGTTTTTGAGACAGAATCTTGCTCTGTCGCCCAGGCTGGAGTGCAGTGGCATGATCTCAGGTCACTCCAACCTCTGCCTCCTGGGTTCAAGCAATTCTTGTGCCTCAGCCTCCCGAGTACCTGTGGTTATAGGCATGAGCCACCTCACCTGGCCTGGTTTTTTTGTTTTGGTTTTTTGAGATGGAGTTTCACTCTTGTCACCCAGGCTGGAGTGCAGTGGCATGATCTCAGCTCACTGCAACCTCCACCTCCCAGGTTCAAGTGATTCTCCTGCCTCAGCCTCCCAAGTAGCTGGGATTACAGGCACTCGTCACCATGATTAGCTAATTTTTGTATTTTTAGTAGAGACAGGGTTTCACCATGTTGGCCAGGCTAGTCTCAAACTCCTGACCTCAGGTGATCCACCCTCCTTGGCCCCCCAAAGTGCAGAGATTACAGGTGTGAGCCACTGTGCCCGCCTGGCCTAATTTTTTTTTTTTTTTTAATACAGAGTCTCACTCTGTCGCCAGGCTGAAGTGCAGTGGCGCAATCTCAGCTCACTGCAACCTCTGCCTCCCAGGTTCAAGCGATTCTCCTGCCTCAGCCTCCCAAGTAGCTGAGACTACAGGTGTGCACCACCATGCCCAGCTAATTTTTGTATTTTTAGTAGAGACAGGGTTTCACCATGTTGGCCAGGATGATCTCGATCTCTTGACCTCGTGAACCGCCTGCCTCAGCCTCCCAAAGTGCTGGGTTTACAGGCATGAGCCACTGCGCCCTGCCCTAATTTTTTTCTTAATGATAGAGATGGGGTATCACTCTGTTGCCCAGGCTAGTCTCTAACTCCTGGACTCAAGCAATCCTCCCACCTTGGCCTTCCAAAGTGCTAGGATTACAGTCATTAGCCTCCACACCTGGCCAGGGAAACAGTTTCTTAAAAAGTTAAACATACCCTACTCTATGATCCAACCATTCCACTTCTAGGTAATGACCCAAGGGAAATAAAAGCATGTGTACTTGGATGTTCATACCAGCTTTGTTTATAATTGCCAAGATGTAGAAACAACCCAAAGGTCCATTAACAAGTGAATGGATGAACAAACTGGAGCATCCAGACAATGGAATCAACCTGAGCAGTGGAAAGGAACTACCTACCACGCACACAATGACACGGACACAGACGAATCTCACAATAATTATGCTAAGTGAAGGGGGCAAGGCCAGTTAAAAAAAAAAGTGCATACTGTATGATTCCATCTTATATAAAATTCTAGAAAATGCCACCTACTCTATAGTGACAGAAGGCAGATCAGTGTTTGCCTGGAGATGTAGGGGGTAAGCAGAGAGAGATGGAAGGAGGAGATTACAAAAGAATATAAGGAAACTTTCTTTTTTCTTTTTGAGGCAGGGTCTCCCGCTGTCATCCAGGCCGGAGTGCAGTGGTGCCATCACGGCAGACTGCAGCCTCCGTCTCCTGGGTGCAAGTGATCTTCTGGCCTTAGCCTCCCGAGTAGCTGGGCCTACAGACATGCACCACCATACCCAGCTAATTTTTGTATTATTAATAGAGATGGGGTTTCACCATGTTTCTCAGGCTGGTCTGAAACTCCTGAGCTTAAGCAATCCTCCCTCCTTGGCCTCCCAAAATGTTGGGATTATAGGTGTGAGCTACTGTGCCTGGCCTGGAAACTTTCTGGGGTGATGAATATGTTCACTGTTTTGATTGTAGTAATGGTTTCATGGATACACACATACATGCATGCACACACACACACACACACACACACATATATATATATGCTCCTGTGTGTGTATATACATACATGGGTGGGTATCAAAACTTATAAAATTGTACATTTCAAATATGTACAGTTTACTGTATGTCAATTACGTCAAAACAAAATTACATCAAAAGGAAGAAGGAAGGAAGGAAGAACAAGTGTGTTTCAATTTTTTTTTTCTTTTTTGAGACGGAGTCTCCCTGTGCCACCCAGGCTGGAATGCAGTCGTGTGATCTCGGCTCACTGCAACCTCTGCCTCCTGGGCTCTAATGATTCTCCTGCCTCACCCTCCTGAGTAGCTGGGACTACAGGCACTCACCACCACGCCCGGCTAATTTTTGTATTTTCAGTAGAGACAGGGTTTCGCCATGTTGGCCAGGCTGGGCTCAAACTCCTGACCTTAAGTGATCCACCAGCCTCGGCCTCCCAAAGTACTGGAATTACAGGCATGAGCCACCGCGCCCAGCCTACAAGTCTGTTTGACTTTTATGAGCAGAAAAAAGGCAATAAGGATAAATTCAAAGGCACACCCACGGAAAAAAAATGCATGCTCTTTCACTACATAAAAGGTTTGTCTTCTAAATCTCATCGCCCCTACCTATCACTGCAGAGGATAAGTGCACCAAGGTGCTCTTTTGTTCAACTCATTTAAGATGATCTATTCCTTTTTCTCCCCCATGTCTTCCCTGAAGAGTATATGAAGTGGGATCCTGCTGAAATGGAGTGAGATAAGGTTTCTTCACCTCCCTTGCTCCACAATGGCCCAACTTCTCCCTGTGGAGGTTACAGGCTGTGAGGAATGTGATGACATGTTTACTTTGGAGCAGACCTTGGCCAGTAAATAACACTCCCAGCTCCCACCAGAATCAGCCCCTGATAGGAGATAGGTCCTTCCAAAATAGCTGGAGGTCAGGCCTTCCTCCAAATGCTGGGCTGGTCTTTAATAGTGAGGGGAGGGGAGGGGAGGGTGAGAGTCAACACAGTGCATTTTTCCTGGGTTTCCCTAGATCCTAAACTAGGAGAGCTGTTGGTGCAGAAGCTCATTGATAAATATCAAGAGAACAATTACAACATGGTTGGTCAAGTTTAATGAAGTATTGGCCAGCCCCCCCTATATTTTTAGAGTGATTGGTTCACCATTTTTATTTTAGTACCTTTGTTGGCTTGGATGGCTGACTAGTCACAGGGTCCCAAGTTGGTTAGAACTAGAGGGAATCTACTGGATCAAATGGCTTTCCAGAATGCAAGACTTCTCTAGTAATTACAATAATAATCATAACAACAACTACTCCATGTACTTTATGTGTGTTGCCACATTTAATCTTTTTTTTTTTTTGAGACGGAGTCTCGCTCTGTTGCCCAGGCTGGAGTGCAGTGGGGTGACCTTGGCACTGCAACCTCTGCCTCCCAGGTTCAAGTGATTCTCCTGCCTCAGCCTCCTGGGTAGCTGGGATTACAGGCGCATGCCACCACACCCAGCTAATTTTTGTATTTTTAGTAGAGATGGGGTTTCACCACGTTGGCCAGGCTGGTCTTGAACTCCTGACCTCGTGATCCGCCCGCCTTGGCCTCCAAAAGTGCTGGGATTACAGGCATGAGCCACCGCACCCGGCACCACATTTAATCTTACATAACCCCACGAGGTAGGAACTGAGGCCCAGTGAGATTAAGCAAGTAGTTAATAGGTCTGACTCCAAAAGCCAAGCTCGGAACCACAGCACCATACTACCTCCCAGGAAACCGTGGGAAGTCCAGGCATAGTGAGGTACTGGAGTCAGATTCAAGTTCAAATCCTTATTCTGCATTGATGAGTTGTACGGGAATAATAGTAATATTTAGATCACATGGCTGTGCTGAGGTGCTCATGTAGTAATGTCAGTAATGTGTTCTGGGCACAAAGCAGGTAACCAAGAAGTGGTAGCTGTCATCATCATCATCATCATTGTTAAGAAAGATCTTCAGCTGGGTGCAGTGGCTCATGCCTGTAATCCCAGCTCTTTGGTAGGCTGAAGCGGGCGGATCACCTGAGGTCAGGAGTTTGAGACCATCCTGGCCAACATGGTGAAACCCCATCTGTACTAAAAATACAAAAATTAGCCCGGCGTGGTGGTGCCCACCTGTAATCCCAGCTATTTGGGAGGTTGAGGCAGGAGAATCGCTTGAACTCAGGAAGCAGAGGTTGCAGTGAGCCAAGATCGCGCCATTGCACTCCAGCCTGGGCGACAAGAGCAAAACTCCGTCTCAGAAAAAAAAAAAAAGAAGAAGAAGAAAAAAGAAAGATCTTCAGCTGGGTGCAGTGGCTGTAATCCCAACACTTTGGGAGGCTGAGGCAGGCAGATCGCTTAAGCCCAGAAGTTCGAGACCAGCCTGGGAAACATGGCAAAACCTTGTCTCTACAAAAAACACAAAAATTAGGCATAATGGTGTCTGTCTGTGGTCCCAGCTACTAGGGAAGCTGAGGTGGGAGGCTCACTTGAGCCTGGGAGGACGAGGCTGCAGTTAGCTATGATTGTGCCACTGCACTCCAACATGGGCAAGGGATTGAGACCCTGTCTCAAAAAAAGAGAGAGAAAGAGAGAAAGAAAAGAAAAGAAAAGAAATCTTCATTCAAATCTACTTCTGGTTTGATCCTACTGAGTCACAGTTACAGACATTCATATGCTTCACCCTCTCCCTTCCTCTAATCCACACTCAAAAGTCCAGGCTGGACACAGTGGCTCTCACCTGTAATCTCAGCACTTTGGGAGGCTGAGGTGGGAGGACCACTTGAGCCCAGGAGGTCAAGGCTACACTGAGACATGATCCCACCACTGCATTCCAGCCTGGGTGACAGAGCGAGACCCCATCTCTAAAAAAAAAAAGTCCTGGGCTGGGCACAGTGGCTCACACCTGTAATCCTAGCAATTTGGGAGGCCGAGGTGGGCGGATTGCCTGAGCTCAGGAGTTCGAGACCAGCCTGGGCAATATGGTGAAACCCCATCTCTACTAAAATACAAAAAATTAGCCAGACATGGTGGTGTGCGCCTGTAATCCCAGCTACTCAGGAGGCTGAGGCAGGAGAATCACTTGAACCTGAGAGGCAGAGGTTGCAGTGAGCCGAGATCACGCCACTGCACTCTAGCCTGGGCGACAGAGCCAGACTCCGTCTCCAAAAAAAAAAAAAAAAAAAAGTCCTGTTCTCTGTGAGGCATACACTGACTATCCCATATAAATTGAAAGGCTCTTGTTCCTCCCTTGGCAACTCCCTATCCTCCTTCTCTGACTTATTTTTCTCCTTGGTACATATCATTTTCTGGTGTGTAGTCTATCACCTATATACACTAAATACTTTATTTATCTTGTTTATATTCTGCCTTCTCAAATAGCTGATGAAGATACCACTGCCTACAACATCCCTGGCATTCAACAAGTGCTCAGGATATATTAATGTGGAATAAATGAACCCTTGCTTGAAGTTTTAGATTGGAGGTCAGGGTCTACTTCTCTTTAGTCCTGTGACATGAATCAAGTTATTCAACCTCAGGGAACCTCATTTTCCTCAGTGGCTGAAAAAGAGCAATAATATTTGTGTTTCTCTTGTCCCTGTTAGAGCCTAAGGGGAAGGCAAGGCCATGCATGGGAAAGAATCACCTCCAAATACTCCAGAGACAGCTATTGAATGTCTGCTCCATGCCAGGCAGGATGCCAGGCCCTGGAGGGTGCAGCCCGCAGAAAGCCCCTGCCCTCCAGGAACCTGCAGTCTACCTCAAGAGACAGACATTTCAACAAATACAACCTAACTTGAGTCACAGTTCTTTTTTTTGAGACAGAATTTCACTCTTGTTGCCCAGGCTGGAGTGCAATGGAGCGATCTCGGCTCACCGCAACCTCTGCCTCCCGAGTTCAAGCAATTCTCCTGCCTCAGCCTCCCCAGTAGCTGTGATTACAGGCATGTGCCACCACGCCTGGGTAATTTTGTATGTTTGTTAGTAGAGACAGGGTTTCTCCATGTTGGTTAGGCTGGACTCAAACTCCCGACTTCAGGTGATCCACCCACCTCGGCCTCCCAAAGTGCTTGGATTACAGGCATGAGCCACCACGCCCAGCTTGAGTCACAATTCTGATCTACAGCAACTGTTTAACAAGCTAAGCACTTTGCATTGTCTCATGTAACCCTATAAATTAGGTACCACCACCAGCACTATTTTACAGACAAGGAAACTGCAGCAAGACCTTAAGAAACAAAGACTTGAACCCGGGAGGTGGAGGTTGCAGTGAGCCAAGATCACACCATTGCACTCCAGCCTGGGTGACAGAGTGAGACTCTGTCTCAAAAAAAAAAAGGAACAAAGACTTACTCCACACCCAGGTATGTACCCAAGAAATGAAAATGTATGCACACACAGAAACTTGTACACGAATGTTTATAGCAACATTATTCATACTAGCCAAAACACAGAAACGACCCAGATGTTCATCAATGGATGAATGGATAAACAAAACATGGTATAGCTATACAATGAAATATTATTCAGCCACAAAAAGGAATGAAATACTGATACATGCTACAACATGGATGAACCTGAAAAACATGCTAAGTGAAAGAAGCCAAACAAAAAAAGTCACATATTATGTGTTTATTTTATTTTATTATTATTTTTTTAATAAATAGGCTGGAGTACAGTGGCGCAATCTCAACTCACTGCAACTTCTGCCTCCTTAGTTCAAGCAATTCTCCTGCCTCAGCTTCCCGAGTAGCTGGGATTACAGGCGTGCGCCACCACGCCTGGCTAATTTTTGTATTTTTAGTAGAGATGGGGTTTCACCGTGTTGATCAGGCTGGTCTCCAACTCCTGACATTGTGATCCGCCTGCCTTGGCCTCCCAAAGTGCTGGGATTACAGGCGTGAGCCACCTCACGCAGCCATATTTTTTTTTTTTTTTTTTGAGACAGAGTCTTGCTCTTGTCGCCCAGGCTGGAGTGCAGTGTCACGATCTCAGCTCACTGCAACCTCTGCTTCCCGGGTTCAAGTGATTCTCCTGCCCCAGCTTCCTGAGTAGTTGGGATTACAGGCACCTGCCACTACACCTGGCTAATTTTTGTACTTTTTGTATTTTTTGTACTTTTAGTAGAGACAGCCACCGCGCCTGGCCAAATTGTACATTTCAAAATAATTTATTGTGTTATGTGAGTTTTACATCGATTAAAAAAAAAAACAGAAAGAAAGAAACAGGTGTGGCATTGTACATGGCAGAGACTGGAGCCTGGACTTAAACCTGGGCAGTGTGGCTCACAGTCTGTGATTTTAATAACTGCAAATCTTAATTTCAGTATCATATTTTTCAGTTCTGGAATTTCCATATGATTCTTTTTTATAGTTCCTAGTTTTCTGCTGACATTCTTGTCATGTTATTCCCTGAATGCATTAATCATGGTTATTAGAGTCCCACCTCAAAGCCTGAGGGCAACTTCAAATTTCAGCTCATCTTTCTAGGCCATGTCTAGGTGTTCTCAGAGCGAAGGTTGACTTGGTATGTCCACCAGGGTGAGAAGCAGGAAATATTTGCCCCAAACCTCTCACCTCTGCCCTAGCTCTTCTGCCTATGTGAGTAAAGACTTTAATGTTTCTGTCTGGGAGCAGTGGCTCACACCTGTAATCCCAGTACTTTGGGAGGCCAAGGTGGGTGGATCACCTGAGGTCAGGAGTTTGAGACCAGCCTGACTAACATGGTGAAATCCCGTCTGTACTAAAAAAACATACAAAATTAGCCGGGCGTGGTGGCGCATGCCTGTAATCACAAGTACTCGAGAGGCTGAAGCAGGAGAATCACTTGAACCTGGGAGGCAGAGGTTGCAGTGAGCCAAGATGGCGCCGTTGCCCTCCAAGCTGGGCAGTAAGAGTGAAATTCTGCCTTAAAAAAAAAACAAAAAAAACAGTATTCAACATTTCAAAGCAAAACATGAGAATTTAGGTTGGTGAAACTGCAGTTTTCTAAGTTGTGTTATTTATTTAATGATTTTGGGGACATTTCTCCCTATTTAATTCCAAGAGATACTACACAGTATAATTTCTTAAGGAAATTAATGTTTCAGATAATAATAAAAGCCACCATTTGCTGAGTGCTTCAAAAGGGCCTACTTGGGAGGCTGAGGCAGTAGAATCGCTAGAACCTGGGAGGCGGAGGTTACAGTGAGCCGAGATCGCACCACTGCACTCCAGCCTGGGTGACAGAGCGAGATTTCATCTCAAGAAACAAACAAACAACAACAAAAAGGGGCTTACTGCTTTAAGTATTTTACATGTATTAACTCACTTAGTCCTCAAAAAAGGCTAAGATCAGGTTTTGCCATCTCCACAACCATGGTTGAAAGAACCAAGGCCCAGAGAGGTGAAGACGTTAGCCCAAGGACATGCAGCTTGTACAGCATAAAGCAGAGACACAAAGCAGGTCCAGCCAACTCCCAGGCATTCTTCTCGTTGACCTAAGAACAAGGAGTGAGTAATTATAAGAAATCAGAGTATCCAGCCAGGCGCCGTGGCTCACGCCTGTAATCCCAGCACTTTGGGAGGCTGAGGCGGGGGGATTGCCTGGGGTCAGGAGTTCGAGACCAGCCTGGCCAATATGGTGAAACCCGTCTCTACTAAAAATACAAAAATTAGCTGGGCGTGGTGGCGCCTGTAATCCCAGCTACTCGGGAGGCTGAAGCAGGAGAATCACTTGAACCCGGGAGGCGGAGGTTGCAGTGAACCCAGATTGCGCCACTGCACTCCAGCCTGGGCGACAGAGCGACACTCTATCTCAAAAAACAAAAAACAAACAAACAAACAAAAACAGAGTATCCAAATATGACAGGGCAAGAAAGCCAGGAAAAAAAACGCCAACACCAGATGGAAAATGGCTAAGGAGGAGGAAGCAGTGGTTTGGAAGCAAGGATAGAGTTGAGTTCTGTTTGGTGGGCCCTGGGTTTGAAGACAGATAACTTCGGCTCTCTGGCCTCAGTGTCTTCATCTGTAAAATGGGACTAATAAAGGCCCTTATTTCCTGGGCTGTTGCTTTGGACTCTAGCAGCCAGCCTCTTTCCCATCTCCCCTCTCCAAGTGGAGCTGAGACCTCGCTGTTTGGGGAAATTTGGGTCAGAGAGAAGAAAACAGGGATTTGGCCTCCTGGGCCAGGTGCACAGTACCTCCGCCTTCTCTTGAAGGAACCTAGACTTCGATGCCAAGCCCTGCAAGCAGGGAGGACGAAGAAGGCATCTTCCCAAGTCAAATGAAGAATCCCCTGCAAGTCCCTATGGTCCTACAGGAAGGCGAGACACTTACCACACAATCATCCCAAAATTTACTGGGCTCAGGACAGTGCCAGAGCCCTGAATGCTCACTCAGTCACTCAATCAACATGTGTTCATTGAGTCCCTGTCTATCAGTCAGGACTCTCCTGGTTGTGAGTGGCAGAAACCCAGATAAAACTCCTAAAGCAAAAAGGGGTAGTGATTGGTTCCTGGAACCAGACAGTCCAAGGGGTGGTTCAGGCAAGTCTGGATCTAGGGCCTTGGTGACGTCATCAAGAGCTGCCCTGCTCCATCCTGGTCTCCACCTTCCTTCCTGTTGGCTTCCTTCTCAGGCAGGCTGTCCCCTCGTGGTGACAAAAATGCCCGCCATCTTCTCCAGGCCGAGCTCCTCGAGAATCCCAACAAGATCCCAACAGGGAGAGAGCACCTCTTTCCCAGAACTTCCAGCCAAAGTCCAGGGCTGATGTGAGTTGGTTCTGGTGACCATGGCTGATCCCCCAGTCAAGGAGACTTGGGCCTCTCATTGGCCAGCCCCAGATCCCAGCCTCACTCCACCACGAGGGCTGTGGCCAGCCACCTAGCTGCTGACATGGGGAGGCCATAAATGACAGATTTACTGAGCCCTTGTAAATTACTCTGTGCCAGACATTGTTCCAAGAGCCAAAGATACATATAAACCTCACAAAATCCTGTTATCTCATCAGGCAGGTGAGGTGAGATCGAGTTACTTGGTCCAAATCACACAGCTGGGAGATAGCAAGGCTGGGCCTCAAACCCAAGCACTCAGGATGCCTGTTGCTTAGTGATGTTCTCTGCCAGGCATCAGCTCCACAAGGCTGGCTTCCTCATTGCTGTTGTCTGGAATCATGCTGCACCTGACCAGGCTGTGGGGACTGGCTCCGTGGTTGTGTTAATTTGCTGTGGCTACTTTAATAAAAAAAATTACCACAAATTTCATGACATAAAAGAACACAACTAGGCCAGGCGTGGTGGCTTCAACACCTATAATCCCATCACTTTGGGAGGCCAAGGCAGGTGGATCACTTGAGGCCAGGAGTTTGAGACCAGCCTGGCCAACATAGTGAAATACTAAAAAATAGAAAAATTAGCTGGGCATGGTGGTGTGCACCTGTAGTCCCAGCTACTCAGGAGGCTGAGGCACAAGAATCACTTGAACCCAGGAGGCGGAGGTTGCAGTAAGCTGAGATCACGCCACTGCACTCTAGCCTGGGTGACAGAGCAAGACTCTATCTTGACAAAAAAAAAAAAAAAAAAAAGGACACAACTGAGTCAGATGTGGAGGTGGCTTTACACCTGTAATCCCAGCACTTTAGGAGGCAAGGCAGAAGGATCCTTTGAGCTCAGGAGTTTGAGACCAGCCCTGGCACCATAGGGAGACCCCATCTATAAAAAAAAATTAGCCGGGTGTGGTGGTGTGCACCTGTGGTCCCAGCTATTCGAGAGGCTAAGGTGCGAGGATCACTTGAGCCTGGGAGGTAGTGGCTTCAGGGAGCCAAAATGGACCCACTCACTCCAGTCTGGGTGACAGAGCAAGACCCTGTCTCAAAACAAACAAACAAGAAAACACAACTGTATTCTCTTATCATTCTGGAGGCCAGAAGTCAGCAATCAGTTTCACTAGGCTAAAGTCAAGGCGTCAGCAGGGCTGGCTCCTTCTGGAGGCTCCAGGGGCTATCCTTGCCTTTACCTGCTTCCAAAAGCCACATACACCTCTTGGCTCATGGCCCTTGCTTCCATCTCCAAAGCCAGCAGGGTAGCATCTTCAAATCTCTTTCTCTCTGGTCTTCTGCTTTGTCATCCTATCTTCTTTTGTCTGAAAGACAGACAGGAGGAGGAGATCCTCTTACAGAGCCTGCTGTGATTACATGGGGCCCATCTGGATAATCCAGGATACTCTCCTCATCTCAAGGGCCCTAACTGAATCACATCTGTGAAGTCTCTTTTTTGCCATGTAAGGTCACATTTACAGGTTACAGGGATTAGGACTTGGATACCTTGAGGGGCCAATATTTTGCTTACCACAGTGGCAGAGTATGTGGGCTCTGAGCCTGGAGATGGCTCTTGAATCTGGGTAGCTCAGCCTCTAAATTGCTGTGTCACCAAGTGATTTAACCTCCCTGTGCCCCAGAGTGCAGAGATCAAGAGGTGTGGGAGCCCAGCATTTTGAGGAAATGAAAGCAATTCAGGCTGATGGAGGATGGGTGGAGTGGAAGAGGCCTTTGGCCTCAAGCCCATGCTCTGAGTCAGTTTCCACGTCTGTACAACGGAAATGATAACGGTCTCTTCTTCATAGTGCTGGCTGTCATAGGATTAAATGAGTTAAGACTTGTGAAATGCTGAGCACGATGCTTAGCACAGAGACGGTGCTCAATAAATGTTGGCAACTTGATATTGTCTTAGTTTGGGTTTCCTCAAAAGCAGACCCAAGTCCAGGATTCACATAGGAGTTATTCATTTGGGAAATGATTCCAAGAAGTGCTGGCAAGGGAGGTGGGAGGTGAGGCTGGAAAGACAGGAAGCCCACAAAAGGTGCATTCATGAGTGGGCTGCTCCTGCGAGCAGCTGGAGCTCCATCCTGCAGGGGAACCTAAGGGCCAGGTAGAGTGTACCCTCCAAGGCATCTGAAGGGCTGGGGCCTGCATTTACCAGTAGTCATTGGTTGAGGGCTTACTGAGGAGGGGCTGTTAACTCACCACCCTCCGGCCGACCATGTGTGCAAGCACAGCCAGCTCCTGTGATCAGAAAAAGTCACGGCTGCATGGCCAGATGTGGTGGCTCAGGCCTGTAATCCCAGCATTTTGGGAGGCCAAGATGGGTGGATCTCTTGAGGCCAGGAGTTTGAGACCAGCCTGGGCAACATGGTGAAACCCCCTCTCTACGAAAAATACAAAAATGAGCTGGGTGTGGTGGCGTGCTCCTGTAGTCCCAGCTACTTGGGGTGCTGAGGCAGGAGGATCGCTTGAGCCTTGGAGGTCGAGGATACAGTGAGCCATGTTCCTGCCACTGCATTCCAGCCTGGGTGACAAAGCAAGACCCTGTCTCGAGAAAGAAAGAAAAGAGAGAGAGAGAGCGAGAAAGAAAGAGAGGAGAGAAGAAAGAAAGAAGGAAGGAAGGAAGGAAAGAGAAAAAAATCAAAGAAAAGGAAAGGAAAGAAAAAAGAAAAGAAAAGAAAAAAGTCATGGCTGCTGGCGGCTAAGGTGAGTGGTGTAGGCTGAAGGGGCATGGTGGGGGGCATTGAGTGTGCTGCATACATCACACAGGACCATCCCCACCCAGGAGCCTTGATCGTTGGGACCAGGATCTGGTGACTATAAATAAAGGGACATGCGCAGAAGAGTCTGGCTCCTTCTGTCTTGGAAATGGGGCCTGAGCCTTCTGAACAGTTGGGAGAGGTTTTAAACCAGTTTCATTTCCTTTTTCCAAGATGTAGCTGTTGTCTAGGGCAGGCCGAAGTGGGGGTGTTAACAGATTTAACAGAGTCCCACTGGTCCTGGTGAGGTTTTCATGGCAGGTGGCTGGGAGGCCGGCTCTGTAGTCCAGCACCTCAGGGCCTGAGAGGAAAATGGTGTCTGTGGACAAATGCTGGGAACACCAGTCACATCTCTGCTTTGTCCAGGGAAGCAGAGGGGCCATGAAGGGCCATGGAGGGCAAGTGATGAAGGGCAGGAAGGAAGACGACCTTTTAAAAGAACACAGGCGGCTGGGCGCAGTAGCTCACGCCTATAATCCCAACACTTTGGGAGGTCGAGGCAGGCGGATCACGAGGTCAAGAGATTGCGACCATCTTGGCCAACATGGTGAAACCCCGTCTCTACTAAAAAAAAAAAAAAAAAAGTGGCCGGGCACGGTGGCTCACCCCTGTAATCCCAGCACTTTGGGAGGCCGAGATGAGCTGATCACGAGGTTAGGAGATCAAGACCATCCTGGCTAACACGGTGAAACCTCGTCTCTACTAAAAATACAAAAAAAAAAAAAATTAGCTGGGTGTAGCGGCGGGCACCTGTAGTCCCAGTTACTTGGGAGGCTGAGGCAGGAGAATGGTGTGAACCCGGGAGGCGGAGCTTGCAGTGAGCCGAGATCACACCACTGCACTCCAGCCTGGCAACAGAGTGAGACTCCATCTCAAAAAATAATAATAAATAAAAATAAATAAATAAATAAAAGAACACAGGCCAAGAGACTGTAGTCCTGGGTGGAGAGCAGGGCTGTTGTGGCTTTCTGAGATATTTTGGGCATGAATAATGCTCGGACTGTAGGGTGGACACAAAAAGGGAAGTGGGGAGAGGTCCTCAGAGACAGGGAAAGGTCAGCTACCCTGCACAGCCAAAACCTGAAGAGGCCTTACCCACGTCTCCCTGCAGCAGAGAGGCAAAGGTCGCTTCTGGTTCAGGAAACCTGCAGGGGCCCCGGGCCCACGGGAACAGGGTTGGTTTGGACATGAGGACAGAACTCTGGGGTAGTGCACCCCGCAGCCACCCTGCACCCCCAGCGCTTCCCAGTCCTCGCTCTGCTCTACACCCTGGCGGAATGCTGCTGACAGGATGTGGCCAGAGCTTAGAGCCTGAGATTTGGGACAGACCTTGACTTCATTTGAAGTTCCCAAAACATGTCTTCCTGGAGGGGCTCCTTCAACCCTGGGACCTCCCTGCCCCCATGATCAGTACACATGACTTCATCTGTCCTATGTGGTGCAGAGGAGGAGAATTCAGTGTCACCTGCCAGTCTCCCTGATCCAGGGGATCCTATGGTCAAGAGCCCATCAGCCTACGTTCTGGTCCCAGATCTGCTAGCTGTGTGATTTTTTTGTTTTGTTTTTTTTGATACAGAGTCTCACTGTGTCGCCCAGGCTGGAGTGCAGTGCAACAATCTTGGCTCACTGCAGCCTTTGCTTCCTAGGTTCAAGCGATTCTCATGCCTTATCCACTGGAGTAGCTGGGATTACAGGTGCCTGACATCGCTCCCAGCTAATTTTTTTTTTTTTTTTTTTTGAGATGGAGTTTCACTCTTATTGCCCAGGCTGGAGTGCAACGGCGTGATATCGGCTCACTGCAACCTCCACCTCCCGGGTTCAAGAAATTCTCCTGCCACAGCCTCCCAAGTAACTGGAATTACAAGCATGCGCCACCACACCCGGCTAATTTTGTATTTTTAGTAGAGATGGGGTTTCACCATGTTGGTCAGGCTGGTTTTGAACTCCTAACCTCAGGTGGTCCGCCCTCCTCGGCCTCCCAAAGTTTGGGATTACAGATGAGCCAGTGCGCCCGGCCTAGCTGTGTGCCTTTGCAAGTTATCTAACCCCTCTGAGCCTCCACCATCTTCCTCTCATTAAACGGGCTGATCATAATGGTACCCACCTGATGAAATTGTAAGGCCCAAATAAGTTTCTGCAAAGCACTCACACAGTGCCTGGCACACAGGAAACCACCAACTTCTCTATCCAGTATGTGTTATGCCATTCATCCTGATAATAGCCCAACTGCATGCACCTTGTACCCTGTATGGTCCCCATCAGAGCAAATCATCCTGCTGTGACAGATTACAACATTCTGGTAACTTCTCAGACTCTTCCCTTGAAACTCCCTGTGCCAGGCACTCTTACTGCTCTGCTGTTGTTTTAGAGCACATGGGTGCTCTAAAAATATTCATGTTGAAAGAACTCTTGTTTGACGGACCATGAAGCTGTGGGTGGAGGGTTTCAGGGACATATACATGGTTCCTAGCAATGGGCAGGGGGCATTCAATATGCAGAGTCTAGCCCATGCTGCTATGTCATTTTTTTTTTTCTTTTTTTTAAGACAGAGTCTCACTCTGTTACCCAGGCTGGAGTGCAGTGGTGCGATCTCGGCTCACTGCAACCTCCACCTCTCGGGTTCAAGTGATTCTCCTGCCTCAGCCTCCTGAGTAGCTGGGACTACAGGCGCGTGCCACCACACTCGGCTAATTTTTTGTATTTTTAGTAGAGACTGGGTTTCACCGTGTTAGACAGGAAGGTCTCGATCTCTTGACCTCGTGATCCGCCCGCCTTGGCCTCCCAAAGTGCTGGGATTACAGGCGTGAGCCACCACGCCCAGCCGCTACTATGTCTTATCTGCAATGTTTGAGTGCCTTCTGTACATCAGGCCTTGGGCTGAGCACCGGGGAGACACACAAAAAAACAAGGAAACTCTCAGCTTTGTCTTTGAGGCGCTCAATTTTGCAGGGAGGATAAATTCACAAATGTCTGGAAGACACCAGGCATTCTACACAGGGGCCTTGTGGCCCTATGTCCTGGCACATGGTGCTCAAGAAATATTCATTAAATCAGGTAGGGTGCAATGGCTCAAGCCCGTAGCCAGCACTTTGGGAGGCCGAGGCAGGCAGATCACGAAGTCAGGAGTTTGAGACCAAACTGGCCAACATAGTGAAACTCCCCCCTCTACCAAAAATACAAAAATTAGCCAGGCATGGTGGCGGGCGCCTGTAGTCCCAGCTACTTGGGAGGCTGAGGCAGGAGAATCGCTCAAACCCGGGAGGCGGAGGTTGCAGTGAACTGAGATCGCACGACTGTACTCCAGCCTGGGCTACAGAGTAAGACTCCGTCTCAAAAAAAAAAAAAAAAAAAAATAGAGATGGGGTCTCACTCTGTTGCCTAGACTGGTCAGAACCCCTGGGCTCAAGTGATCTTCCCATCTCAGCCTCCCAAAGTGCTGGGATTATAGGCATGAGCCACCATACCCAGCCTGCATCCTATCTTTAGAAAAGGCATGATAGGCCAGGCACAGTGGCTCATGCCTATAATCTCAGCACTTTGGGAGGCCGAGGCGGGCGGATCACGAGGTCAGGAGTTTGAGACCAGCCTTGCCAACAAGGTGAAACCGTCTCTACTAAAAATACAAAAATTAGCCAGGCGTGGTGGTGCATACCTGTAATCCCAGCTACTTGGGAGGCTGAGGCATGAGAATCGCTTGAACCTGGGAGGCAGGGGTTGCAGTGAGCCAAGATCATGCCACTGCACTCCAGTCTAGGCGACAGAGTGAGACTCCATCTCGAAAAAAAAATACTTTTTTTTTTTAAAGGGCATGATAATTATCTTGCTCAAAAGGCTACTATGGAGATGAAATGAAATCGTGACTGCCAGGCACCAGGCACAGGGTGCAGCTGAGGCAAAGACTTGGTGAATGGATGCTGGTACTGGTCTGTGAGCCTTTTCTTGTCCCCATTCACCTGGAGTGTCCCCTTTTTTCCCCTGAGCCCCCCAAGCCTAGCTCACTCCTGCTTAGCTTGGTCTTTGCCTCCTCCACAAAGCTGCCCTGCTCCCCAGGGTGGGGAAGTACATGGAGATCTCAGGGCATTGCTGGAGCACAGATGCATGCCCCACACCTGGTTAGTTCTGTACCAGACCTTCCACTCCATGCAGAGGATCTGTATCCATCTCAACCACAGCCATATCCCTGCACCTGCCACAAGCTCAGGCACACAATAAACGCTGAGTGAATAAAGGAAATAAGCTAGTGGATGGATGGATGGATGGATGGATGGATGGATGGATGGATGGACGGACGGACAGACAGGTACCAGGCTGAGGGACAGCGTTCATCCTGCAGGCTGTGAGTAGCACCAGGGTGTGGGGCATCCACAAGTGTGTGGCCTCGAGCCTGACAGTTCAGGCCTGAGGAATCTACATCCTGTCCCTGCCCTGGGTGGGGTGTTTGCTCTGCTCTTATTTCCACAAAACAATTAACTGCAAACACCCTCAATCCAGGGAGACAATTCTAGAAAGTCAAACGGCCCTTCCCTCCCTGACCAGGAAAGGGCGACGGGGTCTTTGCCACCTATATGTGGTTGGCTTCAGGATCCTGGAAACTGCATTCCCAAAAGCTCACAGTCTCATCTTTTAGTTTTTCTTTTACATGTAACAAAACATGCTACTCACAGGCCTTCCACTTTATCTCAGTGATTTACAGTTTCCTGCAGCCTCTCCTGAAAGATAACTTCCACCTAATTGAAATGATTATGTACTCTGCACTCGATTTTATTGTCATTTGACATCTTACTTTTTCATGAGACCAGAAGCTACTTATCTGTGTCACTGCTCCTAGCTGTGGCCAGGCCCTTGCTATACAGAATGTCATTTACTGACCCATCCCCTCAGAGTCAGACATCTGAAACCGAGGTGCTTACAGAATCTCATAATTCAAGCAGCCCCGTGGTTGGGTGCAGAACAGCATGGCCAGGGTACCGCCCTTGTGTAAAAAGGTGGAGCAAGGTACACATATTTGCCTGTCTGTGCATAAAATACCTCTGGAATGATTCACAAGAAAATGGTAACATTGTTACTTTTGGGGACAGAGATAGGAGGACTTAACACCATGTATGCCTTGGTATCTTTTGCATTTTACCACTAGGATAGGTTTTCTTTTTTTTCCTTTTCTTTTTTTTTTTTTTTTTTTTTGAGACGGAGTCTCACTCTGTCACCAAGCATGATCTCGGCTCACTGCAACCTCTGCCTCCCAGGTTCAAGCAATTCTCCTGCCTCAGCTTCCCAAGTAGCTGGGATTACAGGTGCGTGCCAGCACACCCAGCTAATTTTTGTATTTTTAGTAGAGACAGGGTTTCACCATGTTGGCCAGAATGGTCTCCATCTCTTGACCTCGTGATCCGTCCGCCTCTGCCTCCCAAAGTGCTAGGATTACAGGCATGAGCCACTGTGCCTGGCCAGGTTTTCTTTTTTAAAGGTAATTAACATTTTAAAAATCAAGATTTCCTCCTGGAGGTGAAGCCTAATTCCTGTCCTTCCTTACTTGAGGGTAGGCTAGACTTATTGACTCGCTTCCGAAGAATAGAGTATGGAAAGTGAAAAATAGTGGCTTTCCAGCAGAGAAGCCCAAGGGACACCTCCTTAACCATGTGATAAGGTGAGCCTCGCCAGTGGTACCCTGTGATGTGGCAGACTCCCTCTCAGGATGTGATGAAAGGGACGCTTCATCTCTGTGCTGTTATTTCTGCCAGGTCTGGTGTCTCACACCTGTAATCCCAGCTACTTGGGAGGCTCAGGCAGGAGGACTGCTTGAGCCCAGGACATTGAGGCTGCAGTGCACTATGATCGTGTCTGTCAATAGCCACTGCACTCCAGCCTGGGCAACATAGCAAGACTCCATCTCTAAAAAACGAAAATATTCCATGCAGGGAACCACGTGGCATTTGATGTCATGTCTCCCCTCCACTCTTTGGCAATTTCTCATTGTTTTTCTTTTTTAAAACAAAATTTTGCCCAGGTGTGGTAACTAACACCTGTAATCCCAGCACTTTGGGAAGCCAAGGTGGGCAGATCACAAGGTCAGGAGTTTGAGACCAGCCTGGCCAACGTGGTGAAACCCTGTCTCTACTAAAAATACAAAAATTAGCCAGGCATGGTGGTGGGCACCTGTAGTCCCAGCTACTCGGGAGGCTGAGGCAAGAGTATTGCTTGAACCCTGCCTCAGTGAACCTAGACTGTGCCATTGGCCTGGGCAACAGAGCAAGACTCCAGCTCAAAAAAAAAATTTTGGCCGGGTGTGGTGGCTTATGCCTGTAATCCCAGCACTTTGGGAGGTCGAGGTGGGTGGATCACCTGAGGTCAGGAGTTTGAGACCAGCCTGGCCAACATGGTGAAACCCTGTCTCTACTAAAATGAAAAAAAAAAAAAAAAATTAGGCTGGGCATGGTGGCTCACACCTGTAATCCCAGCACTTTGGGAGGCTGAGGCGGGTGGGTCATGAGGTCAGCCAGCCTGACCAACATGGCAAAACCCTATCTCTACTAAAAATACAAAAATTAGCGGGGTGTGGTGTTGTGCACCTGTAGTCCCAGCTACTCAGGAGGGTGAGGCAGGAGAATCACTTGAACCTGGGAGGTGGAGGTTGCAGTGAGCTGAGATCTCGCCACTGCACTCCAGCCTGGATGACAGAGTGAGGCTCCATCTAAAAAAAAAAAAAAAATTAGCTGGGCATGATGGCGCGCACCTGTAATCCCATCTACTCAAGAGGCTGAGGCAGGAGAATCGCTTGAACCCAGGAGGTGGAGGTTGCAGTGAGCCAAGATCGTGCCATTGCACTCCAGCCTGGGTGACAAGAGTGAAACTCCATCTCAAAAACAAAACAAAACAAAACAAAAAAACAAAAATGTTTTTTGAGACAGGGTCTAACTCTTTTGTCCAGGCTAGAATGCAGTGGGACGATCATAGCTCACTGCAGCTCAAACTTCTGGGCTTGAGCGATCCTCCCAATTCAGCCTCCGAAGTAGCTAGGATTACAGGTGCCCATCATCATGCCCAGCAATTTTTTTTTTCTGAAACAGAATCTTGCTTTGTTGCCCAGGTGGGACTTCAATTCCTGATTTCAAGTGATCCTCTTGCCTTGGCCTCCCAAAGTGTTGGGATTCCAGGCATGAGCCACCACACCAGCCCTCTCCTTGTTTCATGACTTTGATAGTATTGAGAATTGGCCTGGTATCCTATAGAATGTTCCCTACACTGGGTTCATCTGCTGGATCTAATTTTCTCATAAATAGGCCTGGCTAATAGCTTTTTTTTTTTTTTTTTTTTTTGAGACAGAGTTTTGCTCTGTCACCCAGGCTGATGTGCAGTGGCATGAACACAGCTCACTGCAGCCTTGACCTCCCACCTCAGCCTCCCGAGTAGCTGGGACTACAGGCATGTTTTCATTTTGGTAGAGACAGTCTCGCCATTTTGCCCAGGCTGGTCTCAAACTCCTGGGCTCAAGCGATCCTCCCATCTCGACCTCCCAAAGTGCTGGGATTATAGGCGTGAGCCACCACGCCCGACCCAGCCTTACCTTTATGACCCCTTAATGGTTTCTCTTATAAACTACCCACATGTCCTCTAGGAAGATGACACCAATATGTGTAGCTACCAGCAATGTACCTCCCTGCCTGATTTGTTGTGGCCTCAGACTAACTTCCTTCCAGGCATGGGCCTATTTGCTGCTGGATTCGACTGCAAAGCCCCATTCCTCTTCCTCACCCTCACCCCCAATTTGGTTTTCTGGCTCCACTCACTTACTGCTAAATCAGCATGACCATCTTTTATTGTATTTATTGTAACAGCCGTTTCTCATGTTTAAACGGCTCCACCCAATCCTAGAGGAACACCAGACCCACATGAGACCTCTATCAGCAGAACTGCTGGTGAAAATGTGAGGAATGTCTCTGTCCTTCCCTGACTCATCAGACCTCAGGATGACCTTCCTTCCTGTGAGTTATCTGCATTGACTTTTGCATCATCTGAGTGTTGGCTTTGGATGATGTCTGGGTGCTTTCTGTAGTGGAAATGGCTGAGGGCTGAGGATGTCTGGAGGCCAGAGCTGGTACCACCTATGCTACTAGCCAGCAAGGTGTCAGCTCAGGGAGGGAATCTCTTTTTTTCTTTTTTTTTTTTATTGACCCGGAGTCTCGCTCTGTCGCCCAGGCTGGAGTGGAGTGGCGTGATCTCGGCTCACTGCAACCTCTGCCTTCCAGGTTCAAGCATATTCTCCCGTCTCAGCCTCCTGAGTAGCTGGGATTACAGGCGCCTGCCACCATGCCTGGCTAATTTTTGTATTTTTTAGTAGAGACAGGGTTTCACCATGTTAGCCAGGCTGGTCTTGAACTCCTGACTTCGTTGATCCACCCGCCTCAGCCTCCCAAAGTGCTGGGATTACAGGTGTGAGCCACCACGCCCGGCCGGGAATTTCTTTTCTTTTCCTTTTTAAAATAGAGACAAGGTCTTGCTCTGTTGTCCAGGCTGGAGTGCAGTGGTGCAATCATAGCTCCTGCAGCCTTGAACTCCTGGGCTGTAGTGATTCTCCTGCCTCGGCTTCCCAAAGCACTGGGATTACAGGCATGAGCCACCACACCTGGGAGTTTCTAAATCTCAGTTTGCCCAGCTGTAAAATGGGATGATAACTTCTCTCTCATAAAGAACAGCTGAAAGTACTTTGCGAAAAGTACAATCACTTCAACTATGAGACCTCAAACCTTCTACTGAGGGCCTAAGGGCAAGATGAGAAGCGAAGGGGTGAGTGTGGGGTGAGTGTAGTCCAGAGCAGCCCTTCTCAAAATACGCTTTTTTGGGAGTGGAGTGGGGGGAGGGGATGGGATCTCAGACCTTAGCTTTAAAATTCTTGAAAACTTGACATTCTATGTGCTAAGGGCAAGGACAGCTTTAGGGCTTATGACCCATGCTCAGCTGTCGCCGAAATTCTTTAAAAAAATTTTTTTTTGAGACAAGGTCTCGCTCTATTGCCCTGGCTGGAGTGCAGTGGTGCGATCACAGCTCACTGCAGCATTGACAGCCCAGGCTCAAGCAATCCTCCCACCCCCTGCATCCCAAGGAGCTGGGACCACCAGCAGCACCACCAGGCCCGGCTAATTTGTTTGTTTGTTTGTTTCTTTGTTTGTTTGAGACAGAGTCTTACTCTGTCGCCCAGGCTGGAGTGCAGTGGAATGATCTCGGCTCACTGCAACCTCTGCCTCCCAAGTTCAAGCGATTCTCCTGCCTCACCCTCCCGAATAGCTGGGATTACAGGCACTCACCACCACGCCCAGCTAATCTTTGTATTTTTAGTAGAGACGGAGTTTCATCATGTTAGCCAGGCTGGTCTTGAACTCCTGACCGCAGGCAATCCGCCTGTCTCAGCCTCCTAAAATGCTGGGATTGTAGGTGTGAGCCACCGAGCCCAGCCTAATATTTTTATTATTTGTAGAGATGAGGTCTCACTCTATTGCTCAGGCTGATCTCTAACTCCTGGTCTCAAGCAATCCTCCTGTTTCGGCCTCCTAAAATGCTGGGATTACAGGTGTGAGCCACCATGCCCAGCTGAAATTCTTCGTAATTTCTGAAAAAGGGCCTCACATTTTCATTCTGCACCAGGCAGATCCTGCTAATGGCACTTAGTTTAAGAATGTGAGGGCTGTGGGCCACAGACTGGGATTCATCTGGAGAGGCAAAGAGGAGGCTGTGATTTGGGAGGAGGGCTGAAGCTGGGGCCCTAGGGAAAAAAGTCCCTGGGATGGGAGGTGAGCTTTTCAGAAAGTCTTGCTAAACTGGGAAGGAACCTTGCCTTTTAAATTCCTAAGAAACCTTCAGTGAAACTTCCGTTTCTGAGGTGGGGGTGGATGTGGTTTTAGAGGGACAGTGAGTCTGTGTCGGGACTGGGTCCCACTCCATACCTGCAAGGGGAGGAAGGACAGGAACATGTACTGGGTGTGCCTGGATGCCTGCCACAGGCTGGGCATATTTGCTGTGAGAAGAAAATAAACCAATAAAATAGGCTAAAGGCCTCCTCCGACTCCCCTTGTTGCTGGCTCGAGGCTGAATCTGAGCAGGGGGACCTGTTATTTCCTTGGTGTGGAGGAGTCCTGATGAGGGAAAGGGAGTCAGGCTGGTGGGACCAGGGAAAGCAAAAGCAGAAGCAGATGAGTTACAAGTCTGCCTTTCTTTGTGGTCCAGGACACAGCCCTCCTGCGCAAGTAACTCACCATCTTCCTGTGCCCAGCTACCACCAGACACCTGCAGGTGAGCTCACTGCAAGCTTGGCGTCGTGGTGCTGCGCACAGCCCTCTTCAGCACACAGTGTCAGCACCGTCCTATAAAATCTCCAGCCAGCCTTTGTTTCTTTGCAGTCGGCATCTCTCATGCAGGCTGCCCTGTCTCCTTGCAACCTATTTTTCTACTTTCTCCAATAAATCAGCCTTTTTCTGCCTACAACTGTCTTGGTAAATTATTTTACCCCCACGCCACTGGCCCAGAGAGCCATCGCTCCCCTTTGACATTTGGGCCTCCAAACTGGGATTTTGAGGGGGCAGGGACAATAGCTTCTAGTTAAGAGCTTATTCTGTGGGTCCCTGAGGAAGGGAAATGAGGCTAACAGGAAAAGGAGGTGCTCGGCTCCTGGCCTGGGCCTCAGCCCTGCTTTATGCCTCAATTCCACTTGGAAGCTGGCCAGCCGCCCTCCCTGCCCCTGACTTTACCCCAGACACCGCCTCTAAGTGGGGCCCCACCCAGCCCTACTTCCACACCTTTGTCCCCACCTGAAACCACACCCCTCCCAATGCACTAATCCAAGTCTCACCTCCTCTTCAAGGTCCAAGGCCAGACCATGTCCTCCCTGGGTCGTTCCAGCTTTACTCTCTCCTCTGAACACCTACAACACAACTGACATGGCACAGTCAGTGTCTCGTGGGCCACTGCCTCAGGGTCTTATTGTTTTATGAGGATCTATGTATTGAGCTCAGAGCTGTTCCTTAAGTGCCATATATAATAGTAAATGGCCACACGTGTGGGCCCTTGAGTCAGAGACCTGAGTTCAAATCCTGGCTGCACCGGTGTGATCTCGAGCACCTTACCCAGCATTCCTGAGCCTCAGTTGCTCCACCTATAGGGTAAGGATGGTGTCTTGGGTTTGTTGAGATAATTTATTTTTTATTTTTATTTATTTTTGAGACAGAGTGTTGCTCTGTCACCCAGGCTGGAGCGCAGTGGCATGATCTCAGCTCACTCCAACCTCTGCCTCCCAGGTTCAAGTGATTCTCCTGCCTCAGCTCCCTGAATAGCAGGGATTACAGTTGTGTGCCACCACGCCTGGCTGATTTTTGTGTTTTTAGTAGAGACAGGATTTCACCATGTTGGCCAGGCTGGTCTCGAACTCCTGTCCTCAAGTGGTCCTCAGCCTCCCAAAGTGCTGGGATTATAGGCGTGAGCCACCATGCCTGTTGGGATAATTTATAAAGTGAGAGGATAACCAACAGTGGCTGCTGATATTATTGCTGTTGTTATTGTTATGACTGGGAATGGAGGAAGAAGACTCTGGATAGACACAAATAATACAGATGGTTGGAGCCGTCGCACATGTAGGACTTACCGTGTTCCAGGCACTGCTCTGAGTGTTTTACATAGAAGTCATTTAATTTTCATGATATCCCTGTGAAGCTGACATTACTATTTCCTCCACTGTGGAGAGGAGGAAACTGAGATACACGGAAGGTTATTAAGTGACTTGCCCAACATCACGCAATCTATAGCATAGCTGGTATCTGAACCCACACAGTCTGGCCTCAGAGCCTATACCTTGCCCACTAGCTACGTGAGCCCTCAGCCCCCACTACGCTGCCCCCTCCCTTGAGAGCCTCGGCTGTGGCACTACTAGTTTCGATGGAGCTGGTGATAGGTGACCCTCTACCTAAAGAAAAATGCCCTGTTTATTTATTTAGAGACTGAGTATTGCTCTGTCACCCAGGCTGAAGTGCAGTGGCACAATCTCGGCTCACTGCAACCTCCACCTCCTGGGTTCAAGCGATTCTCGTGCCTCAGCTTCCCAAGTAGCTGGGATTACAGGTGTCCACTACCATGCCCAGCTATTTTTTTGTTTGTTTGTTTTTGAGACAGAGTCTCGCTCTGTCGCCCAGGCTGGAGTGCAGTGGTGAATCTCGGCTCACTGCAACCTCCGTCTCCCAGGTTCAAGCGATTCTCCTGCCTCAGCCTCCTAAGTAGCTGGGATTACAGGTGTCTGCCACCATCCCTGGCTAATTTTTTCTTTGTATTTTTAGTAGAGATGGTGTTTCACTATGTTGGCCAGCCTGGTTTTGAACTTCTGACCTCAAGTGATCCGCCTGCCTCGCCCTCTCAAAGTGCTGGGATTACAGGCGTGAGCCACCTCACTGGCCCCCTTTGCCTTTAAATGCTCTTGCTTTCCAAGTAGCTAATATTTACTGAACAAAAACCATGCCCCCAGGAATAATGCAAAGGATAAAAGTACCTCATTTAATCCTCAAAACAGCCCTATGAGTTAGGTGCCATTGTTATCCCCATTTCACAGGAAAGGACTGTGCTCAGCTTAAATAACTTGCTCAGTGTGACACAGTAGGAAACAGCAGTGCAGGGACTTGAGCCTAGGTTTTCACCATTTTCCTTCCCAAATGGAGGCAGACAGGTCCCTTCCTACAGTGTGTTCCTGGGGCCAATTCCATTCTTACCCTGCCTGGAAGCCAGCCCACAAATCACAGCAGCAGGCTTCAGGAGGCTGGACCTGGGGATGGCTCACCAGGCTTCCGCTCCCCCGTCCAAGAATGTGATGAGGTCAGAGTGAACCAGCCCCTCGCCCCATCCTCTAACCCAACCCCCTCATCCCACCCTGGGCAGGAAGAGGCAAGCTCTAGCCTCTGGGCTTCCAGAAAGCCTGGCTTTCCTGGAAGGCAGGATGAGGAGGGAGCTGCCTAACTTTCCAGTGAATAGCTGGGAGTGAGTCAGCCTCTGACCTGGATGGGGTGCAGTCCTGCCCCGAGTCAGGGGGCTGAACAAGATGACTTCATGGGCTACTCCTCTCCGGGCCTGGCCTCATCAACAGTCTGAGACCTGAGAGACATAGGGGTGGCTTTAGCCATGATGGTGGGGGCATCCCATCAATTTTAGGGGGCCAATCCCTCTCCAACTTTAGGGATGTTTTAGATTTTGCATGACTATTCTACTCATTCCCACCCCTGCTCCAAATCACCCGAGTAGATATTGGGTTCTACAGACAACTTTGTTAGATTGGTTGTGTTTGTTTGTTTTTTTTTTTTTTGAGACGGAGTCTTACTCTGTCACCCAGGATGGAGTGCAGTGGCATGAACTCAACTCACTGCCACCTCCACCTCCCAGATTCAAGCGATTCTCCTGGCTCAGCCTCCTGAGTACCTGGGATTACAAGCGCCTGCCACCATGCCTGGCTAATTTTTGTATTTTTAGTAGAGAAGGGGATTCACCATGTTGGCCAGGCTGGTCTCAAACTCCTGACCTCAGGTGATCCGCCCACCTTGGCCTCCCAAAGTGCTGGGATTATAGGCATGAGCCACCAAGCCCGGCCCTGAGTTGCTGTTTTGATTTATAAAGACCAAAGAAAGTCCGGAGATGGGCAGTGGTGATGGTTGCACAATAATACGAATGCCACTGAATTGTACATTCAAAAAGGGTTAAAATGATAAACTTTATATTACGGATATTTTATCACAATAAAAAATCAAAAAAGAAAATAAATTATTATTAAAAGATTTAAATACACACAATAATAGAAAAAATGATTCAATTAATTCACATATACCCATCAACCCAATTCAACCATCAACAAGATTTGCTGTATTTACTTCATTTATCCTTCTTTTTTCTCTCTTCTTTATCGTGTGTGTGTGTGTGTGTGAAATATTTTAAAGCAAATCCTAGACATTATTCAGCTCTTTAAATGTGGATATCTCCATATGTAATGTTTAGGGAAAATGCTTAAATTGTGTTTTTACTCTGCTCTCACACCAACACAACAATCAACACAGAAGACTTCTGTAATCCCAAAATATGAGAATATTTCTTCCCACCAGTAAGCAAGCAAGCAGTTCAGCAGCGGACACAAGCTGTGTGTCCTCAATTCTGACACCATCTACCTGGAGATAGCATCAGATTCCAAAGGTTGAGGGCTCGGTCCCCAAGACTGGCCCCGTTTCGGACACGAGTCACAAGTCCAGGCCTCTGGAACCTCTGACTGAGCAGCTTCAAGTTGGGGTTCCCACAACCCCTTATTTGGGTTCAATTAATTTGCTGGAGCTCACAGAACTCAGGGAAACACTTTTACTGGTTTATTATAAAGGATATTACAAAGGATCCAGATGAAGAGCACGTAGGGCCAGCTACTGGGGAAGGGGCATGGAGCTCCATGCCCTGCCTGGGGCACCCTCCAGGACCCTCCCAATGTTCAGCTGTCCAGAAGCTCTCCAAACCCAGTCCTCTTGGGCCTTTTTCTTTTTTTTTTTTTTTTGAGACGGAGTCTTGCTCTGTTGCCAGGCTGGAGTGCAGAGTGGCATGATCTGGGCTCACTGCAACCTCTGCCTCCCGGGTTCAAGCGATTCCCCTGCCTCAGCCTCCTGATAAGCTGGGACTACAAGCACGCGCCACCACACCCAGCTAATTTTTTTGTATTTTAGCAGAGACGGGGTTTCACCATGTTGGCCAGGATGGTCTTGATCTCCTGACCTTGTGATCTGCTTGCCTCAGCCTCCCAAAGTGCTGGGATTACAGGCGTGAGCCACCACACCAGCCTTCTCTTGGGCTTTTATGGAAGCTCAGCATTCCTTCCCCCAGAGTATGGGGCAGGACCCTCTCTGGAATAAGGGTCTATGACCCAAGTGAGAAAGGTGGGGGAAGATTGGAGTCTTTCTTTGGGGCAGGTGAAAAGGGAGCAGGGAGCGGGAGAAGATCAGAGAGATTCTGTTTCCTGAGGCCTGTCCCCGAGGCCCAACACACCCAACATTCTAACAAAGGGAAGAATCAGGGAAGAAGAGATGCAAGACTCCAGAAGCACGCCAACATATAAAACCCCACATCAAAGGTCAAATCGTGCACTTGATCTCTCAAGACGCCTGCTTGGCCCTCTTCCAGGTGTACTTTACTTCCTGTCGTTCCTGCTCTGAAACTTTTTAATAAACTTTCACTCCTGCTCTAAAACTTGCCTCGGTCTCTCCTTCTTGCCTTTTGCCCCTCAGTCAAATTCTTTCTTCCGAAGAGGCAAGAATTGGCGATGCTGCAGACCTATACAGATTTGCCACTGCTAACATGAGGAGGTGACACTTGAGAGATGTAGTGGTTTGAATTATGGTTCCCAAAAGATCTGTCCACCAGGAACCTCAGAATGTGACCTTTTTTGGAATAAGAGTCTTTGTAGATGTGATTAAGGTAAAGGACCTCAAATTGAGATCATTCTAGATTAGCATGGGCCCTAAATCCAATGGTAAATATCCTTACAACAGACAGAAAAGGAGAAGACCATGTGAAAATAGAGGCAGAGATCAGAGTTATGGAGCCCCAAGCCAAGCAATGCCAAGGGTTGCCAGCAGCCTCCAGAAGCCAGGAGACAGGCAAGGAACAGATTCTCCCTCAGGGTCTGCAGAAGGAATTAACCCTGTCAACATCTTGATTTTGGACTTCTGGCCTTCAGAACTGTAAGAGCAGATTTCTGTTGCATTAAACCACCAAATATGTGATAATTTGTTTTGGCAGCCCTCGGAAGTTAATGCGAGACCTAAACAATGAGAAGGAGCTGGCTCTAGGAGGACCTGGTCATAGAGTCTTCCAGATAGAGGGAACACAGGCAAAGGCCCTGAGATTAATTACTTCACTGATTCTCAGCCCTGGCACAAGGTCTCATTCTGTCACTGAGGCTGGAGTGCAGTTGCACAATCACGGCTCACTACAGCCTCGACCTCCCAGGCTCAAGCAATCCTCCTGCCTTAACTCCCTAGTAGCTGGGACTATAAGCATGTGCACCATGCCCAACTAAGTTTTGTATTTTTTGTAGGACAGGGTTTCACCATGTTGCCCAGGCTGGTCTCAAACTGCCAGGCTCAAGCTATTCATACACCTCAGTCTCCCAAAGTGCTGGGATTATGGGCGTGAGTCACTGCACCTGGCCCACTAGAAATGTTTTTTTCTTTCTTTCTTTCTTTTTCTTTTTTTTTGAGACAGGGTCTCACTCTGTTGCTCAGGCTGGAGTGCAGTGGCAGGATCTTGGCTCACTGCAACCTCCGCCTCCCAGGTTCAAGTGATTCTCATGCCTCAACCTCCCAAGTAGCTGGGACTACAGGTGCCTGTCACCACACCTGGCTAATTTTTGTATTTTTAGTAGAGATGGGATTTCACCATGTTGGCCAAGCTGGTCTTGAACTCCTGAACTCAAGTGATCCACCTGCCTCAGCCTCCCAAAGTGCTGGAATTACAGGCGTGAGCCACAGTGCCCAGCCTAGAAAATTTGTTTAAAAGCTCCTGATGCTCATCTCTACCCCAGAACAATTAAATTGGAATCTCTGGAAGTGGAGCCCAGGCATCAGTATTTTTGCTCCCCAGGTAATTCTAACATACAGACAGGAGTCTTATTGCTGAGTTTCCTGATTCACAATCTCCTTAAGGCAAAATCAATTCATTAAAAAACACTATTATGCTAGGCGTGGTGGCTCACGCCTGTAATCACAGCACTTTGGGAGGCAGAGGTGGGCAGATCACCTGAGGTCAAGAGTTTAAGACCAGCCTGGCCAACATGGTAAAACCCCATTTCTACTAAAAATGGAAAATTTAGCTGGGCGTGGTGGCACACACCTGTAATCCCAGCTACTTGGGAGGCTGAGGAAGCAGAATTGCTTGAACCCGGGAGGCAGAGGTGGCAGTGAGCTGAGACTGCACCACTGCACTCCAGCCTGGGCGACAGAGCAAGACTCCGTCTCAAAACACAAAAACAAAATACTATTAAATTATTATTATTATTATTTTTTGAGACAGGGTCCTGCTCTGTCGCCCAGGCTGGAGTGCAGTGGCGGGATCTCGGCTCACTGCAAGCTCCGCCTCCCGGGTTCATGCCATTCTCCTGCCTCAGCCTCCCGAGTAGCTGGGACTACAGGCACCCACCACCACGCCCAGCTAATTTTTTGTATTTTTTAATAGAGACAGGGTTTCACCATGTTAGCCAGGATGATCTCGATCTCCTGACCTCGTGGTCCACCCGCCTCGAACCTCCAAAGTGCTGGGATTACAGGTGTGAGCCACCGCGCCCAGCCAAAATTATTTTAAAAAGAGAGAGAGATAGAGTCTTGCTCTGTCACCCAGGCTGGAATGCTGTGGTGGACTCTCAGCTCACTGCCACCTTTGCCTCCAGGGCTCAAGTGATCCTCCTGCCTCATCCTCCCAAGTAGCTGGGACCACAGGACCAGCTAATTTTTGTAAAGATGCGGTTTCGCCATGTTGTCCAGGATGGTCTTGAACCCCTGAGCTCAAGCGATCCACCCCACTTTGGCCTCCCAAAGCACTGCGATTACAAGCCCAAACCCACTTTCCATTGACAGCAAATGGTCACTCCATGTAGCAGTGGTCTGGGAAATACATTCTGGCTGGTGCCCAAGAAGAGGAGACCATGGATGTTGATGAATACCTTGGGTTCTGCCAGACTATTGCCATTAGAATTCTGTTTTACAGATGAAGAAAGAAAGTAAGTCTTGACTAATAAGTGGAGGAGCCAGGGATTGAACCCATGTCTTTCTGACCCAGAGCCACCCACTTACCTGTAGACCCACAGCCTCATGAGTGGGTGGTGATTCTGCTGCACCTGGCATTTGCCCTTTGCCACCTGTGGCTAGGTCACATTATTCATACACTGTCCTTTTCCATGGACCATATTTCCCCTCCAGAGGTGAAAAGCACAGCCCTCACTCTAATCAAGTCTTTTTTTGTTGAGACGGGGTCTTGCTTTGTCACCCAGGCTAGAGTACAGTGGTACAATCTCGGCTTACTGCAACCTCCCTTCCTGGGTTCAAGCAATTCTCCTGCCTCAGCCTCCCTAGTAGCTAGGACTACAGGCATGCGCTACCACGCCCGGCTAATTTTTGTATTTTTAGTAGATACAGGGTTTCACCATGTTGGCCAGGCTGGTCTCGAACTCCCAAACTTAGGTGATCCATCTGCCTCGGCCACCCAAAGTCCTGGGATTACAGGCGTGAGCCACTGCGCCTGGCCTCTAATCAAGTTTTTAATGAGGACCAGTATCTGATAGGAGTGAGGGACAGCATCCTTCTATAACCCATCCCCATCACCGGAATTTCACTCCTGTCTGTCCTGGGTTTTGTGGGGAGTCTGGAAACCCTCACACTCTGTCTCCTAACGAGAGAGAGCAGAAAGCCCACCCCAGGACCTTATGCGGGGCCCTGGACAGACCCCAAAAATCACCTTGAATCAGCCAGAGAAGAGCATATGGCTGTCAGCAGGATGGAAGCAGTAAACCCTGGGGGTGCTGGAGAGTGGAAGTCAGATGGACTCATCAGGAGACCCAGGCCTGGGATCACCTAAAATAGAAATATAAAAAGGGCCAATGTGTAGTATACATTGCCATGGGCTGGGCCCTTTATATGGGTTGTCTGGTTCAATACTCATGACAACCAAGTCAGTGTCATTATATTATCACCCCCATTTCACAGATGGGGAAACGAAAGCACACAAGGAGGCTGTGTCACTTGCCCAAGGTTAGGTAGCTGGAAATAGGCAGTGTTGGGACTTGAGCCCTGACATGTCTGAGCCAAAATTCTTACATATTCCACGGATTCTACCGCCTCCCTGGTGCTGGGAGCTGAGCCCAGGCAGGCGAGGGGACAGGAAGACATAAGCGTGCACTAGACAGTCCTGCCTCTGTGAATAACACAGATAACCGCAGGCTGAGGCCGTGGGACTTGCCCAGGTCCTACCTGGTTCTGTGGCCTGGAAAGTCACCCCCTACTGTTAACCCTCTGGCACATGGAGCAACTTTGTTTTTTTGCCCTAGCACTCAAGAGATCAATGATTGGAAGAGACCTTGGTGTGGGGTTCAGGAAACAGGGACCCACATTCTGAACTTCCATATCCCCACCTCACTCCCACCCCAGCCTTCCGTCTTTATGGCTCCTAGTTCTCTTTGGGGACAGTTCTTGGTACAGAGTGTATGCTCAATAAATGGAAGTGTTAACAAACAAAGGAAAGAGGCAGAGCACGGTGGCTCATGCCTGTAACCCCAGCACTTTGGGAGGCTGAGGCAGGAGGATCGCTTGAGACCGGGAATTCAAGACCAGGCTGGGCAACATAGCAAGATTCTGTCTCTACAAAATTTTTAAAAAATTAGCCAGCCATGGTGGTGTGCACCTGTAGTCTCGGCTACTCAGGAAGGAGGCTGAGGCAGGAGGATGGATTAAGCCCAGGAGTTTGAGACTGCAGTGAGCTATAATTGCACCACTGTACTCCAGCCTAGGTGACAGAACGAGACCCTGTCTCAAAAAAAGAAAGAAAGAAAGAAAGAACGATAAAGGAAAAGATATGGTCTTTTCTTTCAACATTTTTTTTTTTGAGACGGAGTCTCACTTTGTAGCCCAAGCTGGAGTGCAGTGGTGTGATTGTGGCTCACTGCAACCTCTGCCTCCCGGGTTCAAGTGATTCTCCTGCCTCAGCCTCCCGAGTAGCTGGGATTACAGGTGCCTGCCACCACACCCAGATAATTTTTGTATTTTTAGTAGAGGCAGGGTTTCACCATGTTGGCCAGGCTGGTCTCGAACTCCTGCCCTCAAGTGATCTGCTGCCTCAGCCTCCCAAAGTGCTGGGATTACAGGCGTGAGCCTCCGCGCCCGGCCCTAAAAAATATCTTGGTTCACTTATTTCACCATAGTTTTCTTCTTATGTCACGTAGATGGTATGTTATATGATAAAATAACTTTCTCAGAGAGAAGAAAAACATCATCCTAAGTGACAAGAGCTTTCTATCAGTCTTTTTCTTTCTTGGTGGCACATAAAATAGTGCTGTGTTCTTGTGATCAATGACATCTTAGAGTCGATGAAACATGGCATGTAATGAGCACCCAACTACCAAGAATGAGAAGAGCTAACAAGCACTGAGCTCTTCCAGACAAAGAGCTTTACGTTCACTAATCTAAGTTAGAAAATTACACCCGGATGTTACTACTATTCCCATTTTACCAATGGGAAGATTAAGGCACAGAAAGGTCAAGGAACTTCCCCAAGGTCACCCAGCCAGTGAAAAGTAGAGCGGAGACCTGACCAGCAACCGTTGTTCCTGCCACGGCAGGAGTGCCAACCACCAGCCTACCTGCCTCCCAGCCTCCTACTCAATGAGTGAACAGAAGTACTGGAGCTATCATTTCCATTTTCTACACCTGGGGTGGTGATTTTCTCAGTCTGTCAGTGTTTATTGAGCACGTACTGTGTCTGGTGAGGGCTGCTCTCTGATGCCTCGTTGCTATCCCCTCACCTGTGGAGGGCAGAAGAGCACAGGGCCTAGCTGGTTCCTTCCCACCCTTTTATTTGGCACGAATCCCTCCAGGAGGACTCAAAGCCTAATCAGCTCCCAAAGGCCTATCTCTCTACTGTTGAACTGAGGATTAAGTTGCAACATGAATTTTGGAGGGAACATGAATATTTAAACCACAGCACCCCCTAAAGCATGTGTCAGGTATCATCGGCCCCATTTTATACAGAAATCCAAGCCCTGAGAGGTTAAGAAATCTGCCTGAAGTCACACAGCTTAGACATAGCAGGGTCAGGATTCTAACCCAGGTCCAGGGCTGGGGTGGTGGGAAAGACAATGGCAAACATGGAGACCTTGGAAGAAACCACTGGAAGGGGTCTGAGGGCATGGCAGGCCCACAGGCCCTCCTCAGAGGCAAATCCTTGCATGGGTACATTGGCTGGAAAGGAAAAAAACAAGAAGAAGGAGCAGGAAACCGCTGGGGGTTATTGAATGTGCTCCCATCTTCCCCTGCCCTCCCAGTGTCCACTGCCCACATTTCAGCAGACAGTGTTACAGCAGGTAGCCAGGCAGACATGAGCACAGCAGGAGAGGCCCCCACCGGGAATGTCAGGTGACCATCCCGCGATGGTCAGGCGCTGTATCTCTAAAATAATTGGTTGCAGCCGGCGCCAGAGAAAGGCAGTCTCCCAACAGAAACACCTGAACCTGGTGAGCAGCAGCTTCCAGATAAGATCTCAGGAGTTAGGCGAGTGGGGTCAAGCATGCGCACTAAGAGGCAAAACATCGGAGTTTGACTGGTATGACCTTCCTCTAGGAACCCTTGGCTGGTAAGGGAAAAACACCTCAGTGAGCATGAGTACGACCCCAGTAAACACACTGTGCATGGGGCCCCGCCCAAGCGCTGGCAAGCCACTGCGCATGCGGAATGCCATTGTATAAGACCCCAAGTCAAAGGTCAAAGTGTGCACTTGATCTCGCAAGTCGCCCACTTGGCCCTCTTCCAAGTGTACTTTACTTTCTTTTGTTCCTGCTCTAAAGCTTTCTAATAAACTTTCACTCCTGCTCAAAAACCTGCCTTGGTCGGGCTGGGCGTGGTGGCTCACACCTGTAATCCCAGCACGTTGGGAGGCCAAGGCGGGTGGATCACTTGAGGTCAGGAGTTCGAGACCAGCCTGGCCCAACATGGTGAAACCCCGTCTCTACTAAAAATATAAAAAAAATTAGCCAGGAGTGGTGGCAGGCGCCTGTAATTCCAGCTACTCATGAGGCTGAGGCAGGGATCTCTGCTCACTGCAACCTCCACCTCCCGGGTTAAAGAGATTCTCCTGCCTCAGCCTCCCAAGTAGCTGGGATTACAGGCGCCCACCACACCTGGCTAACTTTTGTATGTTTTTTTTTTAGAAGAGATGGGGTTTCACCATGTTGGCCAGGCTGGTCTCAAACTCCTGACCTGAGGTGATCTGCCCGCCTCAGCCTCCCAAAGTGCTGGAATTACAGGCATGAGCCACCGTGCCCGGCCCTAAATCAATAGTTCTCAACCAGGGGTGATTTTGTCCCCCGGGGACATATGGCAAGGTCTGGAGACATTTTTGACGGTCACAGTGGAAGAGGGAGGAGTTGCTACTGGCTTTTAGTGGGTAGAGGCCGGGGATGCCGCTAAACACCCTACAATGCAGAGGACAGCCCCCCTCAGCAAATAATTATCAGCCCCAAATATCAATAGTGCTGAGGTTCAAAACCCCTGACCTAAACTAAGACACTGAGTGGCTCCTTCTTGGTGATGACCCTCTAGCATCCTTGGCCTGACAAGAATGGCCTAGCAAAGCCTGGGTGTGGAAAGACTGGCTGGGTGAGGAGCTAGCCCCCGGGTGGCTGGGGTCTCATGGCTTTTGCCTGCCTCCACCTCTTCCTCTTCCATCTCCACCTAATCCATGTGGGGCTGCTGGCTCGCCCCACAGCAAGATCCACTGAGAGGGTAGGCAGGCTATGCTGGCTTGGCCGATAGCAAACTCCCTCTCCAGACCATGGTGACTGGTTCAGGGATGGCAGGTGACTCAAAACAAACCAATCAGGATTTTCTCTGAGACTTCTCAGCCAGAGACTCTTTCCACTAGGGCCAGAGCTGGTGAGATGTGAACTTGGGGAGTCTAGTGGACACCTTGGTAGCCGTGGAAGAAGCAACATCCAAGCTGACTGATCAGTGCTGAAAGGGCAGAGTCCTGCTGATACGTGGCTCAGCGACACGAGCCAGAAACTTCCCTTTTTTGGAATTGCTTTGCTGTCTTGACTAATAGGGTCTCTCCCACTGGGCTGGGAATTTCCTGTTCTTTTCTCTTATCCCGGAGCACCACGCCCTGCTCCCCATTTAAGAGCCTGGAAGAGGAGCCCGCCCAACTGCTCATTTATGAACTCAGGTTACTCACTTCATAACCGGCTGTGGAGAACACCTGATCCAGTCTCTCGTCCCATCACGCAGGTGATGGAACTGTGGCTGGGGAGGAACCATTTTCATCTTGGTAGAATCTCTTGGGCAGTGGTTGGCTCGGGCTCCTTTGAGCGCCCGATGTAAGCTCTGCACAGCAGCCAGGGGACCCACAACCCTCCTGACGCCACCCCGTCTGGCCCTGTTCTCTCTCTCTTTTGGCTTTTCAAGGGAGTGAATTATGATTTTGGACTGGGCTCGAATCCTGATCTGTTGCTTCCTAGCTGAGTGAACCTGAGCAATTTACTTCCTCTCTCTGAGTCTCAGTTTCCTCTTCTGCAAAATGTGGACAGTGAATAACACCCACGATGAGCCCTGAGGGCCGTTGTTACTGGGGTGAAGATGAAAGGAGATGGTGTAGGCAAAGCACTCATTCTAGTGTCTCGCACATTTGGGGAATAATATATTCTGGAAGTGTTTTCTGCTTGAAAAGTAAAGAAAGAGGAGACGCCCTGGGGTGAGGAATCCTCCCTCTGTGGCCAGCTGTCAGGAGGCGGATGTGGAGGCTGGACACACTCCCACGGTGGCCTCCCAGCGGCTGGCCTGTCGGTGATGGGTGGTGCAGGGCCTGGTGTTTGGGGGCTCCCCCAGGCACACCCAGCCCCCCACCCTGGTGAATCAACCACACTGCTTAAGCCACAGCAAAACCAAGTCACTTCCTGGCGGTCCCAAACAAAGGCCTAGAACCCACAGTCCAGGAACTGGCCCCTTATCGCTCCTCAGGCCCGATAAGAAGGGCAAGAGGGTCTGAGTCGGCCAGGAGTAGCTCTTGCAGGACTCTCCCCTGGCCTTCTACCTGCACCTTAGCCCACCCTGGGGGTTCAGGCCCTCCCCTTCTCATGGCGCCCCCACAGGCATGCTGTCCCGTGTGCCCACCATGCAGCCCCTGCACCATCTCCAGAAGAAACCAGTTAAAGACTGCCAGGAGCAGCAGGCCATGAAGTGGGCACTCCCCAGAGCTTATCAGATAGGCAGGCTCTTCTGGGCCCCAGGAAGTGGGGCAGGGGACAGAAAAAGAATGAGGAAGGAGGGACAGAGAAAAGGTGAAAGGAGGGTTGGTGCCACGCCCTCCCCTGGAGGCCCCACAGAAGGAGGTCCAGTTGCAGCCTCCTGGCTGGTCCCCTGTCCTCCCACTCAACACCACTGGGAGCTGACCATCCTCCACCCCATAGCTACAGCCACTCTTTTTTTTTTTTTCCTTTTCTTTTTTGAGACGGAGTCTCGCTCTATCACCCAGGTTGGAGTGCAGTGGCGCCCACGCCCAGCCGAGCCACCTTCTTTTAAGCCACATCTGCTTGTCCCACCCTTGTTCAGAACCCTACTGTGAGGCTGGGTGCGGTGGCTCACGCCTGTAATCCTAGCACTTTGGGAGGCTGAGGCAGGTAGATCATTTGAGTTCAGGAGTTCGAGACCAGCCTGGCCAACATGGTGAAACCCTGTCTCTACTAAAAATACAAAAATTAGCCAGACATGGTGGCAAGTGCCTGTAATCCCAGCTACTAGGGAGGCTGAGGCAGCAGAATCGTTTGAACCTGGAGGTGGGGGTTGTAGTGAGCCAAGATTGTGCCACTGCGCTCCAGCCTGGGCAACAGAGCGAGACTTTATCCCCACCACCTGGCCAGGTGTCTTACTCTATTGGGGCTGCTATATAACAATAGAACATAAACTGGGAGGCTTACAAACAATAGAAATTTATTTCTTACAGTTCTGGAGGCTAGAAATCCAAGACTAAGGTCCCAGCAGATTCTATGTCTGGTGAGGGCCCTTCCTCATAGGCAGTACCAGCTTGCCATGTCCTCACAGGTGGAAGAGGCTGCTAGCTCTCTGAACATGATAAGGGCACTAATCCCATCCATGAGGGCTCCACCCTTATGACCTAATCACTTCCCAAAGGCCCTACCTTCTAATACCATCTCCTTGGGGCTTAGGGTAGGAATTTTGTGGGGACACAAACGTTCAGATTATAGCACCAGATTTTCTTCTTTTCTAATTTTTTTTTTTGAGATGGGGTCTTGCTCTCTTGCTCAGACTGAAGTACAGTGGCAAAATCACAGCTCACTGCAGCCTCAACCTCCCAGGCTCAAGGGATCCTCCCACCTCTGCCTCCTGAGTAGCTGGAACCACAGGTGGACACCACTACACCTGGCTAATACATATATATATATTTTTTTTTTTTTTTTTTTTTGGCTCACTACAGCCTCCACCTCCTGGGTTCAGGTGATTTTCTTGCCTCAGCCTCCCAAGTAGCAGGGATTACAGGCACATGCCACCACACCTCGCTAATTTTTGTATTTTTAGTAGAGACAGGGTTTCACCATGTTGGCCAGGCTGGTTGGTCTCGAGCTCCTGACCTCCAGTGATCCACCCACCTCAGTCTCCCAAAGTGTCGGCTAATTTTTAAAAATTTTTTTGTAGAGATGGGGGTCTCACTATGTTGCCCAGACTAATCTCAAACTCCTGGGCTCAAGTGATCCTACTGTCTCAGCCTCCAAAATGCTGGGACTAGAGGAATGAACCACCACGCTAGGCCAGCAAGTGGTCTTCTGACTCCCAAGGCCTCATTCCTTCCATGCTCCTAAATGGAGCTACTCACAGTCCCTGGGTCTCAAGCCTCTGGGTCTCTGCTGCTGGGACCCAGAAGAAGGTGAGTCTCAGCACTTGCTGGGTGAGTGGGTGGAAGTTTGCAGGAAGTCTTCCTGGAGGAGTGGCATTTTAGTTATCCTGGTGTTCTGACCCGATTGGGAGAGGCAGAAGAAAAGAAGGTCAGGTGATTCCCAAATAAGCCAATTTGCCCAGCTCTCACCTGAGCAAGGTGACTGGCCTCTTTGCAGGCAGGGAGGTCTAGTGGAAAGAGCAGGAAGCTCAGTGCTTACCAGCTACGTTACCTTGAACAAATGTCTCTCTGTGTGTGAGCCTCTGTTTCCTCCTCTGTAAAATGGGCTAAGGCTGCCCATCAGGGCTGCATACATTTATGCAAAGTGTGTAAATGCCCAGCAGGTGCTCCATCCATTCCATCCAAGATGGGAGTTTTCTCCAGGGCAGTGTCTTGGCTGCTTCCCTGGTCTAGGTCAAAGAAAGGGCCAGGATTGGAGAAAATGAAGCTAGGCCAATCCGGATTTTCCAGCTGTTCCTGGCTGCTCCATGTGGCTGGAGGAAGGAAATTCTCTGTACAAAGACAGGAAGGCAGAGGTGCTCCTGTGGCAAAGACAAAGCTCACAGTGGTGCCTGGTATGACCTGAAGGTCCAATGCACCTTTGGAGCCGGGCACAGAAACCACAGCAGAGGCTCCATCACCCTGGCATCCCTCATCTCCTCCAAAAGCATCGGGGTATCACAGATGGGGAAACCAAGGCCCAAAGAGGATATGAATCTACCCTAGGTCACATAAAGGCCATGGCTTCCAATTCAGCTCCCCTACCTCTTCTTTTTCAAGTTCAGAATCACTGAGGATGTCCTATAAAGTACCTAAAAGACAGTAATCTCTCACTGATTGTGGTTTTAAGAGAATTCATTTTATATGTACAGTCATGCATTGCTTAACAACAAGGATAAATTCTGAGAAATGTGTCATTAGGTGATTTCACCATTGTGTGAACATCATAGAGGGCACTTACACAAACCTAGATGGTCTAGCCTACTACACCCCTAGGCTAAATGGTGTAGTCTATTTCTCCTAGGCTACAGATCTGTATAGCATGTTACTGTACTGGATACTGTAGGCAACTGTAACACAATGGTAAGTAATTGTATATTTAAACATCTAAACATAGAAAGGGTAAAATAAAAATATAGTATTATAATTTTGTGGGATCACCGTGGCAGGTGAGATATGTCGTCAACTGAAACATTTTTTTGTTGTTGTTTGTTTGTTTGTTTGTTTTTTAGTAGAGATGGGGTTTCATCATGTTGGCCAGGCTGGTCTTGAACTCCTGGCCTCAAGTGATCCTCTAGCCTCGGCCTCCCAGAGTGCTGGGATTACAGGCATCAGCCACTGTGCTGGCTCCATTTTTTTTTTCTTTTTTTTTTTGGAGACGGGTTTCACTCTTGTCACCCAGGCTGGAGTGCAGTGGTGCAATCTTGGCTCACTGAAACCTCCGCCTCCCGGGTTCAAGCGATTCTCCTGCCTCAGCCTCCCAAGTAGCTGGGATTACAGGCATGCACCACCATGCCTGGCTACTTTTTGTATTTTTAGTAGAGATGAGGTTTCACCATGTTGCCCAGGCTGGTCTCAAACTCCTGACCTCAAGTGATCTGCTGGCTTTGGCCTCCCAAAGTGTTGGGATTACAGGCATGAGCCACTGTGCCCAGCCTGTTTTGTTTGGTTTGGTTTGTTTTTTTGTTTTTTTGAGACGGAGTCTCACTGTCTCCCAGGCTGGAGTACAGTGGCACTATGTTGGCTCACTGCAACCTCAGAATCCTTGGTTCAAGCAATTCTCCTGCCTCAGCCTCCCAAGTAGCTGAGATTACAGGCACCTGCCACCATGCCCGGCTAATTTTTGTATTTTTAGTAGAGGCAGGGTTTTACCATCTTAGCCAGGCTGGTCTCTAACTCCTGGTCTCAAGTGATCCACCAGCCTCAGCCTCCAAAATTGCTGGGATTACAGGTGTGAACCACTGCGCTGTCTGAAACATTGTTATATGGCACATAACTGCATATGTACATTTTTTTAATCTTTATTTTTTGAGACAGTCTCACTCTGTCACCCAGGCTGGACTGCAGCAGCACCATCCTGGCTCACTTGCAATCTCTGCCTCCCAGGTTCAAGCGATTCTCCTGCCTCAGCCTCTGAGTAACTAGGATTATAGGTGTGCACCACCACATCCGGCTAATTTTTGTATTTTCAGTAGAGATGGAGTTTCACCGTGTTGGCCAGGCTGGTCTGGAATTTCTGAGTTCAAATGATCTGCCCAACTTGGCCTCCCAAAGTGCTGGGATTACAGGTGTGAGCCACTGCACAATCACAGCTAACTACAGCCTCAAACTCCTGGGCTCAAGCCATTCTCCTGCCTCAGGCCCACAAGTAGCTGGGACTACAGGCATTCACCACTACACCCGGCTATATATATTTTTTAATCTTTTGTAGAGATGGGGTTTTGCCATATTGCCCAGGCTGGTCTGAAACTCCTGGGCTCAAGTGATCCACCCGCCTCAGCCTCCCAAAGTTCTGGGATTACAAGTTCAATCCACTGTGCCCCAACTATATACGTTTTAAGTAGCTTTATTGAAGAATCATTTGCATGCCATACGATTCACCCATAATAAGTGTATTGTTCAACAAGTTTTAGTAAATTTACACACTAGTGCAACCACCACTACAAACTAGTTTTCAAACATGTCCATTTTGTCATTTGCCCATCTGCAGTCAACCCCAGCTCCAGGCAAACAATGGTCTGCTTTTTGTCTCCATAATTATGCCTTTCCTAGAAATCTCCACTCCCTTAAAGAAAAGCAAAAGCAACAAAACAAAACAAAACAGAAAGATGGCCAGGTGTGGTGGCTCACACCTGTAATCCCAGCACTTTGGGAGGCCAATGTGAGCAGATCACCTGACGTTAGGAGTTTGAGACCAGCCTGGACAACATGGTGAAACCCCACCTCTACAAAAATACAAAAATTAGCCAAGCGTGATGGTGGGCGCCTGTAATTCCAGCTACTCAGGAGGCTGAGGCAGAATAATTGCCTGAGCCCTGGAGGTGGAGGTTGCAGTGAGCGGAGATGGTGCTGCTGTGGTCCAGCCTGGGTGACAGAGCAAGACTGTCTCAAAAAAATAAAGATAAAAAAATAAGTAAAACATACATATACAGTTATGTGCCATATAACAATGTTTCAGGCCGGGCACGGTGGCTCATGCCTGTAATCCCAGCACTTTGGGAGGCCGAGGCAGGTGGATCACTTGAGGCCAGGAGTTCAAGACCAGCCTGGCCAACACGGTGAAACCCCGTGGAGACTTCATCAAAACAAAACAAAACAAAACAAAAAACAAAAAGAAGCCTTGTTCTCTTCCAGGCCTGAAAAGGGGAAGACTCAAAGTCAGGGAGGGTGTGTCTGAAAAGGGGCCTAGAGAGTCCGGGCCTGACCCCTCCTGGTTCAACGCAGAGCACTCTCAGATGCACTTAGGGTCAGGCTTGGGCAGGGAATGGCTGCAGCGGTCCCACCAGCCTCTACCTTTATTCTACAGACAATAATGTCAAAAGCAGCTGCAGCAGCAGCAACAGTCACCACTCAGGGCCTGGCCTGGCCTGGCCAGGCCATGTGCGGTCCACCTGAGAATGGAGAAGTCTGGACGCAGATGACAGGAGCCCCTCGCTTCCCAAAGATCAACGTGCAAGGCACTTCCTAAGTGCTGACAGTCTTGCTCCACCCAGCAGGGATGTGGAAGGCCAGACCTGGTGTCTGCTTAGGCCTCTAACCTCAGGGAGGCCTTCTGTTTCTCACCAAGCCAGCTCTAGTTCTAGCTGGAAAGGCTGTTGTTCCCAACTTTTGTTTCTGGGCCTCTAACTGCCCTGTCAAGCTTACCCTGGGTTATGAGTGTTCATAAAGGAAACTGCCACCTGCGTCAACTCAAAAGTGACTGAGAAATTACCTTCCAAACTAGACCCAGGATGAGGAGCTAGGAAAGAGCTCATTCACAAAAGCAGGGCAAGTTGGGAAGTGGGGACAGGAAGCAGGGCTGGCCTCTGCCTACAAGTCACCTGGGCATGTGACCATCAGAGAGGCTTCCTTTATCCTAATCAGGAACTGCCCTTGCCCTGTTTTCTGGGGACTGGAAATTTTCCAGCGTGTCCATCAGGAACAGCCTATCTCACCAAAAAAGCGGCAAAGCTGTGTCTGCAGGTGAGAGTGATTCGGATAATCATCATCATCGTCAGCAGGAAACATTTATTCAGAGCTTCCCATATGCTGCTCTAAGCACTCTCTGATAGGCTGTGTACCATTATCACCCCCATTTCACAGATGAGGTAACTGAGGCCCAGAGAGGTGAAGAAATGTCAGGAGTCACACACAGTGGCGGACAGAATTGGGAACTGAATCCTGGAAGTTGATTCCAAGGTCTCTCTTTATACCCTACATGGTACTGACTTCGGAGGTGGAGATGCCCTGTCTTTCACTGAGCCTTCACTGGCTGACACTGAATCCCAGAATGCTGGGGACAGATCAAAGCTGACATCAACGTTGCCTGTTGCTCTGTTCTTTCCAGCACCCCAAATGCCCCTATCAAGCCAGGGGTCTGTGGTGCTGAGTAATGAGAAATGAGTTTGGTAATGTAGGTGTTAAAAGTTGAGTTGTGTCCCCAGCAAAAAGATATGTTTAAGTCCTAATTCCCCAGTACCTGAGAATGTGACTTTATTTGGAAATAGAGACTTTGCAGATGTAATCAAGTTAAAATGAGGTCATACTAGATTAAGATGGCTCTAAATCCAATCACTGGTGTCCTTATAAGGAGAGAGTTGGAGCCTACAGATACACAAGGAAGATGGCCATGTGACCACAGAGGCGGAGACTGGAGTGATGCTGCTGCAGGCCAAGAATGCCGAGGACTGCCCGCAACCATCAGGAGCTGGGGGAGAGGCATGGACAGATTCCCTCCAGTGCCTCTCAGAGGAGCCAGCCTTTCCGACACCTTGATTTTGGACTTCTGTCCTCATGAACTGCAGAAGAATGGATTTCTGCTGTTCTAAGCCACTTAGTTGGCGGTAATTTCTTATGGCAGCCCTAGCAAACTAAAAGAGCCACTTTTTCAAATCATCTCTTAAACCAGCTTTGTCCTTTTGTTGGTTTCCTTGTTAATGAATTAAATCAATCTTTGACATGTGGTCACTCTATACTTGTATGAGACCCCTTCTGAAAATTATACTTTGCTGTAGCGCAGACCCAGAGCTACTATTTCAGTTTACTCTGCCAATTTGCTGGCAAGCAACGTCCTCCACCAGCCATGCATCTGTCCTAGGCACTGGGAAAATCCAGGCTGAGCCCCCAGCTCCCCCTGGATGGTGGTCCAACCAGAGCTTGGCAGGAGCAAAGAGCTTTCGCAGCTTGGGCTGTTTTTAGCAGCTGGAGGGGCAGAGGCAGCCTGGCAACAGAAAGCTGAGAGGTGGAGGGCAAGGGGAAGTGTGACCTTTTCAAACCTAGCCACATTCGAGGAGTGGAGCAGAGAAAATACTCGTAAATCCATATCTGACATGCTGGGTGCTGAGGCTCAGTGACATGAAGCAGGCGGCCAAACAGCCCACTGAGGACAGTGAGGTCATCTTGAGGCTGAGTCACTCAGATTGGCAGAGCAGTGTGTGCATGGAGGAAGTCAGTTTCCTTTGCACCAGACAGAGCGGGATTCGCAGGGTGGGCCTCAGAGCCCGGGCCTCAGCCCTTTTGCCCTTTGATTCCCCAGGCTTCTGGGAGGAGGCTTAGGTTCCAACCTGGCTCCTTTCTCAGGACAGCTTTAGAACTGAGGCATGTGGTGAGAAGAGGGGAGCGGGGGCTCAGCAGCTGAGTTTGAACCTCCTCTCCTTCACTTACTGAACTGCATGATCAGGAACACCAATCTGACCTTCAGTTTCCTTCCTTGCAAAATTACTCCTTTTCCATAAGTGGTAATTTTATTTGGGCTTATCATTCTCATGAGGCCTCCATGGGGTCAGGGATGAGAAAGCACAGGGTCTAGCAAGAAACTGGCACATAAACATTAAAAAAAAATTTCCTCATCTTCAAATGTGACTCCCTTGGCTTTTTTGAGGAAATCATTCTGAGCAGGAGAGTGGAATGCAAAAGCAATTTAAATAATTTTTTTCCAAAAGTGGAAAATATCTTTTTTTTTTTTCCTCTGTCTCACTCTGTTCACCACAATACAATCTCCACCTCCAGGTTCAAGCGATTCTCCTGCCTCAGCCTCCTGAGTAGCTGGGATTACAGGTGCCCACCACCACAACCAGCTAATTTTTGTATTTTTAGTAGAGACGAAGTTTCACCATGTTGGCCAGGCTGGTCTCGAATTCCTGACCTCAGGTGATCCACCCGCCTCAGCCTCCCAAAGTGCTGGGATTACAGGCGTGAGCCACTATGCTCAGCTGAAAATATCTTTTAATTTAAAAAGTTACTTCATTCTGTCAATTCGAAGACGCACATTTTTTTCACATTTCAACATCTCAAAAATGCAGATGTGTCTAATAGATGACACATTGTAGCAGTTTGCTTTCAGGGGAGTACAGAAAATAATTGTCTTTCAATCAATGGCATCTTAGACTCAGGAAATGTGGTCTAAAAGGGATATATGTTCATTGTGTAAAGTTTTTCTAATTATTATTATTATTTTATTTTTGAGACAAGGTCTCCCTCTGTTGCCCAGGCTGGAGTGTAGTGGCCTGATCACAGGTCACTGAAATCTCAACTTCCCCAGCTCAAGCAATCCTCTCGCCTCAGCCTCCTGAGTAGCTGGGGCCACAGGTGCACATCACCATGCCCAGTTAATTAAAAAAAATTTTTTTTTTGTAGAGACGAGGCCTGTGTTGTCCAGGCAGATCTTAAACTCCTGAGCTCAACTGATCCTCCTGCCTCAGCCTCCCAAAGTGGGGATTACAGGCGTGAGCCACGGCACCCAGCACCGTATAAAGTTTAGACACACAGAAGTATACATAATAAAGACTCCCTGAGTTCAGCTCTCCAGAGAATACCACCACCCTAGAGAAAGTCCACTTTGTGTGCAAGAGCATGCTTCTGTTTTTGTTCTAATTGCCCAGAAACTCTCCTCAGACCAGTCACCCACACCTTCTCCTATTTCTGAGAGCCAAATTAATGCTCAACTAAGGATAGCAACACATTATAAATTAGGATTTCATGATTAGTCACTTTCCCCACCCCCAGCCCACGTGGCTGGCACCTTTCCTCACTGCCCAGGCCTGTCTGGAGTGGCAGTGCAGTGCCCTGTGCTGACCAGAAGGTGTGGGGCTGAGGAAGTCAATGATTCAAGCCTTTACAAAAGTGTACGTGCAGTGCAGTTTGTAGTTTTATTATTTGCAGGTGACAAAAATCAGGGTGGTGTGGGGCCTGAAGGGTTTGGAAAGCTGGAAAGTACTGGGAAATTAGAAAGGTATGTCTTGCTCAAGAACTGGTTTTGTTTCTTGTTTTTGAGATGGGCTCACTCTGTCACCCAGGCTGGGGTGCAGTGGTTCGATCACTGCTCACTGCAGCCTGAGATTCCCGGGCTTAAGTGATCCTCTTGCCTCTCAGCCTCCAGAGAAGCTGGGACTATAGGCGTGCACCACCATGCCTGGCTAAGTTTTTTATTTTTTGTAGAGGTTTCACTATCTTGCCCAGGCTGGTCTCCAACTCCTGGCCTCCCACCTTGGCCTCACAAAGTGCTGGGATTACAGGCGTAAGCTACCACACCCAGCCTCAAGGACAGTTTTTTTTTTTTTTTTTTAAACCATCATACAATTTAGTAGAACCACCAGCAGCACCATGCTCAGCTCTATGCCAACTTAACCAAACCAGGAAGAAGGCGTTCACTTGGCCCACAGGAGGTCAAGGGCTGTGTGAGCTTGTGCCGACTCTGCTGAACAGGTACTAGCTATCAGGAGCAAAGCGTTGTGAAGGATTCTGAGATCCACGTCTTTCCAAGAAGACAGGGTCAATGACTTGTCCAAGTTCATTTGACTACCAATCGGTGGAACCAATCTGGAATGCAGTAGTCTATTGTCAAGCAAATCCAGGGCTCTTTCCACCATGCCATGTGGTGGCCTTCCGAGGGCCACCCTCTCCTCACCCCCATCAGCAACATTAAAAACTCTTCTTTGCCCTGAGTCTACCTCTGTGGCTTCATGTGGATCGCAACTTCAGCAGGAGACTGAGATGAGGGGGAAGGGGAAGGAGGCGTGGAAACCCCAGCCTGAGGGACCTCTGGCTATGAATGAGGCTTCTGTCTGCCTGCGCTGTGCGTCTGGAATTTTGTATGAAAGCAATGAACTGGAAGGAGGTGAAAGCACGTTCGCAAAAGCAAGGCCACCACAGGCCCTCTCCCTTGCTTATAAAAGACTTGCTTTGTTTCAGGCAAAGCAAAGGAGAAGCTAGGGATATGCTGAGGTTTGGTGGCGCTCAGGTGTTTGAGGTTAACGTGCCAATGACTAGGAGGAGGTGGCCATCAGAAAAATCAGGAGCCCAACCCGAACCTGAGGTTTCGGACTCCTAATCATCTTCACAGCCATGCTCATATTTGTGTAATGCTTTATAGTGTGCGGAATGCTTTCTCAGACATTTTCTCAACAGAGGGAGAGCTTAGGGAGGGATGAAGAGCGCCGATTCATGCAGCCTTCTATCTGGCTGTCTGGGTGACTGTGGTGTGCCAGGCACTGTGGATGCTGTGCTTTGTTCATCACTGTCCCCATCCTTAGGAGTCTGACGGATGGGTAGAAGTCCTGGCCTCCCTGCCTGCCAGCTTCAGGACCTTGCACAAGTTAATCAATCGTTGTAGCAGCTGCAAAAGGGAGAATGACAGTGGCTGCCTAGCAGGGTGGCTGTGAGGATTAAAGGAGCTCTGGGGGTGAGGGGCCTGGCTTATGACAAGGCCTTAATCGATGGTGGCTATTAGCCGTCATGGCCAGTGAGATGCGAACAGTAAGGCTGGGCACAATACGGTCTAGCCTGGAAGCATCTGGGTATGCCTGGATGTCATTCCCACCTAGAAAAACGGTATGGTGGTGGGCAGCAAGGGGTTACGGGGAGTTGCTGCATCGTGTCAGGCAGGCTGTGGACTCCTGGTGGGAGGGGCCCACAGGGCTGGGGAATGCTGGTTAATAGAGTCCAAGGAACTGTGCGGCTTTCCACTTTAACCACAATATACAAGTACTGAGATCGAATGAGGGTCAAATTGTATCATTCCTCTCCTCCATCCCTCCCCTAGGTCCCCATCTCACTCAGAGGAATAGCTACAATCCTCAGAATGACCTACAAGGTCCTACACAATTGGGTCCCCACTACCTCCCTGACCTCTGCTCCTCCGGTTCTCTTTCTTCCTCTCTTTGCTGGCCACAAGGGCCTCCTTGACCATCCTCAAATATGCCAAGCACGCTGTGGTCTCGGGGCCCTTGCACATGCTGTTCCCACTGCCAGATATGTTCTTCCCCCAGATATTTATTTTATAGTTCCCTCATTTCCTTCAGACTTCTCAAACGCCATCTTTTCAAAGAGGTCTTCTTTGACTACTTTATATAAAATAGCAACCCGCTGATGGTGGTCCCTATCCACCACACATGCTGAATCTCCCCCCACCAGAGCACTTATTAACCTATGACATATTTAATTAATTAATTTATTTTGAGATGGAGTCTTGCTCTGTCACCCAGGCTGGAGTACTGTGGTGCAGTCTTGGCTCACTGCAACCTCTGCCTCCCAGGTTCAAGTGATTTTCCTGACTCAGCCTCCCGAGTAGCTGGGACTACAGGCATGCACCACGCCTGGCTAATTTTTGTATTTTTAGCAGAGATGGGGTTTTGCCATGTTGTCCAGGCTGGTCTTGAACTCTTGACCTCAAGTGATCCACCCACCTCGGCCTTCCAAAGTGCTGGGATTACACGTGTGAGCCACTGTGCCCGGCCCTGTGACATATTTTATAACATATACAAGCATGTTATCTGTCTCTTTCTCCACTAGAAATGTAAGTTCCATAAGGGCAAGGATTTTGTTTGTTTAAGTGTTAGGACTTAGCACTATGTTTGGCATGCAACGGGTGCTCAAAAAATATTATTGAATGAATCAATTACTGTTGAGAGAAAACAGCAGGCTGCTATACAGTGGTATGGCGGGAGTCCTTTTTCATCACCTAGAACTAATATTTGTTTGAGATTGCTTCATGTAAGCATTGACTAAACCCTTTACATGCATTAGCTTATTTAAGCAGGTACTATTATTATTATTATTTTTAGATGGAGTCTCGCTCTGTTGCTTAGGTTGGAGTGCGATGGCATAATCTCAGCTCACTGCAACCTCCACCTCCCGGGTTCAAGCGATTTTCCTGTCTCAGCCTCCTGAGTAGCTGGATTACAGGCTCCTGCCACCACGCCCGGCTAATTTTTGTATTTTTATTAGAGACGGCGTTTCACCATGTTGGTCAGCCTGGTCTTGAACTCTTGACCTCGTGATCCACCCACCTCAGCCTGCCAAAGTGCTGATATTACAGGCATGAGCCAACGCACCCAGCCCAGGTACTATTATTATCTCATATTTATTTATTTATTTATTTATTTATTTTAGAGGGAGTCTTACTCTGTTGCCCAGGCTGGAGTGCAATGGCGCAATCTCGGATCACTGCAACCTCTGCCTCCTGGGTTCAAGTGATTCTCCTGCCTCAGCCTCCAGGGTGGCTGGGAATATAGGCACCCACCACCACGCCTGGCTAATTTTTGCATTTTTAGTAGAGATGGGGTTTCACCATGTTAGCCAGGATGGTCTCGATCTCCTGACTTCATGATACGCCCGCCTCGGCCTCCCAAAGTCCTGGGATTACAGGCATGAGCCACCACACTCAGCCTATTTTTTATTTTTTAACACAGAGTCTCACTCTGTTGCCTAGGCTGGAGTGGAGTGGTGCAATCTTGGCTCACTGTAACCTCTGCTTCCTGGGTTCAAGCGATTCTCCTGCCTCAGCCTTCTGAGTAGCTGGGATGACAGGTGCCTGCCACCACGCCTGGCTTTTTTTTTCTTTTTACTTTTTAAATTTTTTTGAGCCAGAGTCTTGCTCTGTCACCCAGGCTGGAGTGCAGTGGCGCGATCTCGATACACTGCAAGCTCCGCCTCCTGGGTTCAAGTGATTCTCCTGCCTCAGCCTCTCGAGTAGCTGGGATTATAGGCATGCACCATGTCCGGCTAATTTTTGTATTTTTAGTAAAGACGAGATTTCACCATGTTGGCCAGGCTGGTCTTGAACTCCTGACTTCAGGTGATCCACCTACCTTAGCCTCCCAAAGTGCTGGGATTACAGGCGTGAGCCACCGCACTCAGCTGCCTGGCAAATTTTTGTATTTTTTGGTAGAGATAGAATTTCACCATGTTGGCCAGGCTGGTCTCAAACTCCTGACCCCAAGTGATCCGCCTGCCTCGGCCTCCCAGAGTGCTGGGATTACAGGTGTGAGCCACTGTGCCCAGCCTTATCTTGTTTTATTGAAGAGGAAACTGGATCTCAAAGGAGTTAGTTATCTTACTTCAGTTAGTAATGGCACAGCCAGAACTGTGTCTAGTCCTGATGACCCGAGTATGGGCTCTTAGCCATCACACAATGTTCATTCCTGATGGAATCTGAAAGGGTGGATACCAGAACTATAGTAAGTTTACAGGTGATCTGTATCCCTTCTTCATATTTTTCTATACTTATGTTTTTTCCCCAAGAAGCATGTATTAATTTTATATTAGGAAAAAAAAGTTGTTCCACTTGTCCATCTATCCACTAGGCATAACCAAAAGAGTGGGGACTCAATTGAGGAAGGTTGCTCACAGCTGTTTTGGGAGCCCCTGAATCCCAGAATCTCTCGGAACTTGGTTAAGAGCAGGAAGGTTGGGGGGACCCCAGGCTCAGATGATGATGGCAGGAAGATGATGTCCAGGTAGGATGTTAGGATTGCGACTGTTAGCACAGGCAGCAAGGGCTGAGATGGAAAACAAAGCTTCTCTGCAAGTGCAGTGGTACGACGTCTTTTCCTTCTCGATTCTTGTGTTGCACAGACCGTAAAAATGTCTCAAGGTCTGAGGCTGGCTGGGTTAATTGATGCCACCTTTCCCAAAATGTGTTTGGCTTTGGACCTGTGACAACAATCACATTTTCATCCAGAAAGAACAGGCAGACTTATCTTAGATGACCCAGCCTCATACTTCTCAGAGTGGGTTTCTGTCCCTGCAGGATCTAGTTAGGAGGAAAGAGATGCTGTGACAACTTCTTGACTAATTCCTTCAGATCCATAAGATCCTTGTCCCCCCAACCCTCCAGTTGCCAGTAAACACTATATTAGGGCAAGAAACCAGCACTCCTGGTACAAAGTAAAGAGAATATCCTTCTTTCACGGAAATACACACTAAAGTGTGTAGGGGCAAAGGAACAAAATGAATGACATTCTCAAACAGTTCAGAAAAAAAATACGCACCTGTGTGTGTGTGTGTGTGTGTGTGTGTATACACACACAGAGAGAAAGCAAATGAGGCGAGGTGTAAACTGGAAAATCTGGGTGAAGGGCAAATGTGAGTTCCTTGTGCTATTCTTGCAACTCTTCTGCAAATTTAAAATCATATCAAAGTAAAAAGTTTCCAAAAAAAAAAGTTTCAAAAAAAAAAAAAAGTATATGTATGCCGAATTAACTAAAGTGCTCAGAGGAGACGCTGAGCAAAGGATCCAAGTCCTTTTCTTGTGTTAAATCAATGCAAGAACTTGAGAAAATTACGATCACCCCATTCTTCCCATGGTTCACTGTGGACTCTCTTAAGCTTCCGGTATGGAAAATATCCTGCTCGGAAGAGAGCTTTGATCAGAAAAATGCAATAAATGCCTGGAGCCAGAGATCTGAATCTTTGCAAGGGACTGTAGGAGATAACACAGAAAAGGAAACTTGAGTACCTCCCCATGGGAAGGCCAAGGCAGGGTCAACATGGAGAAAATCTGAAAGCCTGCAGGCCACACTTTCCAGAGCAGTGGGGGGCTGGAAGGTGGCACAGGCAAGTAAGGCACAGCCCTGCTGTTAGGGGTTTATAGTTTAATAGGAGAGAGAAATGACACCAGGCAACTGGGTCATTTGGGGTAGAAAATGCCCCAAATGGGGTAGAAAATGCTCAGGGTAAGAGAAGGGTCACAGAAGAAATCCTCCAGGGGCTGAGAGCAGGGAGAGGAATTTCTGATGTAGACTGGGATGAAGACAGAGAGGCAGATACAGCAATACCCTGCACTGTAGCCTCATGATAAGTTCTCTTTCTGCTTAAGCCAGCCAGCTGGCTCATCACAACCAAAAGTGTGAATCCTCCCCTGCACTGGGGGCAGTTTTTGTACAATGCAGGCACACACACAGCGAGCTCCCTCTTGCCTCAACCATTTCTTTTGCCTGAAATGTCCTCTTCCTGATGTGCTTTCCAAATGCTGCTCTTCCACCAGGCCTAGCTCCAGCCAGCATGAAACCACTCATTCACACCTGACATGTTCCCACCTTCCCCTTGCAATGCCTTTCTGTTATATCCCCAATAAGCCCAAATCTTTCCAGTCCTTCGAGGCCCGCCTCCAATGTCTCATCCCCTTCCAGTTTCTCAGGCTGCTTTCTGGAGAAGTCATTTAATTCCGAGTCAATGCAAACCATCGATATAACTTGGTTGTTCAAACTTTTTTTTTGAGACAGGGTCTCCTGTTGCCCAGGCTGGAGTGCAGTAGTGTGACCATGGCTCACTGCAGCCTCAACCTCCCGGGCTCAAGTGATTCTCCTGCCTCAGCCGTCCAAGTAGCTGGGACTACAGGCATGTGCCACCACACCCAGCTCATTTTAAATTTTTTTGTACAGACAGGGTCTCATTATGTTGCCCAGGCTGATCTAGAACTTCTGGGCTCAAGCCATCCTCCTGCCTCAGCCTCCCAAAGTGTAAGATTACAGGTGTGAGCCACTGTGCCCGGCCACATGGGAGCCATTCTGGAAAGCCCTGAAGGCACTTGGCATGGAAGGCAAGCTTGTCACACGACAAGGACAGCTAAGGGAGCCAAGCTCATTGGGCCTTATGCCAGCTTGGAGAGGTACATTCCAGAGGAGTCTCATAAAAGCAGGAGTTGAGTTCTGGGTAGCACAGCAATTAGAACTAGGACCAATGCAGCTATGAAACACTAAAAAACAGATTTAGGAACACTTAACATTATGAAATGCTGCCATGTGCGGTGGCTTGCTACCAGTTTCAAGAGGGAGTCAGATGAAACTGGGGAAGTTGTATAAAGATTTGCTTTGGCTTAGATCAGACGCTCCTAAATGTCCAACCATTAGTGCAATCTCCAGTGGACTAGGGTGACCTGAGGAAAATAAGGCCATAGCCCTAAAGCTGGTCCATTTAAAGGACTTTTCCTTTCTTGATAACAGTCCATATGCAAAGGGCTCTGAAAACCAAGTTTTTTTTTTTTTTTTTTTTTGGTTTGGTATAAAAACTCATTTTGCAGAAAACTCTGACCTGAACTGACATAGTTATTTATAGCCTTTACTTATTCCACTTAGTTGAATATTCACATGGTTCACTGGAAATTTTGCATTTTACTATGAAGTGTTACATTCACCATATTAACCTTTCAAAAATGTAAATACATTGCAATTCCAAAATACATCTGGCCTCCAGGGTTTCATAAGAAACTGTGGATTAGGTGTATCCTTTTTTGTTGTTGCTGTTAGTTTTTATTTCATAATCATAAGCTTAACTCTGCAATCCAGCTAGGCATGAAAGGAATAAGGAGAACATGGAACCCAAAGGGAACTGCAGTGAAAGCTCAAAGATTCTAGGATACTGCGAGCAAATGGGGTGGAGGGGTGCTCCCCTGAGCTACAGAAGAAATGGTCTGGTGGTTAAGATAAAACACAAGTCAAACTTAGTAGAGCTGTCCACAGTTAGCAATGGTGATCTTCTTGCTGGTCTTGCCATTCCTGGACCCAAAGCGCTCCATGGCCTCCACAATATTCATGCCTTCACCATGCCAAAGGCCACATGCTTGCCATCCAACCACTCAGTCTTGGCAGGGCACATGAAAACTGGGAACCACTTGTGTTGGGTCCAGCATTTGCCATGGACAGGATGCCAGGACCTATATGCTTCAGGATGAAGTTCTTGCAATCAAATTTCTCCCTGTAGATGGATGTGCCACCAGTGTGGCATGTGAAGTCACCACCCTGACATACAAACCCTGGAATAATTCTGTGAAAGCAGGAACCCTTACACCCAAATCTTTTCTCTCCAGTGCTCAGAGCATGAAAGTTCTCTGTTGTCTTTGGAAACTTGTCTGCAAACAGCTCAAAGGAGATACGGCCCAAGGGCTTGTCGTTGACAGCAATATCGAAGACCATGGTGGGGTTGACCATGGCTGGTAATACGGGGCTCCCAGTGGCAGCAGCATCTGCAAACCTGGTGTATCCTATTTTTCAAGTATTGTAATGGCCTTTCTTTAATTAAATGGTGAGTTAATAGTAGCGTTTGGTATGTTTTTTACATTAAAAACTGTTATAGCTTAGTGATATGGTTTGAATACTGCTTGTTTGTCCCACCAAGTCATGGTGAAACCTGATCCCCAATGTGACAATGTTGGGAGGTGAAGCCTAGTGGGAGGTTCTTGGGTCACGGGGGTGGATCCTTCACGAATGGCTTGGTGCCTTTCTTGCCATAGTGATTGAGTTCTTGCTCTGAGGAAACTGGATTAGTTCTCACAGGAATCAATTAGTTCTGGGGAGAGTGGGTTGTTATGAAGCCAGGGCGTGCCTTGGGTTTTGCCTCTCTTTGCAGGTGTCTGCTTTCCCTTTGACCTTCATGTTGTGACCTAGCATGTGGCCCTCACCAGAAGCAAGAATATGCTGGTGCCATGCTCCTTGGACTTCCCAGCCTGCAGAACTGTGAGCTAAATAAACCTCTTTTCTTTCTTTCTTTTTTTTTTTTTTTGAGACGGAGTCTAGCTCTGTTGCCCAGGCTGGAGTGCAGTGGTGTGATCTCTGCTCTCTGCAAGCTCCGCCTCCCAGGTTCACGCCATTCTCCTGCCTCAGCCTCCCGAGTAGCTGGGACTACAGACGCCTGCCACCACACCCGGCTAATTTTTTTTTGTATTTTTAGTAGAGACCGGGTTTCACCCTGTTAGTCAGGATGGTCTCGATCTCCTGACCTCGTGATCCACCTGCCTTGGCCTCCCAAAGTGCTGGGATTACAGGCGTGAGCCACGGCATCTGGCAATAAACCTCTTTATAAATTACTCAGTCCCAGGTATTCTGTTAAAGCAATACAAAATGGACTAAGACATTCAGTAAAATAAAACGTTTGGCAACCCTGAGTCTAGCTCCAAAATTTCTGGAACATTTTATTGGTCTGTGAAGTCCAACCCCAGCATAAGGCACCTCTAGTGCTTTAGAATTCTAGGCTTAATTAGACCAGAGGTTGCCAGTTGGTAGCTCCACTGACCAAACTGGGCCTGCAGGTGTGCTTTGCTTGCCTCACACAGGGCCTTCTTCCCCCTTTTTAATCTGGAAAGTGAACATAAAGTCCAGTTTCCAGTTTCTGGTTTTTTTTTTTGTTTGTTTGTTTGTTTGAGACAGACTCTCATTCTGTCACCCAGGCTGGAGTGCAGTGATGTGATCTCGGCTCACTGTAACCTCTGGCTTCTGGGTTCAAGTGATTCTCCTGCCTTGGCCTCCCGAGCAGCTGGGATCACAGACACGCGTCACCATGCCCAGCTAATTTTTTTTTGTTTGTTTGTATTTTTAATGGAGATGGGGTTTCGCCATGTTGGCCAGGCTGGTCTCAAACTCCTGACCTCAGGTGATCCACCCACCTTGGCCTCCCAAAGTGCTGCAATTACAGGCGTGAGCCACTGTGCCCAGCCTGGTTTCCAGTTTCTCTTGAAAATTCAGAAGATGTTGGCAACAGACTTGCATGGCATACAATCAACTGAAGCCAAGAAGCAGGTGGCCCCCTCTGCTTTCCAGCTGACCCCTTTGTGCTGACTGGAACACCTAGTGTGCTTCACTGCCACAGAACACAGGGCTAGAAAAGACTGCTTTTCTTAGGTGAGGACTGCTGATCATCGGCTCTATATAGGAATAGTGCCCTACCCAGTAACTCCACACAAAATTAAGAGTCTGATGCTGCTCCAGGGAAGGCCTGCCCAGAAACAGGCCTGCAGCAGACCCAGGGTACCAGAAGACTAGGAGGTCAAGAACAACTTGTTTGACTCAGTGAGCTCCTTAGCTGATGACAAAGAATTTGCTTGATTAGGAGTTCCTGCTGGGTGCGGTAGCTCATGCCTGTGATCCCAGCACTTAAAGAGGCCAAGGCGGGAAGATTGCTTCAGCCCAGGAGTTTGAGAGTGTAAATTTCCTTTGCATGTCATGTTGGAGCTTAAAAAGTTTTGGGCCAGGCACGGTGGCTCATGTTTGTAATGCCAGTACTTTGGGAGGCAGAAGCAGGAGGATCACTTGAGCCCAGGAGTTCAAGACCAGCCTGGGCAACATGGCGAAACTCCATCTCTACATAAAAAAAAAAAAAAAAAAAAAAAAAAAAAAAAAAAAAAAGCCAGTTCTGGTGGCGTGTGCCTATAGTCCCATCTATCTGAGAGGCTGAGGTGGGAGAATCACCTGAGCCTGGGAGGCCGAGGCTGCAGTAAGCCGTGATCATGCCACTGTACTCCAGCCTGGGCGACAGAGTGAGCATTAGCTAGTTCAATGCTGAGGAGTTGGAATGAGAATGGGTATCTATGTCCAGTCCTTGACTTCAATAAAAATGCTACCAAAGTCATCCCATTAAGTATGATGATTGCTGTACATTTTAAAAAACACTTAAACTATTGTAGGAAATTTCAAACATATGCCAAAGTATAACAAATAATATAATAAACTCCCATTTGCCCTTCCCAGCTTTGACAAATGGTGTTATTTTTTTCCGTCTACTTGGGATATCTGTGGTGTTTTTCTTTCTTTGTTTTTAGAGATAGGGTTTTGCTCTGTTGCCCAGGCTGGAGTTCAGTGGCACCATCACAGCTCACTTGCAGTCTTGATATCCTGGGCTCAAGGGATCTCCTCATCTCAGCCTCCTGAGTAGCTGGGACTAGAGTTGTGTACCACCACACTTGAATAATTTTTTAATTTTTAGTTTTGTAGACAGGGTCTTGCTATGTTGCCTAGGTTTGTCTTGAACTCCTGGCCTCAAGGGATCCTTCCACCTTGGCCTCGACTTAGGATACTTTTGAAAAAAAGAAGATATTCAAGACTCCCTATATCATGCTTTAAGCATGCTTACACAGCATGCTTTTTTTTTTTTTTTTTAGAGAGAATTTTAGAGCAGTTTTAGTTCAAAGCAACACTGTGTAGAGCCAGCATGCATTTAAAAAGAAGAACCCTGGCCAGGCATGGTGGCTCAGGCCTGAAATCCCAGCAATTTGGGAGACTGAAGCAGGAGGATTGCTTGAATCCAGGAGTTTGGGACCAGCCTGGGCAACACAGGGAGACCCAGTCTCTACAGAAAATAAAAAATAAAAAAATAAGCCGGGCATGGTGGCACACATTTGCAGTCTCAGCTTCTCAGGAGGCTGAGACAAAGATTGCTTGAGCCTAGGAGTTTGAGGCTGCAGTGAGCTATGATCCTGTCATTGCACTCCAGCCTAGGTGACAGAGACCATCTCCAAATAAATAGCCCTGACAGAAATTCCTAGCCTTCATATTTTTCAATAATTTATTATTAATTTTATGGACGATGACTTTGGTAACTGTCTAGGATTTTGATTATTAGAAAGCTTAGACCCAGTATGTGCAAGGTGGCATGGGGTAATTTTTCCTCCTCAGTCGTGGCCCAATTTTATTTTACTTATTTGGCTCAATTTTATATTCTCTTATTTTACTTTCTTTTCTCCCCCCCAACCCCCGATTTAAGCCATGATATTCTATATTTTATCTAACAGGGTCTCCTCATGTTGCCCAGGCTGGAGTGCAGTGGCATGATCTTGGCTCATGCAGCCTCAACCTCCTGAGCTCAAGTGATCCTTACCTCAGTCTCCCGAGTAGCTGGGACCACAGTTGTGCACCACCACGCGTGGCTAATTTTAAAATTTTCTGTAGAGGTGGGCTCTCGCTATGTTGCCCAGGCTGGTTTTGAACTCAGGGATTCAGCTATCCTCCTGCCTCAGACTCCCAGAGTGCTGGGATTACAAGCATGAGCCACTGTGCCCAGCCTATTCCATATTTTATATATCTGTGTAAGGCCACCTTAAAGCTTTACTGAAACAAGGCAGGCATAAATAAATGTTTATTCAGTCTTTCTATCTAGTAATTGGTGAAAACTAGGTTCAGCTTTTCTCATTAAGTGTATGCTTTAAGAAACTCTAAAATTTGGTAAGAAATAAGGTCCTTTGCCGCAGTCAAATTTACATTCGTGGTAACAATGTTTACTGCCACTAAGTGATTTTATTCCAGACCAGAGGGCACACCATCATACTATCTATGAATGGCCACTGTTAGCAACCAGAAAGTATTGATTCAAGTCCACCTTCAGACCAGGGTTCTACTCCCTTTCTGCAACAAATATTTATTAAATATCTAAAATGTACTAGGCCAGGCACGGTGGCTCACACCTGTAATCCCAGTACTTTGGGAGGCGGAGGTGGGTGGATCACCTGAGGTCAGGAGTTCGAGACCAGCCTGGCCAACATGGTGAAACCCGTCTCCACTAAAAATACAAAAAATTAGCCAGGCATGGTGGCATATGCCTGTAATCCCAGCTACTCAGAAGGCTGAGGTGCAAGAACAGCTTGAAGTCAGGAGGCAGAGCTTGCAGTGAACCAAGACACCACCATTGCACTCCAGCCTGGGCAACAAGGGCGAGACTCCGTCTCATTCATAAATAAATAAATAAATAAATAAATAAATAAATAAATAGATGTTCTAGGAACTGTACTAGGTTTCAGTTATACCAAAGTGAGTAAAGACCCAGTATTTAGTTGCCCTCTGGGAACTCTGGGAACTTACTATCTCATAGAGAAGACAGAGAAGCAACCAACAATTATAGCCTAGGGAAGGAGGGGTAAACTATGAGGAGAGGTGCACCTAGCTTAGTGCCCAGTAAAAACTGTCCGGCCAGGAACGGTGGCTCACGCCTGTAATCCCAGCACTTTGGAAGGCTGACGTAGAAGGATGGCTTGAACCCAGGAGTTTGTGACCAGCCTGAGCAACATAGGGAGACCCTATCTCTACAAAAAATACAAAAATTAGCTGGGCATGGTGGCACGTGCCTGTAGTTCCAGCAACTCGGGAGGCTGAGGTGGGAGGACTGCTTGAGCCTGGAAGGTCAAGGCTGCAGTGAGCCGTGATTATACCACTGCATTCCAGCCTGGGTGACAGAGTGAGACCCAGTCTCAAAAATCAAAATAAAACAAAACAAAAACAAAAAAGCAAAGACCACCAAAAAAAAAAAAAAAAAAAAAACCAAAACAAACAAAAAAACAACACCCTGTCCCTGTAGCTTTTCTTTTTTCTTTTTTTTTTTTTTTTGAGACAGAGTTTCACTCTGTCACCCAGGCTGGGGTGCAATGGTGTGATCTTGGCTCACTGAAACCTCTGCCTCCCCGGTTCAAGCGATTCTCCTGCCTCAGCCTCCTGAGTAGCTGGGATTAGAGGCCTATAGCTTTTCAAATAGTGGTTGAAGACACAGTTTTAAGAAAATTATCTACTTTGATCAATTTTGAAAACAATTTCTAAATTTAAATTGTAAGTATGACAGTAATCCTAAGTGCTCTCTTGTTTTGGACTTCTTATAACTTTAGAATCAGTATCAATGACTTACTGATATTAGGGAATCAATAGATTGGGGAAGGACGTAATTCTTTTTTTTTGTTTGTTTGTTTTTTGAGACGGAGTCTCACTCTGTTGCCCAGGCTGGAGTGCAGTGGCGCGATCTAGGCTCACTGCAACCTCTCCCTCCTGGGTTCAAGTGATTCTCCTGCCTCAGCCTCCTGAGTAGCTAGGATTACAGGCACGTGCCACTGCGCCCGGCTAATTTTTTGTATTTTTAGTAGAGACGGGGTTTCACCGTGTTAGCCAGGATGGTCTCGATCTCCTGACCTTGTGATCCACCCGCCTCAGCCTCCCAAAATGTTGGGATTACAGGGGTGAGCCACCGCGCCCAGCCAGGATGTAATTTATAGAAGTCATTTAGTTTGTCTCTTTTGATATACTTCATTAAAAGAAGCTTATCAACAATTCAAAAGTTTCCTAATGGGAAATTAGTTGAAGAACCAGTCTGTAACCTGGCTCTCTTCTGCTGCCTGTTAGTATCCATGCCCTTGGTTATTACCTTCCTCACTGTATCAGAGTTAGTTTGTGTGACCAACAGAATTTTGCACAGTGATGGTATGTCACTTCAGAGATTAGGTTATGAAAGATATGGTGGCTTCCATCCCTCTGCCTTTCTCTTGAATCACTTGCTCTGAGGGAAGCCAGCTGCTTTATCTGAGCAGCCTTATGGCGAGACCCACGTGGTGAGGAACTGAAGATTCCGGTTAATAGCATCTGAATGAGCAAAGAAAATCCTCCAGGCCTAGTCAATAGCTTGACAGCAACTCCAGGAGAGTCTTTGACCTAGAACCACTCAGCTAAGCTGCTCCTAGATTCCTGACCCTTAGAAACTGTGTAAGATACTAAATATTTGCATGTTTATTTATTTATGTATTTTTAGATGGAGTCTCGCTCTTGTCACTCAGGCTGGAGTGCAATGGCGCCATCTCAGCTCACTGCAACCTCCACCTCCCGGGTTCAAGCGATTCTCCTGCCTCAGCCTCCCAAGTAGCTGGAATTACAGGCACCCACCACCACACCCAGCTAATTTTTCTATTTTTAGATGGGGTTTCACCATGTTGACCAGGCTGGTCTTGAACTCCTGACCTCAGGTGATCTGCCCACCTTGGCCTCCCAAAGTGCTAGGATTACAGGCGTGAGCCACCACCCCCAGCCTATTTGCTGTTTTAAACTGCCAAAGTTTTGGAGGTAATCTGTTACATAGCAATGGATAACTTTTTTAAAAATTTAAAACATTATTATTTTAGAGACCCTGTGCAAGCATAGCTCACTGCAGTCTTGAACTCCGGAACTCAAGTGATCCTCCTGCCTTAACCTTCTGAGGAGCTGAGACTCCAGGCATGTGCCACTACACCTGGCTACTTTACTTTTAATTTTTTTAGAGATGGAGGTCTCACTATGTTGCCCAGGCTGGTCTCAAACTCCTGGGCTAAAGCGACCCTCCTGCTTCGGCCTCCAGAGTTGCTGGGATTTTGAGGACTTTGCTATAACATGAGGCCAGAAAAATAAATGTATTTTATTATTATTTTCTCACTGCAACCTCCGCCTCCCAGGTTCAAGCGATTCTTCTGCCTCAGCCGCCCAAGTAGCTGGAATTACACCATGTGCCACCACGTCTGGCTAATTTGTTTGTATTATTATTATTCTTTTTTTTTTAGTAGAGATGAGGTTTCGCCATGTTGGCCAGTCTGGTCTCGAATTCCTGACCTTAGGTGATTCACCTGCCTCGGCCTCCTGAAGTGCTGGGATTACAGGCATGAGCCGCTGTGCCCGGCCAATAAATGTATTTTAGGTATTCAAAGACAGATGACTTAGGCAGAAGGTTCTATTTATTCCAGGTGATATCACAGTACTTACTCATCTTCATTGATAAAAAGGGCTATATGTGCACATAGCACATATGTATTTACCACCTAATTTTGGCAAAAGTATTTAAAATATAGAACTTTATTTGCCGAAGTTGCATGACTGAATAAACTCTTATGGATTTTTTAAAAAATGTGATTAGGTACATAAAGTGCTACATTAGAATGCTCAACTTTAAAACTATCCCAAATTTACTTCGTAGAAGAAAATGTAAATGTAATGAGCTCTATAAACACTATTTAAAGAAAATAAGGCCTTGCATGGTGGTTCATGCCTAAAATTTCAGTACTTTGGCAGGGGGAGGCAGGAGGATCGCTTGAGGCCAGGAGTTCAGGACCAGCCTGATCAACAGAACTAGACCCAGTCTCTAAAAATAAAAAATAAAACAAAAATTTGGTTTAAGATATTCAAAACACATTAACTCTTTGAAGATTAGCTATGAAGTGCAGGAGGAGGGGTAATGGGGGAGGCTAAATAAGCATGGGCTAATTATCTCAGAGCAAGTTTTCAACCCAAAACAAAATGACATAACTATGCAAAGATTACACAGTGAAGTAATTTATGGCAGAAGCCTGAGATTCAAAAAATTGAAATGGTTGGTATTTTTAGTGCCTTTGCAGCTCCTCCCTTGTTTGCTTGTAGAACCTGCCATGAGGAAGGATCCTCAGTCTAGCAGGAAGGGATCCCGCCATTTAAGAGTGAAAAGAATGCTATTCCAAGCAGGCACACCTGCTTCCAATTCTATGTGGAGCACGATGCTCATGCTGATGGGATAAATGAGCACACAGAACTTAGGATAAAGAAAAATCCTAGGATGAAATTTCATAAAGTAGAAGTTTGAATCTCTGCTAAATGAAGTCTGGTTGCCCAGATATTCTCTGGCCAGTTCAAAAGGTGAAAATGACAAGGAGCACAACCAGCAACAGTTTCTCTACTTGTTCCTTTCTCCCTCCCCTGGTCCCTTTGCCTTTCTTATTCGTAATGCTCATGATGTCTTTTTCTTTCTTTCTCTTTCTTTTCTTTTCTTTTTCTTTCTCTCTCCCTCTCTCTTTCTCTTTCTCTCTTTCTTTTGAGACAGTTTCACTCTTGTTGCCAGGATGGAGTGCAATGGTGTGATCTTGGCTCACTGCAAACTCCACCTCCTGGGTTCAAGCGATTCTCCTGCCTCAGCCTCCCGAGTAGCTGGGATTACAGGCATGTGCCACCATGCCCGGCTAATTTTGTATTTTTAGTAGAGACAAGGTTTCCCCATGTTGGTCAGGCTGGTCTCGAACTCCCGACCTCAGGTGATCTGCCCGCCTCAGCCTCCCAAAGTGCTGGGATTACAAGTGTGAGCCACCACACCCGGCGTCTTTTTCATAGGCTTTATAGGTTTTATCTCAGTGTCCTTGCATGACAGGGTAACAGATCACATAATTTTAAGATTTGGGCTGAAAGGCGCTGAATCTTTAGGGAAAAAAAAAGGTCCTGCTCAATCTACTGAATGAACAGCACGATAAACACAAACAATAAGACATGGTGGACACTTGCCTCCATGTGCAAGGGATTTAGATCCATCCAATCCATGCCCCAGCTCATCAATAGGAGACGCCTTTCAAAGAGCCTGTCTGGCTAAAACACTTTTTCTTGGCTTAAAAAAAAAAAATCCTTAGGCCAGGCGCAGTGACTCACACCTGTAATCCCAGCACTTTGGAAGGCTGAGGCGGGCAGATCACGAAGTCAGGAGATGGAGACCATCCTGGCCAAGATGGTGAAACCTGTCTCTACTAAAATACAAAAAATTAGCCAGTCGTGGTGGTGCACACCTGTAGTCCAAGCTACTCAGGAGGCTGAGGCAGGGGAATCCCTTGAACCCGGGAGGCGGAGGGTGCAGTGAGCCAAGATGGTGCCACTGCACTCCAGCCTGGAGACAGAGTGAGACTCCGTCTCAAAAAAACAAACAAAAAACCAAAAACCTTCACTAGTTACCCATTACTCGCAAGTTACAGTTCAAACCATTTAACAGGGGAAAACTCCAGGAGAGTACACACAAAGCCTTAAAAATGCTTCCCAGTCATAATGCCTTTTTAAAGAAAATCAAGATCAGATCTTAATGGTTTTCAATGACATGTGCTTCAAGAGAAACCAGACCTGTTCCTTAGACGATCTAGAAGGGAAACTTACCTTTGGCTCTGTAGCCAGATATCCCCAGCTTGGAAGGTTGAGTGGTTGAAGGTGAGAGGAAATGCACTCAATGCTTCTATGGTTCCATAGTCTCCAGTGTCTTCTTCTATTACATTGTATTTTAATTGCCAGCTTCCTTGCCTGTATTTCACCTCCATACCAAAAGCTCTATGAAGATAGGGACTGAGTATTGTCAGGATCTGGCACGGTGCCTAACATCAGACACTCAATAAGTATTTGCTAAATGAATGCATATGAAACCACTGAAACCTGGAGACACAACATGGAGTAGCAGAAAAAGAAACAGGCCAGGCGTGGCAGCTCACACCTGTAATCCCAGCACTTTGGGAGGCTGAGGCAGGCGGGTCACCTGAGGTCGGGAGTTCAAGACCAGCCTGACCAACATGGAACCCCATCTCTATAAAAATACAAAATTAGCCAAGCATGGTGCACATGCCTGTAATCCCAGCTACTTGGGAGGCTGAGGCAGAAGAATCGCTTGAACCCGGGAGGCAGAGGTTGTGGTGAGCCGAGATCGCGCCATTGCACTCCAGCCTGGGTAACAACAGAGGAACTCCGTCTCAGAAAAAAAAAAAAAAAAAAAAAAAGAAACATCTTGGTTCTCAACTTTATTATTACGATTCCAAGTAAAAAATTTTCTGGATTTTTCCTGGATAAACAAAAAGATGGGATAGGATTGTTAAGGGTTTCTCCAGCATTATAGTTCTATGAATATATGTACAAAGCATTTTTAACATTATAAGACTGACTGTTGAGTGAACACACCAGAATTCCTCAGTGCAAATGAACATTAGCCCCTTTAAAGATGGGGGTGGGTACTCTGACAAGTTAATTACTCATTCAACTATGAAAGCCAATTTGGAATTTATTTTAGCTTGAAAAAATTTATACAAGCAATACATATTTGTTAATTACTAAAAATAAATTAGAAATCACAAAAGGGAGGCTGAGGTGAACAATAGCTTGAGTCCAGAAGGTTCGAGACCAGCCTGGGCAATATAGGGAAACTCCATCTCTACAAAAAAATACAAAAATTAGCTGGGTGCGGTGGCACATGCCTATAGTTCCAGCTACTTGGGAGGCTGAGATAGGACGATTGTTTGAGCCCAGGAGGCAGAGGTTGCAGTGAGCCGAGATTCATGCCACTGCACTCAACAGTGTGGGACTCTGTCTCAGAAAAAAAAAAAAAATGAAAATCATAAAGGTGGAAGGGAATTTAAATTTACCCACAATCATACAAAGACAACCACTACTACCAGTCTGGGTATAAATCTTCCTAAGTTCTCCTGTTACAAACATATCTTGTATGTTTACATTTATTTTCCTTTATAAAACCAGGTTTATTTTACTCTGGTAACCTGTTTCTTTTACTTAATATAGTATGAATATCTTTCTACATACTTTGTAACCACAGTAATCTATAGAGTGGTAATATTAATTTATTTAACCAATGACCCACTTAGGTTGTTTATGTCACTATGATAAAAATGCTGCACTACATGTCCTAGTAAATTTTTATGCACATAATTATGTTCTCAAAATAATTATCCAGAAGTGAACTTTTTGGAGCAAGGCTGTAATTTTTAAGTCAGGAGCAAGGCTGCATTTTTTTTTCGAGAAGGAGTTTCGCTCTTGTCGCCCAGGATGGAGTGCAGCGGTGCGATCTCGGCTCACTGTAACCTCCGCCTCCCAGGTTCAAGCAATTCTCCTGCCTCAGCCTCCTGAGTAGCTGGTATTACAGGCACCCACCACCATGCCCGGTTAATTTTTGTATTTTTAGTAGAGATAGGGTCTCACCATGTTGGCCAGGCTGGTCTCCAACTCCTGACCTCAGGTGATCCACCTGCCTCGGCCTCCCAAAGTGCTGAGATTACAGGTGTGAGCCATTGCACCCAGCCAAGACTGCAGTTTTAACTCAGTTGATTTGCATGCAGTTTTTTCTCTTTGGTAGCAGATTCCCATCCTTTTGATAGTAGATAGTCACTGGAAGCAGCCAAGAGTCACCAGATTTTGGTCAAGTGTAGTGATTAAAGTGAGAGATCAAGTAGGCAATACTAGTTTTGGTTGAAAGCCTCTGACTATAGGGCAACGTGAATGGTTTTCACATGTGACTCAAAGTGGCTCTAAAGGCAATAACAACAGGAATTCCAAAACCATTGTGGGCAATTGGTTCATCACCAAACCAAGCATATTACTTCCAAAAGAGTGAACTATGAAGGCGACAAACAGAGCTAGGTGATAATGCTTTCTCAGGATTCATAATGTTACACACATATCTCACTCATACACAGAAATTCTGAATGGTTGAGTCAATCAATTCATTTAATTAAAGTAGATTAAAGTTTAGGCTTACCTAAAACTTTAATATTTGCAATATTTTTTCAGTATGACATTCTCATAAAAACGTATTCACCACTCGAATGGTACTTCACATACATTATCTTTTTAATGTTCACACTACTACCACAAATATAAGTATTATTCTCCGCATGTTATAAATGAGAAAATGGAGACTCAGAGAAAATGTGATTTGCACAAGGCAACAACATCTGATAAAAGGTAGAACCAAGATGCCAATACAGATCTGTTTTGCTTCAAACACCACGTTCTTTTTATTCTCTAACCCTGCCATGTAGCACCTTTGAATAATTCTTAAATGTATCATTACAGGGTTGTTCAATTTTTAGCTGCAATGCTTAATATTTCTTAATGACTCTATTATTACCAGTGAATAATCCTATTCTTTATTTAACGTGGAAGTGAACTGAACAAAACTGAAGGTATTGCTTATGAACAGACTTATTTCTATTCTTGAGGAAAACTGGAAGTAACTACAAAAAGCCATTTATTCCACTTGAATGAAGTAAATATTGATACTAGACCTTACATTTAAAGAGACCAGTCTAGCAAGTGACTCTCATTTTAACAATAACCATATTAAAAGAGAAAAAAATAAAGCAGTAAGTTAAATAAAAGGTTAATAAAACTTGGAGGAAACAGCTCAGTGTTTTCTTTTAAACCCTGAAGAATACCAAATGTATGTTATGTTGCATAAAGAGTCATGTCAAGAGAAGACTATTAACAACCCAATAGTAGAGTCAGCATTAAGAACTTCAATGATATTCAACTCAAACATGCGTAGGGAGAGTAAAGTTATTTTATTAAATCATGCACGTCACGTGTGTTAGTGCAAATAGTTTAATCTGTACTCCAGAAATTCTATTGTACTTTATATCTTTACAAAATAGATTTAAAACAATTATTTACTTTAAAAAATGTAATTCTGAAGTTAAGCATTTCAGAACAATATTTGCAATAACCTATATACAAGAGGTACTGGGTACCACTGGCATATTAGCATTCTGTGGTGGAGTGGCTTCCTGCAACAGAAAATGATGAAATGAACTATATGACAGTATTTTCTACAAGTCATTTGTGACTAATTCCTCCATAAATCTAGTGATCTTCCCAAAAGCAATCTCAAATAGCTTAAAATATAACCTTTAAAGTATAAACAGTGACTGCCAAACATCACAAGGCAAATTATACCCTAAACTCCTATTTCAATATTTGGCTAGACCTGTGGATTGCCACAGAACATTCAAGCCAATTCACTGACATTCCCTCCCGGTCTTCACTGACTGAAAAATTTAACTATGTGATACTTTAGGATATTCTATGACCTAAATAAACTTTATTGACATAACTATGATGCCGCACAAAACCATGGCTAAACTTTCACTTGTGTTTTAAATTTATAATATCAAGCAGTGTTTTTAGGTGCTTCATTGTGCATAGAACACTATTAATCTTGGGAATAGTGCTTTTCATTAACAGAAAGTCCCAATTAACAACAATAAAAAGAAAATAACCATTTGCATACCCAACCAGGAAATTTGTTGGTAGGTACAACGCTCACCCTGAACATGAATTAGCTCTGACACATCATAAACCAAATTAGGTCAATACAAGCTTATCTAAAGAGATATTAATACTTTCTTCAATTAAACATGCTTGGAGGAATAGATGATAGAAAAAAAAAATCATGCTTCCTAAAATGCTGTATATGAGAAAGTAACTTGGCTTTTAAAGAAAAATATCTCTTTAAATACATGGTTTAATAAATTACATTCCAATTGACTCAACATTTTGGTTGACTGCACTGAAATTGTGTAATTACTATGTTTTTGCTCCCAGAAATACTTCAGTTTGCTCAAGAAAATACACTCTCATGGAAAGTTTTTCAAAGTTGATGTCCTCCACATCTTCAAGTCACATTAAGGCTGAACAAGCGTGCACATATTCCCCAAATTATCACCATAACAGTTTATTTTCCAAACGTATTTTTCCTTAAAAAAAAAAAAATCCACGCAAATAGTTGTCTCTAAGTCTTGTTCCCAATAGCTCAGTGGTTTCATAACAAGTAAAAATGGCGTAAATATGTAAAAAATATATATATGTGTATATATTTCAAACTGATAGGCACTGAGCACACAGGGCCTCTCTTCCCATGTATGTATTGGTTGTTTGGTTTGGGTAGTTATCAAATCAGAAAAATGAATTATCTGGTGATCAGAATTCAGAGTAAAATACTCATAAATTTAATGTTATAAATAATCTGGTGTACCAAGAAGCCTACTTTAGGCCACCATAATATTCAGAATCTTAACATACTAATTTAAAAATTACATGAAAAATTGCAAGCAAATTATTGCTTACAGTAGAATAAAGTCACAATTTTATATCTTCTTTATAGACAGATACATTTTATATAATTTAAAGCAATGACCCTACAGCTGTATTCTTGTACTTCTGCTGTTTTAAGAGGTAAAGAGGAAGAAAATGGTTCTGTTTGTCCCCAGCATGAGTGTGATGCCAGCTTCTAGAGGGAGGACGGTGTACGGACTCAAGGAACGCTCTCATGGAGAAGCTCTGGCCAGACCTGGCACGTACAGCACGATGGCTGTTACTGCAACCAGGGCAGCCAACATGGGCATCCAGGGCCAGGGTTTCTGTGTGGAAAGAAACCAAGAGTCAATATCACATTCTCCCCTCTCTTTTCATACCTATTAACCCCTTGGTTCCAGAGAGTCCTGAATACTTAACAGAATATTGGAAAAATCTTATTTCTGCATCATAAATATAAAGTTTGAAAAGAAAAAAAAAAGTGAGGGAGTGCAGGTATAAGAAGAGTCATAATAGCAGGAACACCAATTTGGAAGTCTAACACGTCCCAAGAAAGTCCTGGGAAGTTTTCAACTTTGTTACAGTTGAAACCTAATAGTGACTTCTAAGAAAATTTGTGGGCTCTGCCTGCTTTATTTACTCTGGTATCCATATATTCCAATATAACTGATGTATATAGACACCTGTAGTATGTTTCTGCCTAAAATGTTTATTTCTTGATAAGAACCAGACTCACATGTTGGGATATTTTATGCAAGGGGATAGTGGCTAAGGTGATAATGGTCTAGGCTTTGGTCGTCCAACTTGAAACCACAGAAGACAAAATCAAACAGGGTTCAAGATGGAAAAGTAACATTAGGGATCCTGCCTGTCTGATAATTCTGGTATAGACTCTGTTCAGTGTAATAAAGCCACATGATCACCGCATATGCTCTACTAACATGCATGCCAGTTAGAAACAAGCATGGATGGGCTGTTGCCTGCTAGCTTTTAGAGGGCTTTATAAGATCAACTTGCTTTGGTTGACACTTTTATTTTTACTTGTATTCCAGAAGTGTTATTGAGAAAAACTGGTTTTTAAAGAAATATTCTGATGTTGCAGGTCAGGGCTCAGAAAGAAATGGGATACATTTATATCCTTGCAAGTACACAATAGGGTTGAGATTGTGAGCCAATGGTTCATTATGTTAATCTCATTATTTTTCATCTTCATAGCCATAGTATAAACAGGCAAAGGGTTGAAACAAAGAAAATCTACACTATGAAAAGGAAGAGGATAAGGAGGAAGGGGAAGAAGGCTGGCTGAAAACTTCAAGGAGGCAAACTCTTCATTTCTCATTCAAATCTGATTAAACACATAATTGGAAAGAGGGTACTAATATTGCAGAAATTCATAGTGCACTCCAGTTTGCTAGAGATAAAGACTCAGTTAATGGAAGCATATTAACAACTGGTTAGGTTGGAATTAACTCATGGTTAGCATTACTACAAAGTAAACAAGACAAAAAGTTATGGGATTAGTTGACTGTTCAGTTCATTGGTATGACACAAATACACGGCATACTAAATGAAGGGTTTGCTTCAGGTAACAAAATACCTGTGTGTTCTTGCCATGCACTATATTACAAATATGGCACAAAAAGGTGACGGGGACAAACAGACAAGGACTCAACAATAGTGCTTGTACCTTTCTCTACCACAATGGACCGAAACACCAAAACAGGAAAGCCAGGAATAGGCCGATGAATACGGCTGGGACGGGTTGTAATATGGAAGGCTAAAGAAGGGAAGGCATATTAAAATCATTTTATGCTATGAAAGTAATCAGATAAGAGGATTCAGACCCCAGTAGGGTGGGAGGTAGGAAGAAAGAATGAAATAATAGAAGTATACCACTCAGGTTTTACACAGATTCAAACATTTTAAAGACATCTAACACAATCTGATAGACTGTGGTATGCAAGTTGGGAAACTATCAGTTTAAAAGGAATAGCTAGGAACCGTTAGGCTCAATGCCTGTAATCCCAGCACTTTGGGAGGCTGAGGCAGGTGGATCACCTGAGGTCAGGAGTTTGAGACCAGCCTGGCCAACATGGTGAAATGCTGTCTCTACTAAAAATACAAAAGTTAGCCAGGCATGGTGGTGCATGCCTGTAATCCCAGCTACTCTGGAGGTTAAGGCAGGAGAATTGCTTGAACCAGGAGGCAGAGGTTGCAGTGAGCTGAGAGTGCCACTGCACTCCAAGCTGGGTGACAGAGAGAGACTCCGTTGAAAAAAAAAAAAAAAGAGAAAGAAACAGCTGAAGGCAATGGGCAATGTGGGTGTACCTAACATTCTAATGAAATATAGCACATGAAGACAGAGCAGGCCGAATGCAGTGGCTCATGACTGTAATCCCAGCACTTTGGCAAGCTGAGGTGGGCAGATTGCTTAAGGCCAGGAGTTTGAGACCAGCCTGGACCACATGGCAAAACCCTGTCCCTACAAAAAATACAAAAATTAGTTGAGCATGGTGGCACACATCTGTAATTCCAGCTACTTGGGAAGCTGAGGTGGGAGCATTGCTTGAACTGGGAAGGTCAAGGCTGAAGTGAGGTGAGATCATGCCACTGCACTCCAGCCTGGGTGACAGAGCAAGACCCTGTCACCAAAAAAAAAAAAAACAAAAAACAAAAAACAAAAAACACTGACAATACTTCACCACCAGCTGATGCTCTCTGCTTGACAGTACACTATTTTTGCTCGATACCTGAAATCCATTATTTGACAATGTACTCCCTCAGCAATGGTTATTTTATCCCTCTAACAAATTTTTTTTTTCAACCAAAGCTCTTTTGCTTATTAGATGATACTGCTTTCAAGCTTCAAAATAAATGCCCTGTGATAATGCGTGCTTCCTAAATCAGGCAAGAGATTTCACATGTAATAAAGGTTTGGTATATAAAGACAGGCAGAGCTGGACACGGTGGCTCACACCTGTAATCCCAGCACTTTGGGAGGCCAAGGCAGGCAGATCACCTGAGGTTGGGAGTTCAAGACCAGCCTGACCAACATGGAGAAACCCCATCTCTACTAAAAATACAAAATTAGCCAGGTGTGGTGGCACATGCTGTAATCCCAGCTACTCAGGAGGCTAAGGCAGGAGAACTGCTTGAACCCGGGAGGTGGATGTTGCGGTGAGCTGAGATCATGCCACTGCACTCCAGCCTGGGCAACAAGAGCAAAACTCCGTCTCAAAAAAAAAGAGAAAAAAGAAAAAAAAAAGGCAGCTGAGTCTCAGGGCTTTCAATCATGTTACCAGAATACAATTAATTTTTAAAATGGAAAGAAAACTGCTACAATGAGTGTTATTACAGAGTAATATTTTAATACCATAGGTGCAATATCACAAAAAAAGGAAATTCACCCCTAAGGTGAATGGTAGCTATAAATAATAATAGCAAAGTTACTTTTGAAAAGGTTCTAAATAGTATGGGGAGATCCATTCTGATTATGCTAGATGTCTTCATGGGTTAATTTAGCAGTAGACTGAAATTCCATAATCCCAGGGATATGAATTAACACAAAAGAGAAGTAACCAAACCATTATGATCTGATTTTAGAAGAGTTATGTAATCTACATTTTGAAAAGTAAATGCAAACCATTTTTCCTTAGCATAAAGCCTCCACACCCAGTTCATCAACTTCTAAAAGGCTTCTACCTAAGCAGCAAGACTTTACTGTCTACAAACTAAGACTTTCTTTAGCAAAGGACAGTTGGACACAACTCATGAGCATTCTGTGTGCAAATGAGTAACACGATGGCCATGCAACATCACTCTTTTGTACTTGTGCTGCAAGGTAAGCGAAGTGGCTTCCTCCATAGGAAGTATGTGGCTCACGCACACTGCAGTGTCCAAGCCATGACAGTGGTTTTAAATAAGTCAGAGCACAACCAACCACACTAAACATCTATCAGGGCCCACAAAGGTAACGATCACCAAAACGTACAACACAACATTTATTTAGTATAACATCTTTTTAAAGACCATCTGTCTTTCTAGCAAATGAAAAACAAAAAAATTAAACTCAATTTATACCAAAATGTTCATCTCTCTCTCTCACAGCCCTACAGAAACTCACCAAATATTTTCTAATATTTACAGAATGACAAAGAGACATTAAGCTTTTTAGAAATTGTGCCTCAGTGAGAACATTATTGGTATAAGAACAACATGTACTACTCTCTCTTAAATGGATCCCTGGTGGTACAATGCTTCATTTCCCAGCAGGGGAGAAACAAGAGCCAGATGATAGCTTAGTGACAGAGCTTCAGACTCATCTGGGAAAAGCTGACAGTTCTTAAGCAAGCTGCTTTATTGCAAACAAGGCTCTTCCTCCAGGCAGTCCTGAGGCTCTTCTAGGAGTATAGGTTAAAGGTACAAATTCTTACTCAAAAATCTGACAGCACAATGATTCTATCATGGAATTTCATAATGAAAAGCCTATTTCATCTGTACCATTTGCTTCACAAATCAGTGATAAAGTCCTCTGAAAATCAATTTCAATCTCTCATGTGCCTCTCAATCAAAGCTAAGCCAAGTTTGCAAAGACTTACATTATTTCCTTTCTCTCGGAGCAGCTTCAGGTTGTTTTTACACTGTTTGAGCTCATCTGTGATTGACTGCTTTTCCTGCTCAGTCATTTCAAACTTCAACTTCAGTTCTGAGAGTACAGTCTGTGTCTTTTCATACTAAAGGCAAAGAAAAAAAAAGTGTGCAGATACAACTTAAAATGGGTATGATGTTATGGTTCTAATCAGGTTTATACGCCAGATCCTATTTAGTCACCTGGAACACCAAAGTCAAGTCTTTTTGTTTAAGGAGGAATAACTTGCACTCATAAGAAGTCTTTTGGCCGGGCGCAGTGGCTCACGCCTGTAATCCCAGCACTTTGGGAGGCCAAGGCGGGCAGATCACGAGGTCAGGAGTTCGAGATTAGCCTGACCAACATGAAGAAACCCCATCTCTACTAAAAATACAAAAATTAGCTGGGCGTGGTGGTGCATGCCTGTAATCCCAGCTACTCGGGAGGCTGAGACAGGAAAATCGCTTGAACCCGGGAGGCAGAGGTTGCAGTGAGCCAAGATCATGCCACTGTGCACTCCAGCCTGGGTGACAGAGGGAGACTCCGTCTCAAAAAAAAAAAAAAAAAAAGAAAAGCCTTTAATGTTGACTTTATTCCATGTAAGAATTTTCTGGCCCTGGAGTTAAAAAAAATTAAGAGTAATCACCATTTTGTCATCTGTTTTTAATATAAAGGATCACTTTTCCACCAAGTGAGTTACAGGAGAAAAGGAAAATTTCAAACTGAGCAAAAGAAAAGTAGGTGAAGAAAAATTCCATAGCCAATGTTAGGAAGCCTGAGTTTATATCCTAGTAAGGAGTGTCAGCCAAGCTATTTTAGTCTTGAAGTAAAAAGTATTAATTCCCAATAGGTTTCCCTTTACCCAGCATTACTGGGTATTAAAGTGTTCTGGATAAGTGAATTTTCTAGGCAAATGAAGCAAAGAAATGTATCTGAAGTACCGACCACTATGATTGGGAAATTTCTATTTCTCCACTTAAAACAGGCATTGGCTGGGCACGGTGGCTCACACCTGTAATCCCAGCACTTTGGGAGGCCAAGGTGGGCGGATCACCTGAGGTCAGGAGTTTGAGACCAGCCTGGCCAACATGGCAAAACCCCACCTCTACTAAAAATACAAAATTAGCCAGGCATGGTTGTGCATGCCTGTAATCCCAGCTACTTGGGAGGCTGCGGCAGGAGAATCGCTTGAACCCGGGAGGTGGAAGTTGCAGTGAGCTGATGTTGCACCACTGCACTCTAGCCTAGGCAACAAAAGCAAAACTCCATCTCAAAAAACAAAACAAAAAAACTTAGGTTATCAACTAAGTCATTTTAAAAATTCTGTTTTCGGTAGAAATTTTATTTTTATTTTATTTGTTTATTTTTTGAGACGGAGTCTAGCTCTGTCACCCAGGCTGGAGTGGAGTGGTGCAATCTCAGCTCACTGAAACCTCCGCCTCCCAGGTTCAAGTGATTCTCCTGCTTCAGCCTCCTGAGTAGCTGCGATTACGGGCACCTGCTGCCACATCTGGTATGTTTTGTACTTTTAGTAGAAATGGAGTTTCACCATGTTGGCCAGGATGGTCTTGAACTCCTGGCCTAGGGTGATCCACCTGCTTCAGCCTCCCAAAGTGCTGGGATGACAGGCATGAGCCACCGTGCCCCGCCTGTTTCTAGTAGAAATTTTTAAATAGCAAAACTTGTCATTTTCTGTTCTGGAAAACAATTCACTGTATATACTTTGACTTTCAGATAGAGTCACATCTTTTTAAAGACCATCTGCCTTTTAAAGGTGAGACCAATGTGAAACATAGTATGGCTTACCCCTACTTTAAATGGTGCCTGGAGGCTGAAATTCTAGACTGGTTCCACTTCTAGATACAGCATCTTACACGCAAACTGGGCTCACAGTCAAAGAACAGAGATTGTTCTGCTACTGGCTGTGCCTTTGTCTCCACTTCCACTACCCCACTCTGCCATCCCTCTTTTTTTTTTTTAGACTGAGTCTCACTCTGTCACCCAGGCTGGAGTGCAGTGGCGTGATCTTGGCTCACTGCAACCTCCTCCTCTTGGGTTCAAGGGATTCTTGTGCCTTAGCCCTCCATGTAGCTGGGATTATAGGCATGCACCACCATGCCTGGCTAATTTTTTTGTATTTTTAGTACAGATGGGGTTTCACCTTGTTGGTCAGGCTGGTCTCGAACTCCTGACCTTGAGTGATCCACCCACCTCGGCCTCCCAAAGTGCTGGGATTACAGGTGTGAGCCACCGCACCCGGCCCTATTCTGCCATCTCTGAAGGTTTTAGAAGGAAGATAGACAAGGATTGAATATAAAATAGATATACCATAGGTAACGTATACCAGAAAGGTTCCTCCTTGTCCCTAAATGTAGCTTATGAGGGTAGAAAGTTTCCAGTTCCTCTCTACTTATATCCTAGAAATTCTTCAATAAAGGAAACCTTTATAAAGGTGCTTCTGAAAAATGTAAACACCTTGGAATGACTTATCAGGAGCCCATCATCATGCTCAAGAAAGATAAATATTAAGAAGGAATATAAATGTATAAAAACATTAGACAGGAGAGATGGGGCTTAGGGTCAACACAGAGGTCACCAGAAAAAGAGAAGAAAGATATAGGTACAGAGAGGGAGGTAAAATATGAAAGAAACTCCCTGTTACCTAACAACATTCCCACAACAAGCCTGGATAGTATGCCAGAGAATGAAATAAAGGAGTACAATTCATGGACTTTATGATAGCTTTTTTCAGTTGATGTGAAGATCTGTGGACTTCCTTCCAGAAGGCAGAAGATTACTGGCATACTGCCAAGGCAAAGTCATTGTACCTACACTAGTTTCTGCAAATTGGAACATAATAAATTCTCAATGACCCATGATCTGATTCTTAACAGGGACTAATAAAGAATAAGTAAAGAGTACTTTGTTGACAAGTTTTCCCTTACTTTCCTTTTCCACCATTCTTACATCTAGTCTGCCCTGTGCACCAAAGCACTTATTTCTCCATTGCAGGAGTTGTGAAGCAGAACCACAGGAAGGCAGCTCAACCAGGGGGATCCTGTTGCTTACCTCCAGTACGTGAGGGGGTGGCAAGGACTCTGGCCCCACGGCAAGAAGGTAAAGCCAAGTAACTTTCTTGAGTCAGTCTTTGCAGGGTGGACTGTGTGCTCAATGTTTTAGGAATTTTTTTTTTTTTTTTGAGATGGAGTTTCGCTCTTGTTGCCTAGGCTGGAGTGCAATGGTGCGATCTTGGCTTACCACAACCTCCACTTCCCGGGTTCAAAGCGATTCTCCTGCCTCAGCCTCCCAAGTAACTGGGATTACAGGCATGCGCCACCATGCCTGGCTAATTTTGTATTTTTATTAGAGACGGGGTTTCTCCATGTTGATCAGGCTGGTCTCGAACTGCCGACCTCAGGTGATCTGCTCACCTCGGCCTCCCAAAATGATGGGATTACAGGAGTGAGCCACTGCACCTGGCCTATAAATTCTTAAATTACAGATATTCCTACTAAATTAAAATATAGTGATGCTTTCTAAAGTCAAATATAAAGATGATATATCATTATTTTCTTTTAATACTGAGGATTAAGATTTACTTTTTTTTTTTTCTGAGATGGAGTTTTGCTCTTGTTGCCCAGGCTGGAGTGCAATGGCCTGATCTCAGCTCACCACAACCTCCGCCTCCCGGGTTCAAGCGATTCTCCTGTCTCAGCCTCCTGAGTAGCTGGGATTACAGGCGCATGCCATCATGCCTGGCTAATTTTTGTATTTTTAGTATAGACGGGGTTTCATCATATTGGTCAGGCTGGGCTTGAACTCCTGACCTCAGGTGAGCTGCCCGCCTTGGCCTCTAAAAGTGCTGGGATTACAGGCGTGAGCCACGGCGCCCAGCCAAGATTTACTTTTTGCATGTACTTTTTCTTTGTTAAATATTCACATAAAAGCTGCCACATATATAAATTTTAATTTGTGCAACAAAGGTGACCTATTGCAGCCTTGCTTGGCTATCATTTTTGCTCCATCTTGCTTTCTAACTCTGAGGTGACAAATGAGCTTGGTCCTGATTAAGAGGGAAATACCACACAATATTACCAACACCTTTGGTTCTTCTTCATAAAAAGAATCATATGTGGGCTTGCTTAGCTTGTAATATTTTAGTCTGTTACAGTGCTGAAAATACATAATTAGACACTGTGCATATTAAGCATGATTCTATGACAGAGAGGAGAACAAAGGGGAAATGCTGAAGGGGAATATATGTGCATCAATAAAAGGCAATAATTCATTTGCAGTGGATTACACAGAGATAAGAACCTCATTAAAGAACATTTTAGTTATAGTATATAGCTATAACTAAACTATAGTATATAGTATCCAACATGTTAACATCTGGACAAACAGAAAGAGAGCAATTTCACATTACAAAGGAGTGTGATGACTACACATCATTTCACAATGGAAAACAGTGAACAAGAAAATAGAAAAGAAACATACTGACAAGATCAGACATATTTTTAAATGTGCTGCATTTAATGCAATCCAAGACTATCAACAATTTAGATGCTGTGACAACATGCCACTGCCATTTGTGGAAACAGTTAAAGCATCTTGCACCGATTACTCAGTGACCAAAAACAGGCAAACAAGTAATGCAACAAAATGACTAATGCGTTCATAGTAACATACAACAGAATAATCTTCCAACCACAGCATTCTTCCCAGAGTTTGAAAGAATTATGGCATATGGACTGGAAGGACACAAAGTGCTTACAGTATTAAATACTAAGATATTTACTTTGGCACAAAATTTGTGTTCCAACCAAATAAAATGAGATTTCTTCTAAAACACATATCTTTAGTAAGGTAAAAACGAACACATCACAAAATCAGTATGTCCGCAAGAAAATAAAAAATGTTACAGTATTTTTTCATTAGGAACAAACATGAAGACAGAAGAACAATCATTGCCAAATTCAGGACACTACAAGGAAAGAAAAGTGCAAAGAAAAACTGCATTGATTAAGCAGATCTTCTAGAAACAACTTTGGGAAAGTTCATTATTAAAGACAAAGAGTTGTCTTCAACTTCCTTCTAATTCATAAAGAATCCTTTTAAGAAAGTCTACAACTGGGGTGGTCCCTAATCTGTAGATCAAGTTGTATCAGGCTTCTCCATTCCCCGAGCTGGCCAGGAGTCAATGCAGGGAGTGGTATGAGGCCAGCAGGACTGAAGACAGCTCTTACTGCCCTGCTGTCAACTTCAAGGCTTTGGGAAGTGAAATGCACCTCTCTTGCTCAGGAAGAAACTGGGTAGGGTTTCTGTTCCAAAATCAACTGTTATGACTTCAACACAAATTTTTAAAAAGCCACTCAACTCAAGGTTTTAAGCAGAATGACATGAAAAGTGAGCATGCACATTTATGAATAAGGTGAAAAGGGGGTGGGAGGAAGAAAGTAAAAGGCCACAGAACATGTGTTTGGCTGGCTGCCTGGCTATGAGGTGAATTTTAAGTAACTTTTCAGGCCATATTTACCTGAGGGGTTCAGACAGCATTAGAGTATGGCCTCAGTTTGCTTTCCAAAAGTATGCTAAGTTACATACGATACTCTCTTTGAAAGTTAAACAATAGATCAAGAGACCTGGTACAAAGGATTTCTCATATAAGTAACTGGTAGAGAAAAATTAAAATGTAGTTTTGTATATTATATTTTTGAGACCAACCCTACTGAAGAATTCTCTACATATGGACCATGATATGCAGCTAGAAATCACCAAGCAGAGATGTTCCAAGTATCAATTTTGTGACAGGTAATGTGACTTCTGCTTCCCTTTATTTCTAACTAGCATGGATATCCGATTTGCTTTTGGCTTTAAGTCCAACCATAATTGGGCTCATAATGTCTTTTCGCTTTACCTCTTTCTGCACATCCTTTGCTTGGTTTTCTGCCTTACTGAGAAGAGTTTTTAAATCAGCTGAATCCCGAAGATGCTGTTCTTTCAAGGATCCCACTTGATTCTCAAGTTCTTTCCTAGACATTTGAAGGATGCTGAGATCACTGGTAAGCTCTAAACTCTGCTTCTGAGAACTGCAATATAAATATTGACAGATAGTTATTCACAGGTAGAAACTGGACACAGAAGGAAGTCCAGTTTCTTATACATTTCACTAGAAGGGATAGAGTGGATTTCAGAGAAAAAAAGAAAAGTATAAAAAAGAATGAAATATTTTCATTCAATAAGCAAAAACCATCAAAACACTAAAAAAATGCAAGTTTAAAGGTGTGTCCCATCAAATATACACAAAGGTTGAAATTTTAAAAACAGAAATAGGAGGTAATTAACTGTATATTTTGTTGTATCAAATTGTATTAATTTCATCATGAAAAGACTCAGTGTAGGTCTTCTACAGGAAAAGAACACACATGTTTCAACAATTTCTTTTAAGTTTAAATACTTGACAAATAGAATGGGGGTCAGAAACTTAAAGCTTAGGAGTCACTGTCAATTCAAGTAAAGATAAACCTGTTCAAATGAGAAGACACACCAAATTGAGAAAAGAGCATAAGACAAAGAAGTAGGAGGCTGAGTTCTAGACCCCTAGCTCTGCCACTATTTAGCTGGGGGATATTAAGCAAGTCACTTAACTGGTACATTTCATTTTCAGAGTAAACACTTCCTCAGCTCTTAGACCTATACCAGATACCACGTAATACAGACATAACTAACACAAGCAGAGTCTCAGTGCCCTTCACTGCCAAATAACAGGATTGAATTCATTAACTTCTGAGGCTGTTCCCAAGGTTAATAAATTCTATGATCACTTTTTTTTTTTTTTGAGACAGAGTTTCGCTCTTGTTGCCCAGGCTGGAGTGCAATGGTGTGATCTCGGCTCACTGCAACCTCTGCCTCCCGGGTTCAAGTGATTCTCCTGCCTTAGCCTTCTGAGTAGCTGGGATTACAGGCATGCGCCACCATGCCTGGCTCATTTTATATTTTTAGTAGTGACGAGGTTTCTCCACGTTGGTCAGGCTGGTGTTGAACTTCTGACCTCAGGTGATCTGCCTGCTTCGGCCTCCCAAAGTGCTGGAATTACAGGTGTGAGCCACCACAGTCTCTATGATCACTTTTATAACTGGATGTTAAAAAAAATCTGACTTACAACATATGTGGAGAACAGCTTGATATGTGTGAACAGAAATTCCTTCTTCAATTCCTTCTTCCGTAGCCCAGACAACAGAAAATAAAAGGTCTGTACAGTATAGCTGTGTTAGGGAATTTGGCTCCCATAAATAGCTAAAGGAGTATAAGGTTTTCAAGGTGACAGTTTTACATCTTTCAGAATGGATCATTCAAGACTCAGACTCACTATGGTAATTGAACTACTACAGAGTCTGAATCCCATTTTGATTGTACACTTCACAGATTCTTTGGGGTGGGTCTGATGTTGTCAAGCCAATACAGCTAGGAATTAAATGGCACATAAGACCCTGTAAAGGAAGACTAGCTTCTAAATACTACTTAAATGCTGGGGAGGCTTATCAAGCAAATTTAGGGCATCAGAAAAGTTTAAGAAAAAGAATTAATCTGTCTTAAATACTTTATGTGAGTTTAGGCAGATGATCTGACCAATGACTTATAGGCCCCTTTCTGGGGCCTAATATTTTTAAACCATGTGCTTCTACTCACTAGGAGTTTGTAGGCTTGCTTCCCAACACTTAAAATTTGAAATAATTGAAAACAGTATTTAAGAATCTGCCAGATTCCAATTAATCACATCTTAAAAATAAGGGATCTAGCCTGAATCATTAAAATATCAATACTTTCGGCCGAGGGCAGTGGCTTACGCCTGTAATCCCAGCACTTAGGGAGGCCAAGGTCAGGAGTTTGAGACCAGCCTGATCAACATGGTGAAACCCCCTCTCTACTAGAAATACAAAAATTAGCCAGGCATGGTGGCACACACCTATAATCCCAGCTACTTAGGAGGCTGAGGCAGCAGAATCGCTTGAACCTGGGAGGCGGAGGCTGCAGTGAGCCGAGATCATGCCACTGCACTCCAGCCTGGGCAACTGAATGTGACTCTGCCTCAAAAAAAAAAAAAAAAATTATGAGTTGAGTGCAGTGGCTCATGCCTGTAATCCCAGCACTTTGGGAGGCCAAGATGGGCAGATCACCTGAGGTCAGGAGTTTGAGAACAGCCTAACCAACATGGAGAAACCCCGTCTCTACTAAAAATACAAAATTAGGTGGGCATGGTGGCACATGTCTGTAATCCAAGTTACTCAGGAGGCTGAGGCAGGAGAATCGATTGACCCCAGGGGGTGGAGGTTGTGATGAGCTGAGATCGCGCCACTGATCTCTAGCCTGGGCCACAAGAGCAAAACTCCGTCTCAAAAAAAAAAAATTTATGTATATAGCTATATATGAGATATGTATAGATCTCATATGTATTTCATATATGATATATATCATATACATATATTTATAGTTTTGACCTTTATTTTGTCCCATTCCTATTTTGGAATTGCTTTTACAAAGTTTTTTACATCTTATAAACAATGTAAAACATTTGTTTTTATTTTTATTCATGTTTTCTTGAGACATGGGACTGGCTCTGTTGCCCAGGCTAGACTACAGTGGTGTGATCATGGCTTATTGCAGTCCCCACCTCCTAGGCTCAAGTGATCCTCTCACCTCAGCCTCCTGAGTAGCTGGGACTACAGGCCAGGCTAATTTGTTGTATTTTTTGTAGAGATGTTGTTTCATAATGTCCACACCCGGCCGGAATAAACCCATTTTAAACTTAAATATGGCAAACTGTGGTGGTAAAATAGGACTTCATTAAATTTGCTGGAATAAATCTAATGCATTCACTGATTTGCTTGTCAAGTATTAGATACTAGAAAGATTTAACTGGTTTCAGAGAATTATTGGTCTTATATATTATTACCCTTCATACAACCCTATTTGAAATTCAGAAGATTAATTTATATCTTTCAGTAGCACAAATTCCATTTTTTTTTTTGGTTTGTTTGATATAGGGTTTGGCTCTGTCACCCAGGTTGGAGTGCAGTGGCATGATCGTGGCTCACTGCAGCCTTGACCTCCTGGGCCCAAGCAATTCTCCCACCTCAGCCTTCCAAGTAGCCAAGACTACAAGCACACATCACTATGCCCGGTAAATTTTTGTATTTTTTTGTAGAGACAGGGTTTTGCCACATTGTCCAGGCTGATCTTGGACTCTCAGGCTCAAGCGATCCTCCCACCTCAGCCTCCCAAAGTGATGGCATTACAGGCGTGAACCACCACGCCCAGCCTTACAAATTCTTCATTATAGTCACTTCCTGATCACGTTTACTAAAAGAAGAGATCACTGGTGTGAAAGAAAAGCAGTTGATATTTGAAATTTATTAGTTTACAGGGCAAGTTCAACTATGAATTACAGACTTTTGTTGTTTGTTCAGGGTTTCTTTGGGACATTTAATGAATCTGTATTCCATGAGTACAAGGAAAGGACATGTAGGATAATGGTGGTGGCAGGAAAAAAAAAAGCTGAAGTATTTATTCAGTATGGTTAACCTGCCAAATAGCCAAACAGAGATGGGCTGAACATTTGCTCCTGTAAAATATTTAAGTATTAAAATTAAATTTAATTTAGATGAAAATTTAAGATAAAGAAATATTTTATATCTGAAAAACAGAGAGTTCTTGCATACTTGTGCAATTCTTTTTCTTGCCGTTGCAGTTCTGATGATAGCAAAACATTTTCCCTTTTTAGAGAATGGCATTCGGTTTCCAATGCATTCCATTCCTTTCTCAACTTCTCTAGTTCACCTAAAATAGTCCCAAAACATATTTGTTAATACAGAAATATAACTTCCATAATACTTCAAAGGATAAAGGAAAAGATTTCAGAGGAGAACATACTTTTTGCCCCCTTAAAAGCAAGTAGATTTTACATGGTTAATTATATGATTCCTGTTACTTTGCATGTATACCTCAAGGACTGCTATCAGCTTGTACTTGAACAATAGTATTTTTTTCCACTTCACTTTTATAAGACAAGCAATTTTTAACAATTTTAAAATAAAATATAAAACCGTAAAAAAATATAAATTTAAGTAGAACTTGCAGACCTGAAAATACATTTTTAGCTCCGATTTAAAAACATTGGTTTATACAACTGATAGCTAACAAAGAAAAAAAAAGCCTGCATGTTTCTTTTTTAAACAAGTTAAGAAGTTATCATTGTCAAAAGTTAACAGCTTTATGTAAAATACATTTATTCACCTTGCAACCTTGTTGCTTCTTCTCTCTGCTGGTCCTCACACTGTTGACATCTAAGCTGAAAACTGTTTTGCAGACTTGTGATTTCTTTCTCATATTCAGACGCTGCTTTCCGCCACCGCTCAAGCTCAGCTCTCACCTTCTTAAGCTCTTCTTGTAAAGAAGCAATGTCAGTGTCCCGCTCAGAGGCAACCTTTGCTGCTGCTTGATGAAGGAGCAAAATTTCATCTCGGGCACTAAGCAATTCATCTCTAGTACTTGTGATTTCACTGTCCTTCTCCTCCCGGAGATTCTCAGTATCGATGTGTAACCTCTGCAATTGGGCTGCAAAAGTATATCCATCATTTTCTTGGCCCATTAGAATAAAAGAATAATCCATACAGGATTGTAGCTAATGCATAACCTGGGTTGTCAGAGCTGTTGCTTTTGATTAAAGTGTATAAACAATCCACGTTTGATGCAGAAAGCGTCAAAATACAGATAGCAAAGAGGAAAAAAAAACCAAAGTGATCTTCATCTCCCCAACACACAGAAAATTACTTCTGATATTCCTTCTGGATTTTTTCCTATGCATTTATAAACATGTAAAAACAAACATTAAATAGGGAGTGATCACAATAAATGCAGTGTTCCCTATCCTTCTGTTGATGAAACTCTTTCAACAAAAAAATAGTTATAGTATATATAACTTATTTGCCCAACCCTTTATTTTTGACATTTTAGGCTGTTCAGTGTTTAAACACTATATACAATCCTTTTTTTTTTTTTTTTTTTTTTTTTTAGGGTGAATCCTATGTGTAGAATTGCTTGGTCAAATGGTAAGCAATAAAAGCAATAAACAGTTGACGCCCTTGATTCGTTTTTCTGTTCAAATGTCAATTCTTTAAAGAGGCCTTTTCTGATGACTCATGTGAAAAACAGCTCACTGTCATTCTCTGGCTCTTTACTCTGCTTTATTTTCCTTTGAAGTCCTTATTGGACATCATATTATCTATTAATTTGCTTATTGTTTATCTTTTCTACTGGACTGTACACCTCATGTGTGTAGGGCATTTGTTTTGCTCACAGCTGTCAGGTATTGGGGATACCCCAATATCTAACACAGTAAACAATCAAGAATTATTGGTTGAATTAATGAGTTAATAAAATTAATACTGCCTCATTGAAGGGTTATATAGATTTTTAAAAATACCTGGTTTTGTGCTCATGACCCAAACTGGAAACAATTTGTATAAAATCAAACTTGGCGCAGAACAAGAAAATTAATATTGGTTACCATATTATAAGGAAATTGTAGATTTAAAAAGTTCCAAAGGAAAATAATTAATTACAAGAGGATTTAGGGATGGGAGAAAGGGAGGTTGCTACATAAGTAAACATTAAGATATTAGACTTTCTAAGTTTGTAGGAAGGACTGAGAGGTAACAAGTTTGGAATCTGAAAGGGCACAATGGCCAGAGAAGATGATCATGATTTGTTGATACAGTCGTGAAATACACATGCTGGCACCAGGGGGCACTCAATAATGCCTGGGCAAGACAGGTTTTAAAAAAAAGGTAGCACTATGTCACAGAACCTTTAGGAAAAATTGCCCCTACACAGTCTACGATGAAAATAGAGATCCAAATCAGATTTATGTAAATTAATGGATAATGACATTAAACTACAATAGGAGTTTTAAGAGCTTTCAATTTAAAAACACATATGACATACCCTAGAAATTCTAATCTGACCAAAATAAAATTCTAATTTTAAATAACTCAAATGTTCCACTCAAAAAATAGGACCCCAAAGACTAGTTTTTCTCTGCGATATTTTTGGGCAAGTATCTTGGGCCTCGTACAATGACTCTCCCTTCTCTTCTGAATAGTGATTACTTGTCTATTTAATTTCTTCCCCACCTATCTCTCAAGCTAAAATTTTAAAACAACATTGGCTCCTTCTTTGACAAGAAGGCAAATTAATTTTACTTTAGGAATTTTACAATGGCATGGGAAAGGAAGACCTCTCCTGGGGTATCATATAATTTCCTCATAATATACCAGGAGCTCAAGCTTGAAGTAAACATTCGACAGGCAGGGGTCTTTCTGGAAATTTCTGTAATAACCCTGTAATAGCCCAGACAAAGAAATAGCAAAATGGTGATAAGAAGAACAGCCATTATCAACGAAAATCAGTGCAGAGACTACTATCCTATTCCACGTGATATATAATTTTTCTTGAGGCCAGGTGCAGTGGCTCATGCCTGTAATCTCTGCACTTTGGGAGGCCAAGGTGGGTGGATCACGAGGTCAGGAGTTTGAGACCAGCCTGGCCAATATAGTGAAACCCCATCTCTGCTAAAAATACAAAAATTAGCTGGGCATGGTGGCATGCACCTGTAGTCCCAGCTACTTGGGAGGCTCCAGAATCACTTGAACTCGGGAGACGGAGGTTGTAGTGAGCCAAGATCACCACTGCACTCCAGCCTGGGCAACAGAGCAAGACTATGTCTCAAAAAAACAAGCAAAAAAATATTTTCTTGCAATACAAGTGTGTTCTGAGCATTAGATGGCAATATATCTACACCAGCCATCAATATATACATATACCAGCAAGCTCAAAGTGCTGACGCAGAGTAGCTCAAACAGATTTCCTATCCAAAGGCCCTCTGTAGGAACTCACGACATAACTCAGAAAGTGACAGTCTTACCAACTCCAAATCTTCACCTCTGCTTTTTCCATTCTAAGTGTCTAATACGAGAGTACTGGACAATCTTCCCTTGAATTTTCTTTAAAAAAAAAAAAAAAATAGGCCAGGCGCAGTGGCTCACACCTGTAATCCCAGCACTTTGGGAGGCCAAGATTGGTGGATCACCTGAGGTTGGGAGTTTGAGATCAGCCTGACCAACATGGAGAAACCCCATCTCTACTAAAAATACAAAATTAGCTGGGTGTGGTGGCGCATGCCTGTAATCCCAGCTACTCAGGAGGCTGAGGCAGGAGAATTGCTTGAACCTGGGAGGCGGAGGTTGCAGTAAGGTGAGACCGCGCCATTGTACTCCAGCCTGGGCAACAAGAGCGAAACTCTGTCTCAAAAACAAATAAATAAATAAAGCTCCACCAAGAGCCGTGTTGAAATGTGAGGTTCTAGAGAATCAAAGCCATGAAAAATGGGGACTCTCTGCCTTCTTACTTTCCATTTCATTTTTTTTTTTTTTTCTGAGATGGAGTCTTGCTCTGTCACCCAGGCTGGAGTGCAGTGGTGCAATCCCAGCTCACTGAAACCTCCACCTCCCAGGTTCAAGCAATTCTCCTGCCTCAGCCTCCCGAGAAGCTGGGATTACAGGCATGCACCACCATGCCCAGCTAATTTTTGTATTTTTAGTGGAGACAGGGGTTCACCATGTTGGCCACACTGCTCTCGAATTCCTGACCTCAGGAGATCCACCCTTCTCGGCCTCCCAAATGCTGGGATTGCAGGCATGAGCCACTGCGCCTGGCCTCCATTCCTTTTGAATCACTAAAAACAAACACACAATAACAATCTCAAAGAGCCTTGGGGTCTTCCATACCTTGAAGAACCTGTATTTGTTTAGTGGATTCCTCAACTTGATTTCGATAGGCTTTTCTTTCTTCTTCCAAAAGAGCTAAAAGTAAAAACACAGTATCTATTAATAGTTTTGTGAATTAATGAAAGTACTCAGAGTTGAGCAGCTGAAAATTTCTTTTAAAATTCTCTCCTAAAAGATTATTGAAAGAAACAAAAGTTAGGCAGTAAGTATTATCAGTATTAGCAGTTAGTTTAAAGATTTTAGGAGCACAGAACTGTAGTAAGTAATAAATCTATTCAACTGAGTAGTGGAGTTTTCTGGACCTGGTATCACCAAGACAATATGTGCTTTTCTTAACATGAGAAACAGTCTTGATAATTGTTAATCAGCATTTTGAACTTAATTTTTTAAAAAGACTTAAAATTCTTATATTTACTGTCAAGCACATAGTAAACACTAAACTAAATAATTGCTATTTACCAAATATTTTTTCATTGTAATTTAATATATTAGCCTGGATCCTCCAAAAGGTTCAAGTTAAGTGAATACCAATTCTAATTTCTTTGAGAATTAGGAAAGGAAAGAAGTAGTAACAAGAAGTTCCTAGTTCCCTCCTGGGATGTAAATCTTCCTACTAGGCAGGAAGGCCATCTTGGAGAACATGAGGGCTCCAGAAGTCATTCCCTTTCTCATTTTAAGACTCTTTGAGATACTAATTGTCTGCAACCAGGTAGTTACTATGAATGATACAGAAATGTAAGCTCTAGGGAACTGCACAGACTCCACTGGCTTATGACCTATAGATAAGTGAGCTACTAGAAAAGAATGTGGCCAGGACATTAGCTAACATTAGGCATAATAAAAATTTAGAAATTTGAGTTTTCCTTCTGTTGTACTTAATATGCAATTAACTATTAAGATCTTTCAGTTAGTAAAGATCTTACTTGATTTTCACATCAACAGTGTGAAGGTAGAGCAACTGTAACTCTCCTCATTTTACTGACCTGAAACACAAGTTTAGAGAGGTCAAGTAAATATACCAAGATCACATATCTCATAAAGTTGTGAATCTGGAACATGCCTCCGGACTCCAAGTTTGGGGCCACCCAATTATATTGTGCTGCCTCCACACATCCCTAAAGAACCAAAGTAATCTTGATCTCACCTTGAAGTTCAAAGCATTTTTGTTTACTTGTTCTAGCTAGCTCCTGGGCTTCGATCAATTCCTTTCGAAGATGCTGTATTTCTTGCTTTGCCTCAATTTCTGACTGTGCACCCTGCAAGTCATCTGACAAAAACATGTTTATTTTAAAAGCAAGAGTTAGTATCACACTATAATCTACAATAAAAGACTGGTAATCTCTCTCATGTTTGCACATGCATAAACAACATAGAACAACTGAGTTAAATAAAACTTAGAAGCAAATTATAGTAAGCATTTTAGTAGTTGGGAGAAAATACAAATACAGTTATATATATTAGTAATCATGGTGATGACATTATAAAAATATATTAACATAAATTATATATTCACAATTCTAGCATCAAAATAAACAGACAGTGACAGATTATAACTCATTGCTTATTAAGACTTGAAATTCAGTGAGATGAGCAAAATGCTATACTTCTTCATCAATTTTGAAATTTCTTGATAACCAGTCAGAAAAATTTCACTTGGAACTTAACTGGATATGGAAAACAAAAAGAAACTTTTCTTCAAGTAACAGCTAAATTTTAGCACAATTACCCTAGTTGTGGAACACAAAATAAAAACTAGGCTGAAAGCTCTACTGAGCCTACTTTGTCATCATCATTTCCCCAACACGCACATATAACAAATATCTGAGCTGGGCGTGGTGGCTCATGCCTGTAATCCCAGCACTTTGGGAGGCTGAGGCAGGCGGATCACGAGGTCAGGAGATCGAGACCATCCTGGCTAATACGGTGAAACCCCGTCTCTACTAAAAACACAAAAAATTAGCCAGGCGTGGTGGCAGGTGCCAGTAGTCCCAGCTACTTGGGAGGCTGAGGCAGGAGAACTGCTTGAACACAAGAGGCAGACGTTGCAGTGAGCCGAGATCGCGCCACTGCGCTCCAGCCTGGGCAACAGAGTGAGACTCTGTATCAAAAAGAAAAAAAAAAACCGCAACAACAACAAAAATCTGCTGAATATATTAAATGATGTAACCTAAGTGGTTTTACCGAAATAAATTAAATCCAGCATTCTATTTCAAATATGCCCCTTCCCCTAAACTCCTTCCTCTCCAATCATTCTGCTTTTTAATTTTTTAAAACCTTCTGCTACTGAACACTGCCTGAAATAAATATATCATCAGGTAAGCCATATTGTTCTAATGAATTCTATTTGAGTATCACCTTGGTTTATAAGTACCTCAGCATAATAACTTCAATTCATCAAAAAAGAGCTAAGAATAACTTTCACAATACAATTACAATAGGTTTTGGAAATTATATATATATATATATATATATATATTTTTTTTTCATATTCATAGATTATATCCTATTTTTCTCTCTAGAAAAATTGTATTCTGGCCTAGGCGCGGTGGTTCATGCCTGTAATCCTAGCACTCTGGGAGGCTGAGGCAGGCAGATCACTTGAGGTCAGGAGTTTGAGACCAGCCTGGGCAACATGTGGAAACCCCGTCTCTACTAAAAATACTAAAAATTAGCTGGGCGTGGTGGTGCGCGCCTGTAATCCCAGCTACTCAGGAGGCTGAGGCACGAGAATTGCTTGAACCTGGGAGGCAGAGGTGGCAATGAGCCAAGATCGCGCCACTGCACTCCAGCCTGGGCGACAGAGAGTGACTGTGTCTCTAAAAAAAAAAAAAAAAAAAAAAGAAAAAAAAAGAAAAAAATTTGATTCTGGGTTCAGCTACTCTAGTCAACTTATCAATTCTTCCTTCAAAAGGTCTTTGGGCCAGGGAAGGGGCATGTAGAGAGAGAGATTTTTCCAGTGGCAGAAACACTGTTGCATTAGCTACAAAACTTCTCTCACAGCTCTTTCAACACTATCCACTGGAGTCTGCAAAGGTCCTGGCCCCTGTTTCTGGATTTGTCATTATATAGGATAATGCTCTTTTTTTTTTTTTTTTTTTTTAAGGAGTATTTAGAAGAGAAGCATCATGATGCTTGCATCTTACATTCAAGTGGTTTGACAAAAACATCGACATTAATTCCTTGAGTAGGTATTTTCCTTGCTCTGTGATCGAGTTTTTCAACCTCAGCACTACTGACATTTTGGGCTGAATAAATTCTTTGCTGTGGGGCTACCCTATGAATTGTAGGATGTTTGGTAGTTTTCCTGGTCAGATATTGCCAAATGTCCCCTGGGAGGTAAAATGTCCTGTGTTGAGGACTATTGCTGTATGTTAATAATTTGATAATCAAAAAAAATTTTATACACAGGTTTCTTTTCTACAAAAGCACTGGCTATTAATTCTGAAACAACTTTCTGTGTATTCTAAAAAGGCTCAAATAAATACGTTGCAGATAAATGAAGCCACTTTTCTCACTGTTGAAGAAGAAAATTACAGATATGAAAACAGGTAAGATAGAATTAATCCCCTGGGCCGGGCACAGTGGCTCACACCTGTAATACCAGTACTTTGGGAAGCCAAGGCAGACAGATCTCTTGAGGTCAGGAGTTCAAAACCCACCTAGGCAACATGGTAAAACCCGTCTCTACTAAAAATACGAAAATTAACTGGGTTTGGTGATGCACACCTGTAGTCCCAGCTACTTGGGAGGCTGAGGCAGGAGAATCGCTTGAACCCAGGAGGCCAAGGCTGCAGTGAGCCGAGATCATGCCACTGCACTCCAGCCTGGGCAACAGAGTGAGACTCTGTATCAAAAAAGAAAAAGAAAAAAAAGGATTAATCCTCTGGTGTAGGGTATGAACTCGAATAGATTTGGAGATATAGAGAAATATATAGAAATAAATATAGATATGTGTGCAACTGCATACACACAGAACCACACACACACTTCTTAAGTCTGTCCACTGAGTGGGCCTAGAAGCAATTATACACCAGTAGCCATGAGGACACCAAACATTTAGATCTTGGTTTCTCTTTTTTTGAGACAGGGTCTTGCTCTGTTGCCCAGGCTAGAGTGCAGTTGTGCCATCACAGTTCACTGCAGCCTTAATTGACCTCCTGGGCTCAAGCTATCCCCCTTCCTCAGCCTCCTGAGTAGCTGGGACTGCAGGCACGTGCCACCATGCCCAGCAAAATTTTTAATTTTTTGTAGAGATGGGGTCTTGCTATGTTGCACCAGGGCTGAATAAATTCTTTGCTGTGGGACTACCCTATGAATTGTAGAATGTTTAGTAGTTTTCCTGGTCTCTATCGACTAGATTCAGTACCCCTCCTCCACCCTGGCCCACACCCCAGTTTACAACAACTAAAATGTCTCCAGATATTGCCAAATGTCCCCTGGGAGATAAACTCGAACTCCTGGGCTTAAGTGATCCTCGGCCTCCCAAAGTGCTGGGATTACAGGTATGAGCTACCATGCTGGGCCATGTCATAAAGAACATTACTGAGACAACTGTCAAAATGTGAACAGGTATTTGGATTTGAGAATAGTAATGTACCCATGTTAATTTCTTAATTTTGAGAATTGTATGGTAGTTACATAAGATAAATAAGAAATGTATACTGAGGTATTTAAGCATAAAGGCTATCATGTCTGCAACTGATTCTTTGTTTTGTTTTCTTTTGTTTCAAGACAGGGTCTGCTCTGTTGGCCAGGCTGGAGCGCAGTGTCACAATGTCTACTCACTGCAGGCTCTACCTCCTGGGCTCAAGCGATTCTCACACCTCAGCCTCAAGAATGGCTCAGACTACAGGCATGTACCTCTGTGCCTGGCTAAGATTTGTAGTTTTTTGGTAGACACAGGGTCTCACTATGTTGCCCAGGCTGGTCTTGAACTCTATAGTGTTTGATCATAGAAGTGGAGATACTAACCAAAAATCTTTTCAAATTAAGCCTAATAAACACAGACATAATAATCTGACTATATTCAAACAAATCGAATAGTTAGTGTGCAGATCCTCTTTCTAGAAAACCAAGTGCCATTTTTTAAAAAATCAAAGACTTAATGAGCAATTCTTTTTGTGCAAAGGTTGATCAAGGGCTCACTGTATTTTATATGGTTGTGTGGGAAAATGCATTACTAGTTTATTATGGCTTGGGTCCATTCTCAAGGTGCCTCGTTTTTGTCCTAGAAATGGAGTTTCTATATCAATCTGCTTCATAACCTTGGGGAGTCTTGTGATGAGTACTGGTGGAAAAGCGTTTAGATGAAGATAAATGAAAGCCTTACTAAGCCAAATTCATTTTATTTAGACATGCAAGTCACATGGAAATAAATGTTATTTAGGAGTAATGTAAGTTGTAAATCTGTTTTTTCCTTAACATGAATTGTATATGTTTAGAACTGCCTGGTGTATAGTCTGGGCCAGGGGCCAGTTTTTCTCGGACTAAGGCTAAATCCTGTAAATTCACACTATAAATGAACTGACAGAATACTTACCTACATAATATCCTAAATTAAATTTGGCATCACCAAATATCTTCAAAAGAGTGACTGGAGATTCAACTTAAACTCTGACCTTTGCTCAACTGAACTCTGACACACTGATCCACTTGGTAAAGGGCCAAATCAAAGATTTTTTTCCCAAGTTCTATTTTGCATGTGCATACTTGTGGAAAGCTGACCTAGCCATAACATATGGCATGTCATCAACTGATAGAAGTGACCTGGCAAGTGGATGTGTCCTCTTTCCATTGCCATCACTCTTCTCTTTAGAATGTCTAGTCATTGCAGGCTTGGTTGATGAGAACAACCTTCACAATGCAGGAAGATCATCTTTCCATTGTGGGTACGTGTGGCCATGTCAAATAGCTTAAGGTAGCAGCCTCTTATTGTCAATTCTTACCCCTTTGCCACTCTTTCTGAACTGCCAGCTTCCTTCTCAACAGCTGGATCTTTTTGGCTCTTTTACTTTCACCATTGTTCTTTTCTTTCACTAGAAACTCCCTCTGCTACCACTGTTCACCCCTGTGCAAAGAATTTCCAAACCTAGTTCCTATCTTCTGTCTATAGCCTTCTTGTGTATCTTATCTCTGTATCTCTCAGGTCAATAAAACATCTGAGAAATAAATGAAAATGATTTGTTGGTTCTAGTTTCTGTTCTGCACATCCAGCTGCATCTCCAGTTCCTAGGGTGACCGTATAAAATTGGGACAGCTTTGAATATGAAAGAGAGCACTTTTGACGATAATTATGCTGGGACAATAGCCATAAATGGTTCCAGGCAAACCCATGGTCACTCTTCCTGTTTAGCATGTGCCAAATTAAAACCATCACAGCTACCACCAGGACACCTTTTCTTCCAGAAATAAATATTTCTAAATTTTCAGTCACTCAGGGTCAAATGCTGGAGTCATAGCTGACTTCCATCTCTCTCCCATATTTAATGTCTCAGGCCAATGGATTCTAGATAAGATTACCAAGGCCCCAAGTGGTTTTTGCTATCTGAAATTTCCACAGTAATTACCCTAGTTCAGACTCTCAAATGATTAAGCCTCTTGACTGCCTTACCTGTAGCCTCTATCCACTCCAGTTCATTCAATAAACCTCCCCAAAATGCAGATCTGATCATATCATTGCTGTGCTCAGAAGCCACTGAATTGTTATAATGATCACTCTATCTTACAAAACACTCAAAGGATTATGTGAACAAACTTTAATTATACTTATCAATCCTCAAACCAAACCCATTTGATCTAGCTTGTGATTTTTAATATTTCCTTTTTCTAAGAAGGTATTTTTATCTACTCTTCTTGTAATCCTACCCATTTAAAATATTTTATAGATGTAAATATAAAAAAACTCTAAAATGTTTAAGACAAGACTAAAAAGAAATAATATCTATAATACTATGATCACACTGGAAAAAATCAGCAATTTCTTAATTGTTTGATATTCAGTCAGTATTAAAATTTTCCATTGTTCCAAATTTATTTTACAGTTGAATTGTTTGAATGAAGATTCATACAAGGTTCATACATTATATTTAGTTGACATCTCTCTCTCTTTTTTTCTTTTTGAGATGGAGTCTCGCTGTGTCACCCAGGCTGGAGTGTGGTGGCATGATCTTGGTTCACTGCAACCTCTGCCTCCCGGGTTCAAGCGATTTTCCTGCCTCAGCCTCCCAAGTAGCTGGGATTACAGGTGTGCACCACCAAGCCCAGCTAATTTTTTGTATTTTTAGTAGAGACAGGGTTTCACCATGATGGCCAAGCTAGGTTCGAACTCCTGACCTCAAGTGATCTGCCCACTTTGGCCTCCCAAAATGCTAGGATTACAGGTGTGAGCCACCACGCCTGGCCGACATAACTCTTAAATCTCTTTTAATTTATAGGATTTCCCCCATCCCCTTTCCTTTTTTTCCCCTTCTAATTTAATTGCTAAAGAAACTGGGTTGTATGTCCTGTAGAATCTTCCACATTCTGGATTTTGCTGGTTGTATCCCCATCACATCATTTAGAATATGTGCCTAGTTCTTTGTATGTCCTGCAAACTGGCAGTTGGAGCTAGAGTCTTGATCAGATTTAGGTTTAGTTTTTCTTAATCACTGAATATATCACATATGGTAAGACACACTATTTATAGAGTCATTTCAAATGACTCTTGTCCCATGAAACTCAAAATGCCTTTCTTCTCTATCCTCTGAAACAAACAAACAAACAAAAAAACCCTGGGCATTCTCTTTTCTTTGACTGCTGATGGCAACAACCACCAATAATCAGCTTATCATCTATAACTCTCTGTGTGGTAAATGGGGGAGGGAGTAAGTCTCCCTGTGGGGTCCTCAAGGATCACTCCAACATAGCTGTGGGAATTATACTTGGAGAGGTAAATGAAATTAAAGGATTTATTATACTCAAAGGTCCTAGAGAGGGAGGCAAGGTACACCATGCAGGGAACCATATGGGAGAAGCCCAAAGAATGGGTTCAGCCAAATAGGTATAACTGATAGAGTGAGGACCTGTAGGCAAATGCTTGTATTGGGGGTCAGGATACACAAACAAAAGGCATGAGGTGATTTCGTTAAATTTCACTAGGGCACTGCCAGGGAAGGTTATGAAGGGGAACTTGTGGCAGGGACCAGCCTTATCATACTGGTGCATCTGGTTGCCAGGGCAGAGTGTTCACGGCCTGTTTGTGGGGATGTTGAGGCACAAGGAAAATACAAAGTTTTAAAAAATGTACTATCACTAATTTGCCTTGAAATTCCTTAAATCCAGAGGATAGATTTTTGCTTTTGTTTTTGAGACAGAGTCTTGCTCTGTCACCGAGGCTAGAGTGTAGTGGCACGATCTGGGCTGACTGCAACCTCTGCCGTCTGGGCTCAAGTGATCCTCCCACCTTAGCCTTCTGAGTGGCTGAGACTATAGGCATGCACCACCATGCCTGGCTAATTTTTGTAGAGATGGGGTTTTGCCATGTTGCCCAGGCTGGTCTCAAACTCCTGGGCTCAAGTGATCAGGCCGCCTCAGCCTCCCATAGTGTTGGGAATACAGGCATGAGCCACTACGTCCGGCCCGACAGTCTTATTAGACTTTAAAACCACTGCAGTCCCTGGCAAGGTTCCCCAAACAGAGCAAATTTGCAACAGACATGATTTGAAGTGAATTCCAATTTTAAAAAACGTTTTATGGGAGATGGTTTCAAGCATACAGAAAACATGGTTTGATCAACTTATTTCTCATTTAAAAGTAACTAAATAGATAGAAATGATTACTATATCAGGGAAAAGGTACTACTGCTATCATCATTTTATCTCATAATGAATGTTTATTATTATTTTCCTTGTCCTAGCTGACAAATGTGACAAGTCGTACACAATAAATCTAAAGAAAAAGATTGGCTATTTTTTAAAAAAGGGGAAAAAAAACTTGAAAATAATGGTTCGGGAAGTCAGGCACAAAGTTTGAATGAGGAAAATAAAGAGGCTACTTATATGTAGCTGCCTTATATAGCTGTAAAGGTCAACACTGTTGTCTAGTAATTTATACTTTTAAGAGAAAATTATGTCAGTCTATTGAACCTAATTATACAGATACAAACCATAACCACACATAATCAAGCATAACATAAATGTTTCTAAAAAGTACCAGTAATACATCACTTTTAAGAATTTGTAAAACTCTTACAAGAGAAACTTTACAAAAGAAAAATAATAATGACCATAAAGGGCTATGATAATTATCTCTTGGAGACTCTTCTAAAATATGCCTCCTTCTACCTAGATGATTTTTCTTTACATCCAATCACTGACTGACTTGACAGTCTGTTCTTAAAATCAAGCTGCAAAAAGAGAGAGAGACAGAGAGAGAAAGAGAAACAAAGTGAAAGAGTAAACAAGTCGGGTAGGGTGGTGCATGCCTGTAGTCCCAGCTACTTGGGAAGCTGAGGTGGGAGGCTGAGGTGAGAGGAACGCTTGAGCTCAGAAGTTCAAGACCAACCTGACCAACTTAGCAAGACCCCTGTCTCTAAAAACAAAACAAAACAAAATAAGTAAAAAAATTCATAAAAATAAAATCAAGCCACAAAATCTTTCAGCAGGTATTTATAAAGATACTACTTCATTAACAAAAAAGTTGGCAATCATACAGAAATGTAAAGAAAAGTTTTAGAAGTTCTTTCACCTTAACGTAAAGCAAGGTTAGGGAAACTCTGACCCATCTTCATCAATGGCACCTGAAGCAATTACTAATAGCATCTGCACACAGGCCGCCAGCTCCACATGCATCTTGTATTTTCCAATCTTTTCCTACATCTTTCCCCTTTCATTCCCTGTTCCTTGAGTCTGACTTCCCAGGCTATATTGTGAGTACTTTTATAGATACTGTTTGGTGCTACTCATGGATTAAAAATATTTTTTCCTGATTATCTGGCAAGTAACAAACAAATAAATGCATTACTAATTAGAAAAAATCCATTACAAACAAATCCTTGTTCCTAAATACTATAGGAAATAATTTTAAAACTCCACAATCTTATTCAATTAATATGGAGTTACTCAGAGTCCTTCAACAGATAGGCCTGCTTTTATCAATCACCATCATCATCATGATCAGTGTCTTCATTATGGTGGTTAACATTTTATGTTCCCAACACCATGGTAAGTGGTCCATGCACACCCTTTCATTCAATCTTCACAATAAACCTATAAAGTTGGTTTTCGCCAGTCTAATACATGAAAAAACCCTGAATCACAGAGCAGTTAAGCAATTTGCCAAGGACATATTACAAATAAATGGCAAACCTATGACTGAACCCAGAGTTCTTTGGCTCTTAGCTTTGTGGCTAGTGTTACTTTCCTAATGCTCTTGTGTCTTTATAATTTTAATGTAAGAAGTCCATTATCAATTAATTCATCAAATATCTGAGTTTTACTGAATACCTGCATTGTGGTAGGCAATGGGATAAAAATCAAATCTAAAACAGACTGACAAAAATCACAAAAGCACTAATAATAGTTGAATACAATTAACACAATCATAAACACTATACTCAATCTTAAGTTGGCTATTGAAAAGATTTCTGTAACACTGAATGCCTGTACCAAAACAGCTCATGTACCCTATAAATATATACACCTACTATGTACCTACAAAAAGAAAAAAAGAAAAAGAAAAAAGAGAGTTCTGTAGTGCAAAAGACCATAAAGAGGGCTACTTTTGTATGGGTGTGTTCATTACTCATTTACCTCCCTTCTTTTTTCTCCACGTTCCCATAAAGGCCCATAGGGTCTGACATTCTTTCAGTATCAGTAACTACATTTTACACAATAATGGTATTGCATTTCTGAGATGAGAGTTCTGGATCATACCAACATTAACTTATATTTATTATTATGACATTAGAAAAAAAGCATGTCTTATCAACACCAAAGATCACCTAAGAAGAGTACAAATCAGTAAGAGTGCTCCTTCCTTATATAATCCCAAAGCTCGGGGTCTGGACAAGGAGATTCCCTATTAGTCCAGCCAGAAAAATCGGCACTTCCACAAAGAGAAATTTCCACAGGCTGCTACTGTCACTCTGATCCCAGAGAGCTGTCTGGTGTTAGTACACCACTACCAACATTTTTAATAAACCCACTGGGCTGAACTTACAACATATGTCAATTTTTCTTGTGTACAATAAGGCAACATAAAAGAGACTGAATGTTGACAATTTTCCAGTAAACTATCCCCAAGGAACTTTATTTTAAAAACATTTTTATAAATGCTGATTTATTTTCTACCCACTTCATTCTAAACAAGTAAATATCAAGAAATGTACTTCCTGTTTAGAGGTGAGACAAAGAGTTAATTACATGCATTACTTATCTTATCAACATCTAAAATTTCTTTCTTTTTTTCATTTTTTTTTTTGAGATGGAGTTTTGCTCTTATTGCCCAGGCTGGAGTGCAATGGCATGACCTCTTACCACAACCTCTGCCTCCTGCATTCAAGCAATTCTCCTGCCTCAGCCTCCCGAGTAGCTGAGATTACAGGCACGCGCCACCACACCCGGCTAATCTTGTACTTTTAGTAGAGACAGGGTTTCTCCATGTTGGTCAGGCTGGTCTCAAACTCCTGACCTCAGATGATCCACCTGCCTCAGCCTCCCAAAGTGCTGAGATTACAGGCGTGAGCCACCATGCCTGGCCATCCACCTAAAGTTTCTTAGCCCAAAATTTCTAGAAGAGTGTCATAAGAACCTGGGGATATTTATTAGAAGATGAAGAAGACCAGAAAATAAGGAAATTTACAACTGCTACCATATGATAACAGAGTAAACCGGTGAGTCTTTCAAGAAAGTTAAGATTTTCACCTTATTCTAATTATGTTAAAAGCGCTAATAAATTCCTATTAGAGACACAAGGGTAAACAAAAAACACAGCTGCATTTCATATTCTACCACTTAACACTTTGTCCCTCGTAATCTTGACTGATCCAAATTATTCAACAATAGTTTGAAATATTGGGTATAAACACCAAAACTTTAAATTTTTAGTCCCTGCTACTTTACAGAACCTATCTTAATCTCTTAACTAAAAATTAAAACTTCACATAATATCTAGAACAGATTTTATGGCAAAGGGTGATTTGATACCCTGGTTTACGATGTCATAAAAACATGTTAAAGTACCTTTTAAAAGGGACACTTTGGCAAGAGGCTCATTTAGGTCTTGCTCATCCATTTGGGCGTCTACAGAGAGGAAAAAAATACATATATAATTACAGACAGTATTCAGATCTATCAGCAAGCTATTGTTATCAAAACAAACAATTGGAATTGATACAGCTATTATATTCGGGTAGTTGAAAGTAGTTTTAACAAAATATCCAGCATTCAAAGGGGATGACTTGATAAATGGAAGCGTTTTTTTTTTCCCCAAACACATACTTTGAAATCTCCACTCACATTGACCTATATAACTAAACTGCCATTAACAGCTGCAGGTCTGTAAACATTAGGTTAAAACTCACCTGTAGTGTCGTCACTGCTTTTTTCCTTGCTTGGACTCAGAGTATCTGAAAAATCAGATTCTTTTGCTCTTGTCTGATTTTCTACCAAGAAAAAAATAAAAGTAAAATCTTATTACAGTTAAATATCTTATATCAATAAAACTGCTTCAGGCTATGAATGCTCAAAATCTACAGGTACGCAAAGTACTTTTAAAATAGGTCAGGTCACTGAATCTCTTACTTCTTCACCACCCTTGTCCAAAATGGAATGCTGGTTATTACACGTAGCTCATATTAAATTATAATGTGGATCATGTCTGCTTTGCTGAGGGCTGGGGCTTTTGTTCAAGGCTGTCCACTTGCCAACTGGAAACAAAAACGAAGCAAGCTTTGCTAAAGTATTCAAAGAACTGCAACAAATATAGTACAATTCCCAGGACAATGCAGACACTGTATAAAGATGATTAAAGGAGAAGGCTCTGTTACATAAAAACACTAGTAAGAAGGCTGCTTTAGTAAGATTTGTACTCAAATAATAAAACTCTTAAAAAAAAACCACGATCAGTTCTTATAAAAAAGTGCCACTTAAAATAAGAAAATTAACAGCCTTTTATTTCTAAAGATAACTGTCCCTGAATCACAGTAAGAAAAAACTTTTTTTTTTTTTTTGAGACAGCGTCTTGCTCTGTTGTCCAGGCTGGAGTGCAGTGGGACAAACACAGCTCACTACAACCTTGACCTCCTGGGCTCAAGGGATCCTCCTGCCTCAGCCCCCTGAGCAGCTGGAACTTCAGGACCATGCCACTATACCCAGATATCTTTTTTAAATTTTTAGTAGAGATGAGGTCTTGCTATGTTGCCTAGGCTGGTCTCAAACTCCTGGGCTAAACTGATCCTCCCGTCTCAGCCTCCCAAAGCACTAGAATTACAGGCATGAGCCACTGCACCTGGCCAAGAAAAAACTTTTTAAAAAGTTTAGGGCCAGGCGCAGTGGCTCACGCCTGTAATCCCAGCACTTTCGGAGGCTGAGGTGGATGGATCATGAGGTCAGGAGTTCAAGACCAGCATGGCCAAGATGGTGAAACCCCATCTCTACAAAAAATACAAAAAATTAGCTGGGCATGGTGCTGGGCACCTGTAATCCCAGCTACTCGGGAGGCTGAGGCAGAGAATTGCTTGAACTCGGGAGGTGGAGGTTGCAGTGAGCCGAGATTGTGCCACTGCACTCCAGCCTGGGTGACAGAGCAAGACTCTGTCTCAAAATAAAGAAAGAAAGAAAGAAAAAAAAAGTTTTGAAATTGTTTACAAGAGGTCTTCTGCCTGGTCCAATGAAGCCATCTTAGGCCTAATTTTCAAAGAACTGTCCTCAGAAATCCTAACTATAGGCCCAATAGTTTATTAAAGATGACTGGCAATTAATTAGGCCCCAGATCCTCATCTGTAATGGCACATCTGTACATACTATGGAATTCCTTTCTTTTTTTTTTTTAGAGGGGGTGTCACTATGTTGCCTAGGCTAGTCTTGAACTCCTGGGCTCAAGTAATCCTCCCACCTCAGCCTCCCAAGTGCTAGAATTACAGGTGTGAGCCACCACACCTGGCCTATGGCATTCTTTAGGGTAGCATTTGCAGAAAATGTCATTTCTCTGAATGAAATCCTATATGGAAATCCTATCTCCCCATTCTCCACAAGGCCTCAGTCAAGCTTTACATAGCAGAATTTAGCCGTAATCTGGTCCCTACATTATTTCCCACAGGAGCTCTGCTCTGGTCATGCTAGCTTCATTATAGGGCTAATACATGCCTGCATTATGTCCTGCAATTATTTGTTTGATTCAATATTTCCCTAACCTCAAAAGAGCCATTTTCTCTACTTGGCCTATTCATTCTGTAATATACAGTTTAAGTCCCATCAACTCTAAGGAAGTCTTCATTTCTCCACCATGGTGCTCCTTTTAATTGTATCTTTGTGTCTTTTGTTTCCTCAATTAATCATACTTTATTTTGTATTATTCTGTGTATATGTATATATCTTCTTTCCTTAGTGAGATTATAAATTTATAAAGCATATATTTTTATAATGTTACAGACCTGATTTCACTGTTTGTACATGCATGCCCACTTCTAGTACTTTTCCTAAAGGAAGTAACACAGCACATATGCGATACATAATGCTCACTGAAGTATTGTTCATTATGGGAAAATGAAATACATATATTATGGAATGAAAACTATTCAAGATATATTTACTACTAAGTAAAAAGCCTAATAAAGAGCAGTATGTATAATATGACCCCATGTAGATTAAAAATAGTTATACATTTATCTATGAATTTTTAATTGCATATATTTATTCAAGGTCTGGAAGGATCTACAACAGAGACATCATTAGTTATTTTTGGGGATAGGGACATGGTGGACATTTACTTTTTAACTTCACATAGTCATACACTGAAAAATTTGTAGATATATATATATATTGTTTTAAAATCAAGGAAATTAAAATATATTTTCTATTTTGAAAGAAATTAGAAACACATCTAAAACCATTACTGTCAAAATATTTAATACAACATTAAAATATAACTTGTTATGGCTATTCCATATAAGAATACCCCCAGAATTTGTGGCTTAACTTGTGAAATGGGTGATGAATTTCAAGAAGTCTTTGCTTCTTTTCTCACTGCCATTTGTAGTCAAAGGTCAACTGCTTAGTGACGGGGAACTTAGATTAGAAGTGAAGTCACTGGCCATGGAGGCCCATGGGAATCTAATCTGTGACCGCTGCTGCATTCATAGTATGCTAAAATCAGACATTTCTGAATGTTCTAGTTTCGATCACAAAGTTACATTCTCAAATAAAAGAGGCTAATACATCTAATCTCCATATATGGTTACAAAAGGAACCACTCTGGAAGAACAAAAAGGAAAACAGGAAAACAGCTCTCCCTGATTTTAATATTTTTGGCAATTTTAGGATTAAAATATTAGGTAAATAGGAAGTATATTTGCAAAAGTATTCTTCTAGCCTAGAAGGAACTCTTACTCTATATTTAGAGTATTAGCTGGGAAGGTAAAGTTGCCTTAAAGGTAGGGCCAAATTTTCCATCAAGATCTCATTGGAATATAACTCCCTGATGGCAGAGATTGCCTGTTTTTTTTTTTTTCTTTTCTTTCTTTTTTATTTTTCAGACAGGGTCTTGCTCTGTTGCCCAGGCTGGAGCACAGTGGCACAACTGCAGCCTTGGCTTCCTGGGCTCAAGCCATCCTCCCACCTAAGCGTGCTGATTAGCTGGGACCACAGGTGTGCACCACCACATCTGGCTAATTTTTTATTTTATTTTTTTGAAGAGATAGGGTCTCCCTATGTTGCCCAGGCTGGAATGTCTGTTTCATTAACTGCTATATTCCCAGTGCACAGAACAGTGCCTAGTACCTAGTAGGTATTTTTTTTTAAAGGATGATTGAAAGCATATATCTACTCTGAATAAGAAAGCAACTTTGGTAATCCCAGCACTTTGGGAGGCCGAGGCGGGCGGATCAAGAGGTCAGGAGATCGAGACCATCCTGGGTAACACAGTGAAACTCCATCTCTACTAAAACTACAAAAAATTAGCCAGGCGTGGTAGTGGGTACCTGTACTCCCAGCTACTTGGGAGGCTAAGGCAGGAGAATGGCACAAACCCTGGAGGCAGAGCTTGCAGTGAGCCGAGATTGAGCCACTGCACTCCAGCCTGCGCAACAGAGCGAGACTCCATCTCCAAAAAAAAAAAAAAAAAAAGAAAGCAAGTTTGTGTGTGTATGTGTGTGTGTGTGTGTGTGTGTGTGTTTTAAGAGACAGTGTCTTGTTACGTTGCCCAGGCTGGTCTCGAACTCCTGGGCTCAAGCGATCCTCTTATCTTGGCCTCCCAAAATACTGGCATTACAGGTGTGAGTCACCAAGGTTGGCCAGAAAGCAAGTTTTTAGCAAGTCAAGTCATGGATCCTCAATGTTGTGTCCTGATACTATAGTTACATAGAGGCAAATCAAATCTATTCAAGAATGAAACACAAGACCATGAGTGGTGGCTCACATTTTGTCAATCTCACTTCACAAGTGAGGGAACTGAGGTTTAAAGAACTGAAGTTGCCTGAGGGTGTACAGCTAGTTAGTGGTAGAATTATCTACACATATTCTTTCTACCTCTACCTCCAAAGCTATATATAGACATGTAATGACTGCAAGTTGAGTTAGAGATTAAACAGAAAGCACATTTTGCATTAGGTGATACATCTTCTAGAGGTAAGAGAAGAGGTAAGACTGGTAACAGTCGGTAATTGTTCATTTATGGCAACTGCTATTTTCAGTCCAAACAAGAAAATTCCACCAAAAACATTGCCAATTAAAGACAATTTAGCCAAATCCAAAAGAAAACACTTTATAGCTCGATTTAAAATGTAACTTATTTCAGCCATCTGGTTTGTTACAAGGATTAGCATATCTTTGCCTATTAACTGTGAAAGGTGCTAGTAAAATGTTCACTACTGATAGAAAAATCCCTGAGTATTTAAAACTTATATTTGTATTATTCTTAAAGAATATATTCTATTCATTTACATGGACTTATTTGCCATAATTTATTTAATAAATACCCTTATTAATGGACCCTAATGCTTTCCTCTTGTTGCTTTTAAACAACACTGAAATAAATATTCTTGCTCATTAGTCCAATTTGTTCTTTAAGATTAAAAACCCAGGCCGGACATGGTGGCTCACACCTGTAATCCCAGCACTTTGGGAGGCCGAGGCGGGTGGATCATCTGAGGTCAGGAGTTTGAGACCAGCCTGGTCAACATGGTGAAACCTCATTCTCTACTAAAAATACAAAATTAGCCAGGCATGGTGGCATGCGCCTATAATTCCAGTTACTCAGGAGGCTGAGGCAGGAGAATCACTTGAACCCAGAAGGTGGAGGTTGCAGTGAGCTGAGATTGTGCCACTGCACTCCAGCCTGGGCAACATGAGCGAAACTCCGTCTCAAGGAAAAAAAAAAAAGGGTTAAAAACCCAAAAGTGGAATTGTTGGATCAAAAGGCATGTTCTTTAAAACTTCCAATAAACAGTTTATAGCCAGGTTTAAAAGGAAATCATACAAAGATAAATATTTAAAGTGATGATATTCTAATTACCCTGATTTGATCTTTATACATTAAATGTATCAAACTATAAAACATATCCTGAAAATATGCACATTATGTATCAATAAGATAAAAACAATAAATTAAAAAGGGAAATCAGTAATGCACAAAACTTTTCCAATAATGATAAAACATAATTTCAAGAAAATATTTTCTAATTTAGAATGCATTAAATATAAGTGATAAGATAGCAAGATATTTTAATTAAAGAAGCATTTTTTTTTTTTTTCCTAAGGCTCTACTTCAAAGTGCTGGCTATTCAACCAACTAATCTGAATAGGTATTTGGATGGTGAGGTAAAAGCTATTTTAAGGTCTGTTCTCATCTCACTTTAATAAGGTGAAAAAAATTGCCATATGTACTAAAAATAGTTCACTGTTCTGAAACTCAATGCCTGTTTGCCAAAACAATATTAATGATGCATATTCTATGCATTTTTTCCCCAAATATGGCATCTGCCGTGCACAAAATTCAGAATGGAAACCACGAGATATTTGAAATAACACCATCCTCTTACATGGTTAAAAAAGTCAAATGAATCCAGTTACTTTAATAAAATAGAATGTACTAAAATTAAGTATCTCAAACTTTTGTAACTCAATGTTTTAATTGGCCAAAAGGACTGTGAATCTAGTTTTAAATTTTATACTGGTATAGTCTAATGAAAGTTCTACTATGATAAACACATGCCACCAAATTTATTTGCCTAATTTCCCTATGTATAAAAGTGACTTGACAATATGGTGCTTTAAAACTCACTTTTCTTCTCTGACAACTGTAACAGAATTAACACAATAAACTACTTTGGGCAATTACTGGACTACTCATAAAATATAAGAAGATTCTACATTCACAAAAGTCATTAATTTTGTTTAAATCAAACTGAGATGCCAAAAATTAAGGAAATATTAAACATCATAAGAGATTTTAAAGGTACTGTAACCCCCAAAATAGAAGTGCAAGCATGTTTCACTTAAGTTGTATCACAAACGACTTACATTGTGTTTGATTAAAATTTGAGATCAAAGCTGAAATTAATGCTGGGAATGACAGAGATTGCAACAAATCTTTAATACCTAAAGAAACCTATATCAAGTACTAACATTCAAAAAACCATAAATATACATCCACTTAAAAAGACACATTCCAGTTACGATACCCTTCTTAAAACAGAAGTCTGATTATTTTATATATTATCTGATACTGTTACTGGCTTGCTATTTTGTGAGCTATAAGAAGTAAACTGATGGTTAAAATACTATAACCTTGAAAATATACACTAACCTTCATTATCCAAAAGAACTGTCAAAAAACATAGAAAAACAGAAAACAAACCTTTTGAAAGCTTTGTTTCTTCTACCGCTTTGGTTAGATGCCCTTCGACGATCAGCTTCTCTGCCAAGGAAAATAAACGTTACCATCCAAGCCCAAACTGAGCAGCATTTCCCTGAGCTGGGCAGTGTAACACATTCCATGACCAAATTTAAAGATGATAACATTACTCCTATGACCAAGCTTGAATAAAAACTTGAATCTGGAAGGGGAACTAAGAGAACTGGAACTATGACGGAGCAATCACGTTAATGCAGAAAACTAGGGGCAGGCAGACAATTTGCCTTTTATTTTCACCTTATTTTAAAAGCCTAGATATTTTTATAAAAAGGGCTCAGAAGAAATAAAGCAATCCTCTTTAGATCAAGGCTATTAAGTTAAAATAAAAGATTTATGAAAAGGTATTTATTCAAATGAAGAAGTAATAAAAATTAAGTTATATCGATAGTTTACTGTTCTCTGCTGACATAATTCAGCAGAGATGCCTATATAATGTATTTCAGTAAATGAATCATTTTAGAAAAGCTATTCAAAGAAATAAAAAAATTTTGTTTTGTTTTATGGGGGATTTTCTGTAAATGTATAATGCTACTTTTTTATAATTTAAAGTCATATTTTCATATTCCACGTTTCATTGAAGAGGATATATCTATTCTGTGTCCCCTTATTTACTCCTGTATGTCAGTTGGTCTCCTTCAATTTATTCATTTGTAATATATGTGAAGAAAATTTTCTATTCTCTTGCTTTACAACCAACTGCAACTTGGTCTACATCCACCACTCAACCATTGAAACTGCTCCAATATCATTATAGCCTCTAGTCTCCCAATGCCCATGGCTCCTTTTCTTAATTTTCATTTCTCATAGGCTCTTTGCAGTATGTGGCACTTTGTCTCTGACTTTTTAAAATCAGAAAGAGGGGCCGTGCGCAGTGGCTCACGCCTGTAATCCCAGCACTTTGGGAGGCCAAGGCGGGTGGATCACGAGGTCAGGAGACAGAGACCATCCTGGCTAACATGATGAAACCCTGTCTCTACTGGAAACACAAAAAATTAGCTGGGCATGGTGGCGGGTGCCTGTAGTCCCAGCTACTCGGGAGGCTGAGGCAGGAGAATGGTGTGAACCCAGGAGGCGGAGCTTGCAGTGAGCAGAGATGGCGCCACTGTATGACAGAGCGAGATTCCATCTCAAAAAAAAACAGAAAAAAAGAAAAAAAAACAGAAAGTAACAGATTTTGATTAAGATGTATAATGTAAGCTGTCCTACCTGTCCTCTGTCCTACTTCACTCCATTCCTAAAATTCACTTCCTACAACT